>NC_000004.12:2974036-3280533 GCF_000001405.40 Homo sapiens | reverse complement strand
AATGTCAGTGTCCTGAGATGGGTGGATCTCTCCAGCTTTCCTACACTTTTACAGGTAGATCACATGAATGACTCCAGCTGTGGCTCACACACAGCCAGGCATCCTATGTGGTTCGGTGTTCCCAGGCAGGATCCATTCCAGCCTCAGCCCTTCCATGGCACCACCCAATATTCATGGTTCCAGAGTAAGAGCTCCAATGCTGGCCACACATGCCCAAATATAGAATAAATATAAAGCTAATAAAATGTGAAATAAAATGTCTTCTATCCACCCACCTTGACACAAATTCATTTAAAACAACAAAACTGAAAAACAGAGCTAAAGCTATGGCTTCTCAGATAACCACACAAAAGCAAATATCCAAACTGACAATGTTTGTTGCCTGTGTCTGCAGAACAGTGACCGTCAGCTGTGCCTGCCTGAGTAATAGCAGAAGGATACACACTGTTCACAAATGATTATATTTTATTCCCCAAAATAACTTTTCCTGCATTCATTTCAGCAAAATCTCTAATTATGTTGTTATAATCTACATTTCCATATAATTTATGTTCTATTTTCAATTTGGAAGAACTTTTCCCTGATGAAGCAGAAGCAAACATAACTGTCAATAAAATTTTTCAAGCAAATATTTATCGTTGGAAAAGAGCCACAAATTTTATGTATCAATTCTAACATTATTATGGTACTGCCTATAATACATTATTGTTATCGCAGAAAATATTGCAAACTCCCTACTTTTTTTTTTTGAGACAGGGTCTTGCTCTGTTGCCCAGGCTGGAGTGCAGTGGCATAATCTTGACTCACTGCAACCTCCACTTCCCAGGCTCAAGTGATTCTCCTGGCTCAACCTCCCGAGTAGCCAGGATTACAGGTGCCCGCCACCACACCTGGCTAGTTTTTGTATTTTTAGTAGAAACAGAGTTTCACCATGTTGGCCAGGCTGGTCTTGGAACTCCTACCCTCAAGTGATCCACCCACCTGGGCCTCCCAAAGAGCTGGGATTACAGGTGTGAGCCACCATGCCTGGCCCAAACTTCTTAAATTTCATCACAAAAATCACTGTGATGTATAGCAAGATTTTCACCATCTCTTAAAGCAACACCTAGATTCATACAGTATTTCTAAAGCCCTTCTTTCAAATTTGCCAGTGCTGAGATATTATTTTTAAAGTACCAGAATATCACTCAGTTTATTCACATCTCTCTTCAATTGAGATTATTCCTTAATCTAAAATGGCAGAAAATAATCTGTATAGAATCATTAAAGATTATTTACATGTGAATTGTTTTCATCATGGTATCAGTCCGTTCTCATGCTGCTATAAAGAACTTCCCTGAGACTGGGTAGTTTATAAAGGAAAGAGTTTAATTGACTCACAGTTCCACATGGCTGGGGAGGCCTCAGGAAACTTACAATCATGGTGGAAGGGGAAGCAGGCACATCTCACATGGTGGCAGGCAAGAGAGTCAGCAAGAGCAGGGAAAACTGCCTTATAAAACCACCAGATCTCATGAGAACTCACTCACTATCACGAGAACAGCATGGGGGAAACCACTGCCATGATCCAATCATCTCCCTCCCTCAACATGTGGTGATTATGGGTCCCTCCCTGGACACATGGGGATTACAATTTGAGATGAGATTTGAGTGGGGACACAGAGCCAAACCATATCAATCATCATGCAAATGTTTTCATTTCTTTGTTCTGATTTCTTTAGATTTTACTAGAATGCTATTTTTATTGCTTATTTTACATGAGGTCTTTGTAGTAGACAAAAGCCATTTTCCAATTAAAAAATATATCTAAACATTTTAAACATAAAATAGTCAACCTTCTTTTCTTTCCTTTTTTTGGGGGTAAGCCTTTGCAAATGTTACCAATAAAAATTAACATATCAAATGACTAGAACAGAGCATGTCTAAAATTAATTTCATTTTCTTCTGAAGACCATGATTTATTTTTATCTGAGAATATTCTGCTGTTTCCTTTAACTCTTCTAATACATCTTGAATACTGTATAAATTCAATCTAATTGCTTTAACAGCATTTAGTTGACATTCTTTTGTGGTTCTGAGGGTGATTATAAGGTCAAATATGATACACATTGAGTCAAGATGTCCCATCTTTGGGAAGATGCAGAAACTATCAAACATAATCCTCAGGGTATTCCAAAGCACATCCTCACTCTTGGCATCCTCAAAACCACATCTCCTGACAACAAATTCAAACTCTGTGCTGTACATGGCCGAAAGGTGGCTTCTAGGCTTCCTCTTCCCTTACCCATTGTGATAGCACCATTATCACAGCCTCCACAGCCTCCCCTTGACAATCTTTTAAAAATAAAAAAAACTAACTAAATCAGCCAGATGCGGTGGCTCACCCCTGTAATCCCAGCACTTTGGGAGGCTGAGGGGGGCAGATCATCTGAGGTCAAGAGTTCAAGACCAGCCCGACCAACATGGTGAAACCCCATCTCTACTAAAAATACAAAAATTAGCCGGGCATGCTGGCGCATGCCTGTAATCCCAGCTACTCAGGAGGCTGAGGCAGGAGAATTGCTTGAACCCAGAGGCAGAGGTTGCAGTGAGCTGAGATGGCACCACTGCTCTCCAGCCTGGGCAACAGAACAAGACTCTGTCTCAAAAAAAAAAAAAAAAAAAAAAAAAAAAAAAAAAACTAAATAAATCTAAAATTGTTTTTATTTGATTTTTGAAAATTTAATTGACTCATTAAATAAAATGGCCCACTGGCTGCCAGTGTGAAAGTGAGGAACTCTGTGATGTGTGAGTTCTGGCCCTTTCTGCCTGCAAGGAGAGGTAAGAACCCCAGTCTTGCAAAATACTCTTCCACTGCCACGCGATCCTGTAGTGACTGCTCTGCTCATGTGTGAGAAGCTCTGGAAACAATCACAAATAGAAATATGAAGAAAAACAAGACAAGTAGACACTGGTGCTATTAGGAAACAGTATTTCATTATGCGAGACTCTATGGCATTCGCACCACCTGAGAGGAAGAATGAGACAAGTTCATTAATTCTTCTTTTATCCTTAGCTGAGCACTTTCGATGTGAAGCCTAATGAGGGAAAGAAAACAAGACTTCTTCCACCTAGGGTATAGAATGATGGAAAAGATTTTCACTCCCGTGGCAACAACCAGAAGAACCCAGAAACAATATTATACATTTCTATGAGATTACTAGTCCAGTAGATGCAAGGAAATTTTGATGACCTAAATTCCCAAGAGAGACCAGCCCTTCCTATAGAACAGCAGCTTCCATCCCCGAACAGGAGGCTGGTCTGCATGTTAGCAGACGAAGGAGCAAGGCTGCCACAAAACGGGAGACCGCAGGGATGAAGAGAAAGCAGCCCAGTCCTACACGATGCGTCACTCAGCCCAGCCAGCCTACTGGCTCCCATCCAGCCTCCATTTTTGCCATGAAAGTAGCGATGGAGGAGAGGCTGGGAAGCAGGCAGAAATCACTTAGTCCTCCGCATTGTCACAGTGCTGCGATTCCATTGCTGTGCCAGAGTGAAATCTAAGTTGAACCAAATATACCTAAAGCTCAACCCTTCCTAGCTCAAATACTGACAAGATCTAAAAAGGCTGCAGTGGAATGGGAAGTAGAGGGTTAGGCTAAACATGGGTAAACTCAATGTAATTAATTTGTGGCCCAGCTCCAAGGATGACTTGACTTTTAGAGGAATCTGAATGATAAGCCCCTTACTCAAACTGAGGAAAGGGTTTACATTATGTGGGAAACATGCATAACAAAATCAAAACAGAACAAAATATGACCTATGAGTTTCCACTGTTTATTTACATCCAATGTCTGGAATGAAACAAAAAATTATAAGACATGTTAAGAAGTAGGAAAGTTTGACCCATAATCAAAAGAAAGCACAATCAAAAGATGCAGACCGAGATGATCCAGTAATGGAAATTAGCAGACACATAATGTAAAGAAGTATTATGAATACATAAAAAATGTACCGATAAAGATGCATAAACATAAAGCGATGGGGTATACTAGAAGATAAGTAGAAACTCTAAATAAAATATCAAAAAGAAAGTCAAGCCAAAAATGACACTATCATGGTATCTGAAATAAAACATGTATTGGTGAGGCTTCTGTGCACTGCAAAAAAAAAAAAAATTTCAACATAAATAATCTAAACGAAATCACAGAGCACAAAATGGAAAGAATAAAATGAAAAGAGCACCTGTGACCTGTGTGATAATATCAAGTGGGGTGACATATGTGTAACTGGAGTTCCAGAGAAAGAGTACAGGTAAAATGGGGAGAATCTAAAGAAACTGTGGCCAAAATTTTCTCAAACTGAATTTAAAAAAATCACTCATAGATCCCCAAAGCTCAATAAATCCCAAGCAGGACAAGTACAGAGAAAATACACCCAGGCACAAATTGTTGAAAACAAAAACTAAAATCTTAGAAGCAGCCAGAGGAAAAAAAGATAGATTACATACATTAGTACAATAATAAAAATGATGGCAGGGTTCTTATTAGAAACAATGAAGCCCAGAAGACAAAAGAACATCTTTAAAGAACTAGGAGCATGGGAGGAGGGACTGTCAACTGAGAATTTCTATATCTAGTGAACACATCCTTAAAAAATGAAAGCAAAATAAAGGTGTTTTCAGATAAACAAAAGCTGCAGGAATCCATTGCTGGTAGATGCACACTACAATGCTGAAAGAAATTCTTTAGGCTGAAGGGAAGTAATGACAGAGGGAAACCTGGATCTACACACACACAAAAAATGAAGAACAGAAGAAATGGTAAATGTGTGTGTATATATAAAAGACTTGTTTTCCCTTTCTTAATTTTTTAAAACAACAATTGAACACCTACAGCAAAAATACTAACAATGTACCATGAGGCTTATAAATACAGGTAAATTACATGCAACAATAGCACAAAGGATGGGAGGGAAATGGAATTATAAGTTGAAAGGTTTTTACATTATATATCAAATAGTATAATATGATTTCAAAGTAGATTGAGGTAAATTAAGGAAATACATTAGGATCCCTAGAGCAATTTCAAAAAGATAATACAAAGATTGTTGTAAATTAAAACCCAATGGAGGAGATAATTTTTTTTTAATGTTAAAAAGTCAATCAAAAAGAAGGCAGGGGCCAGGTGCAGTGGCTCATGCCTGTAATCCCAGCACTTTGGGAGGCCGAGGCAGGTGGATCACCTGAGGTCAGGAATTCAAGACCAGCCTGGCCAACATGGTGAAACCCCATCTCTACTAAAAATACAAAAAAATTAGCCAGGTGTGGTGGTGGACACCTGTAATCCCAGCTACTCAGGAAGCTGAGGCAGGAGAATCGCTTGAACCTGAGAGGCAGAGGTTGCAGTGAGCTGAGAACACGCCATCGTACTCCAGCCTGGGTGACAAGAGTGAAACTTCATCTCAAAAAGAATAAATAAATAAATAAAAATTTTAAAAAAGGCATGAAAGGAGAAACAATAGTGTAAACAACAAACGTAAACAATTGAAAACAATTAGCAAGATTACAGGTAGACTTAAACCCAACTACATCAATAATTACCTTAAATACAAATGGGCTACATAGTACAATTAAAAGACAGCATGTCAGACTGAATTAAAAAACCAAAACTCTCTATATTCTGCTTAACAGAGACACACTTAAAATATAAAAACAAGTTTAGGTTAAAAGTAAAAGAATTAACAAAAAAAAAAAAAGAAATACCATGGAAAAATACCATAAGAAAGCCGGGTGGCTATATTTTCAAACATTTGAGGCAAAAATTGTAAGAACTAAAAAAAGAAAAATAATCAGAAATAAGACCATACCATATAGTTGAATATTTAACATTATTCTATTATAAATTGTTGGGAAAACCAGACAAAATAATCAGTAAGAACATAAGGCCGGGTGCGGTGGCTCACGCCTGTAATCCCAGCACTTTGGGAGACTGAGGCGGGCGGATTACGAGATCAGCAGATCGAGACCATCCCGGCTAACATGGTGAAACCTCGTCTCTACTAAAAATACAAAAAAATTAGCCAGGCGTGGTGGCGGGTGCCTGTAGTCCCAGCTACTTGGGAGGCTGAGGCAGGAGAATGGCATGAACCTGGGAGGCAGAGCTTGCAGTGAGCGGAGATCGTGCCACTGCACTCCAGCGTGGGCGACAGTGTGAGACTCCATCTCAAAAAAAAAAAAAAAAAAAGAACATAAAAGATTTTTAAAACACCATAAAACAATCTAACCTAATTAACACATATAGAAGACTATACCCATCAACTATAGAATAAATACTCTTTTCAAGAGCACATGGTACATTTACCAAGAAAGAACATTTACTGGGCCATAAAATAAATCTCATTAAATGCTAAAGGACTGAAGTCATACAGCATGCATTCTCTGACAACAACAGAAATCAGTAACAATGTCTAGAAAACCATTCACTTTTGATGACAAAGTAACATAATTCTAAATAACTCAGGTCAAACAAGATATCACAAAGAAAACTAGAAAATTATTTTTAACTGAATAGTAAAGAAAACAAAATATATCAAAATTTGTAGTATATAACTAAAGTTCTTATAGAGATACTTATAATTTTTAAATGTTTATATTTAAAAACTAGTTTGAAATAAATGATCTGAGCTTCCACATTAAGAAGCTAGAAAATAAAGAGCAAATTAAACCTAAAGTAAATAGAAGGAAGGGAATGACAAAAATAAGAGTGGAAATCACTGAAACAGAAAACAGCCAAACCGCAGAAAAAGACAAAAGAACCAAAAGTTGGTTTTTCAAAATGACTAATAAAATTGATCTACCCTTAGTAAGACTAATGAAAAATAGAGGGAAAATACAAGTTACAAACATTAGGCTATCACACTGAGCCTACAGATATAATAATAAAAGGATAGTAAGAGAACAGTACAAGCAACTTTATAACAATACACTTGACAACTGATATAAAATTTTAAAGTTCCTTTAAAAACTGCAAAAAAATTACACAAGAGGAAATAGAAAGTTTAAACAGCTCTATTTCAATCAAAGAAACTGAATTAATAGTTAAGAACTTCATGGCTCATGCCTGTAATCCCAGCACTTTGGGAGGTCGAGGTAGGCGATCACAAGGTCAGGAGTTCAAGACCATCCTGGCCAACAGGGTGAAACCCCCGTCTCTACTAAAAATACAAAAAAATTAGCTGGGCGTGGTAGCGCACGCCTGTAGTCCCAGCTACTTAGGAGGCTGAGGCAGGAGAATTGCTTGAACCCAGGAGGCAGAGGCTGCAGTGAGCCGAGATCGCGCCACTGCACTCCAGCCTGGGCGCCAGAGCGAGACTCCATCTCAAAATAAAATAAAATAATAATAATAATAATATAATTAAGAACTTTAAAGGGATGCATCAAAAAATAAGACAGAATGATAAATAGATGGATAGATATGTGATAAGGAAAATATAATAAAATGTCAGTCTAGGAAATGAGCATGACTATTCATTACACAATTCTATTCATTTTTCTGAGTGGCTGAAATTCTTCATAATAAAAATTTTGGGGAAAAGCTAACGTTTTCCACAAGGAAATTGATTCAGAAATAAAACCCCAGGACCATGTGGTGTTGGAACAGATCAAATATTTAAGGAAGAAATAATACCATCCTTACACAATTTTTTTCAGAAAAAAGAGAAAGATGGAACACTCTTGCACTTACTGTATGAAACCCATGTAACTCTGATATCAAAACCTGACAAGGACATCAAGAGAAAAAGAAATTACAGCCCAATGACCCTCATGAACACAGACACAAAATCCTTAGCAGAATATTACTACATTGAATAGCACATCATGAACAAGTGCAGTTTATCCAAGGAACGCAAGGTGGGTTTAACATTCGAAAAGCAATTCTTCAAAGTCACCACATTAATAAAAATAAAGGAGAAAAATCTTATGGTCATCTTAATGAATGCACAGATAGCATTTGTTAATATTCAACATCCACTTATGATAGAAACTCTACATAAACTAAAATTAGAAGGGAACTTCCTCATTTGATAAAGGGCACCTATGAAAAACCTACAGCTGACCAGGTGCAGTGGCTCACGCCTGTAATTCCAACACTTTGGGAGGTCAAGACGGGTGGATCACTTGAGGTCAGGAGTTTGAGAACAGCCTGGCCGACATGATGAAATCCCATCTCTACTAAAAACAGAAAAATTAGTCAGGCATGGTGGTGGGCACCTGTAATCCTAGCTACTTGGGAGGCTGAGGCACGAGAATCACTTGCACCTGGGAGGTGGAGGTTTGCAGTGAGCTGAGATCGCGTCACTGCATTCCAGCCCGAGGGACAGAGCAAGACTCCATCTCACGGAAGGAAGGAAGGAAGGAAGGAAGGAAGGAAGGAAGGAAGGAAGGAAAGAAAGAAAGAAGACCTACAGCTAATGTCATACTCATTGGCGAACAACTGAATACTTTCTTTCTAAGATCAGGACTAAGGCAATGGTGCTGCTCTCCGAACTTCTTTTCAACATTGTACTGGAGCTCATAGCCAGAAAATAAGGCAAGAAAGAGAAATAAAAGACATAGAGATAAGAAACTTGTCCTTATTCACACACAGATAAGAAGCTTGTCATCAAGAAGATGTTATTGTAAACATGGAAAGTCCTAAAGAATTACAAAAGAAAAAGCTGTTAGGATGAATAAGTGAGTTGAGCAGGGTTGCAGGCTACAGATACAAAAATCAACTGTATTTCTAGATACTAGCAAAAAGTTAGAAAATCAATATACTGATAAATAAATTTAATAAAGGATGTATTAGACAGCTCCAAATGGTGAGATACACCATGTTCATAAATTGTAAGACAATATTTTCAACATGTCAGTTCTTATCAAGTGGGACTATGAATTCAATTCCATCTCAATACAAATTTCAGCAGGCTTTTTTGGGGATAGAAATCAATAAGGTGATTTAAAATTTATACAGAATGGCAAAATATATGGATTAGCAAAAACAGTTTTGGAAAAGAAGAAGTTTGGAAGACTTACACTAGGTGACCTGAAGATTTTCTATAAAGGCACAGTAACCAAGATAATGCAGACGCACAGACCAACAGGACCGAATGGTGTCTCAAAATAGACCCGCTCGGCCGGGCGTGGTGCCTCACGCCTGTAATCCCAGCACTTTGGGAGGCGAGGCGGGAGGTTCACCTGAGGTCAGGAGTTCAAGACCAGCCTGGCCAACGCAGCCAAACCCCGCCTCTACTAAAAATGCAAAAAAAAAAAAATTAGCCAGGCATGATGGTGGATGCCTGTAATCACAGGTACTTGGGAGGCTGAGGCAGGAGAATTGCTTGAATCTGGGAGACGGAGGTTGCAGCGAGCTGAGATCGTGCCACTGCACTCCAGCCTGGGTGACAAGAATGAAACTCCATCTCAAAAAAAAAAAAAATAATAATAATAATAGACCCCCTCCTGTTCTGTGAATTGCTTTTTGACAAAGGCACCAGACACTCGCGATAGGGAAAGGGCAGGCTTTCTAACAAACAGTTCTGGAATAACAGGGGAATCACGTGGAAAAAATGGCTCTGATATCCATTTCATTTCCTACAAAGCAATTGAGATGGACAGAGACCCAGATGTAACCACAGCTTCTAGAATACAATATGGGAAAATATCTCCCTGGCCTTGGTGAAGATTTCTTAGGACACAAAATGTTTTAGCCATAAAAAAAATTAGCTAAAATTTGATATTATCAAAAGCAAAATCTGCCCAATTGAAAGACACCATTAATTCCACTTTCCACCAGGATGGAGTGACAAGCTCTGGATTCACCTCTCCTCCATCCCTGCTTCAAATGACTGGAAAACTGGACAGAACATGGGGAATGACTGTTTCCGGGCCTTGGACTGTAATTCTAAGGACAAGAGGAAGGAGTGAGGGCGCCTTCCGTCTGAGGGCCTGGGGCTCCCCCGGCTTGCAGATTTGCTCAGAGTGGAAGGTCTTGGTCAGCCCAGGCTGCCGAGGCCCAGAGTGGGTGGGCTCCCCAGAGGGCACAGTCTGAGGTCGCAGGCTCAGCTCCAAGCCCTGAGGCTGTGGCTGTGGGGCAGGTGGACCTGGGGCTGCATTGCAGGGGTAATGGGCTGGCCTCGGGGTCCAAAGTCCAGGACACAGGTCTCCTCCACCTGACCAGGACGGTCCCATTTTCTCCCTTACAGGCAGCTGCTGAAGGTTCACCCAGGGCCTGCCTCCCGCAGCCCACACCAGGTGCCCCGGCTCCCTGGGCACGGCTCCCACATGGAGGCTGGCGCCCACTCAGGGCCCTGCTGCAGCCGCTCGGTGGAGCGCTGCTATTCTTAGCTGTAACCTAAGCAGCTGCCCATTAAAATTCCATTAGTTTCGAAGGCTGAGCGGCAGTTGATATTTCTAATTATCATGAAATTAAAATTGTCCCTGTAATTTAATGATAATTGCACAAGATGCCAGCTGGCACCCTGGGGAGCCACACTGTTCCCGAACAAAACTTGGAAAGTCTCTTGAAAGTTCTTTGAACAGGAAAAGACAAAGGCGTTTTGGAAAATGAGGGAGGTGGGGGGTCAGCCCCGTGGTTGAATCCAAATTCCGAGCGTGAATGGGCTCTCCAAACTAGGGCCTCTGCGCCAGGCGGCCGGGCGGGGAGCAGGTGGGCTGTTGGGGGAGGCCGGACTCCAGACCCCACCCGCCCTGAGCTGAGGATTAAACAAGGGAATAAGTCAGGAGTCTAACCCTGCGGGGAACTAAGGAACACGTGGTCAGTGCAGCACTGTGGGGAAGGTTCTAGAAGCTGGCAGAAGCCCTCTGTGGGGTGGAGGGGCGGTGCCTGCAGGAGGAGGAGCAGGAGGAACCCGCTGCCCCTGTGCTTCCCCTCCCCGCTCCCCTTTCGCAGGTGAGAACAGGGTTCCCAGGCGCACCTGGGAGCTGTGCTTGTTTCAAAGCCGCTCCCCAGGGGTGCGAGGCTGAGAGGTGCTCGCAGAGGACAGAGCCCCAGAACCTGGACCCCGAGCAGTAGGACAGAGCCAGCCCCTAACAACCCTGCGTGGCAGGGCCGAGCCAGCACAGCCCAGTGCCTGGCTCCACTCCTGGCCTCCTTCCTCCTGACTTGGAGACCCTGTGCAGGCCTGGGGCATGGGGTACATGGGCCACAGCCTGGGACCCTGTGTCCTCCTGGGTGGCCCTGCTGCTGTGGGGTCCTGACCTCACCCCACCACGTTGCAACCCTGGGTGTGGGGTCAGAGCCAGTCTAGGGCTGAGCAAGACCTGAGCCCTGCCCTCCCCTCCTCAGGGCCCTTCCCTTACTCACCCGTGCTGCCAGGATCTACAACCAATGCCAGGCTCCCAGGCTGCCCTGCCCTCCTCATGGACCTCCACAACGCCACCCCTGCCTGCCGCCCCCATCTTCCCCTCCTTGAGGGCCAACCCACAGCCCCTCCCCCACAGGCCCAGTGTACCCAGACCTGATCTACGCTGGCTTGAAGGCAGGATGGGGTCAGATTTGACTCTGTGTCCGCAGAGTCCGGTGACTGGACAGTCCCCAGATCTGGGGCCCCGTGGAGCCTGGTGAAGTGACAATGGTGTGTGCCTAGGACTGGACCCCTCCTGCAATGTCGGCAGCCTGGGGACAGCCCTGCAGAGCTCAAAATCACACCGGCTTTCATAGCACCCCACGGGCAGAGAGCGCTCCCTAGCCCAGCTGCAGCTCCTGCCACCCCGCCCGCTGGCTGTGCCCCAAGGCCATCTCCTTCTTGGGGAACTTTGCTGACAGTGGCACCACATTCTGAAGGTTTTTCCTGCCTTTCTCCTCAGGCTGCCCTCCCGGCCTGTGGGTGGTCTGCTGGCCCAGGAGGCCCAGGTGACAGTGTGACCCCACGTTTCCCACCACATCAGCCTTCCAGCCTGCAGCAGGTGGAACCTTACCTCCTCCCCACGCCCCATTCAGCAGCCTCACGAGCCAATGCCATGCTGTAGGAGTTGAACCTGTCATTTTCAACACTCCCTCCCCTTTTGGGCACTAAATTCCCTCTCAAAAATTGCATTTGGCTTCAAACGTGGAAATAACGCTGGCATGGTTGGGAATTTTATTTCTGTCTCCCACAGAAGCAGCCAGGCCCAGGTGACAGCCCACAGTGCCCTCAGGCCCCTCCGCTCTGGTGGGCGTGGCCCTCACCCTCAGGACTGCCTCAGGGCCCTAGAAGGCCGATGGAGAGCCAGACACCTCCTCCACCTCGTCTGTTTGCGCAAGAAGCAATATGGAAAGGAAAAGCCTACCTGCCTGCCCCTTTAAGGCAGTTTGCCAGATTTGGCAGGAACTTCTTCAGGTATCTCACTTGTCTCATGGGACCCTGCAGGCTCCTAGATAAGATTGCTGGATCCCTGCAGCTGGCTGCCCCGGCTGCCGACCTCTGTGCACCTCAGGGCGGCCTGAGGTCAGGGCTGGTCAGCAGGGCCCGGCAGGAAGGAGGCTGCACACAGCAGGAGGAGCCGACAAACCGGCACCTGCGGGATGCCTGCATCCCTGTCTTGCTTCTCCTGACCATCAGTGGCCTCTGCCAACCATGGCCCTGACCTCCTGCCTCCCAAATCCCCGCTGCCTCACCTCTGACCCCATCTGTCTGCTCTAGAAGCACACAGGTGGGGATTCTTGGAAGTGTGGGTCCTGGCAGATGGTGTCAGTAGAACACTCCAGAATGTAGCGTCAGAAATTGGCCTTGGACACTCAGGCACAGCACCTGCTTCGAGAAGGAAGAGCAGAGGCCCCTGGAAGGAGGGGCTGGGCAAGGGGTGGTGAGAAAGGGGTGCCCTGGAAGGTGAGGCCCTGCCTGGCTCTCGGGGTGGGGATGGAGGCCCCTCCTCCCAGGACGCTGGGGCTGCACACTTCCAGCCCCATTCAAACGCTGGCCCACAATAACCACTGTCCAGCCTGCATGCTGCTCAAGTGTTGTTACCGCCCATGGTAGCTATCTCACCCTTTTTTTTTTTCTGAGATGGAGTCTCACTCTTGTCACCCAGGCTGGAGTGCAGTGGCGGGATCTCGGCTCACTGCGACCTCTGCCTCCCAGGTTCAAGTGATTCTCCTGTCTCAGTCTCCCGAGGAGTAGCTGGGATTACAGGCATGCACCACCACACCCAGCTAATTTTTGTATTTTTAGTAGAGATGGGGCTTCACCATGTTGGCCAGGCTGGTCTCGAACTCCTGACCTCAGGTGATCTGTCCACCTCAGCCTCCCAAAGTGCTAGGATTGCAGGCATGAGCCATGGTCCGGCCTCTTTCACCTTTTTAAAGCCCTTTTGCTATACAGAAACTTATGGAATATTAATCAAGTTAGACACTGTATTTTCACCGTATGCACTCAGAAAGGCCTCAGAGCAGAGGCGTGCATCTTTCCACGTTTCCTCTAGAAGAGCTCCATTTCTTTGGTGTTTGTTTGTTTTGTTTTTTGAGATGGAGTTTCACTCTTTTTTGCCCAGTGCAATGGCGCCACTTTGGCTCCCTGCAACCTCCACCTCCTGGGCTCAAGAGATTCTCCTGCCTCAGCCTCCCGAGTAGCCGGGATTACAGGCGTGTACCACCATGCCTGGCTAATTTTGTATTTTTAGTAGAGACGTGGTTTCTCCATGTTGGTCAGGCTAGTCTCGAACTCCTGACCTCAGGTGATCCACCTGCCTGGGCCTCCCAAAGTGCTGGGATTACAGGCTTGAGCCATCATGCCCGGCCAATATCTCCACTTTTTTTTTTTTTTTTTTTTTTTTTGAGACAGAGTCTCGCTTTGTCGCCCAGGCTGGAGTGCAGTGGCGCGATCTCGGCTCACTGCAAGCTCCGCCTCCCAGGTTCACGCCATTCTCCCGCCTCAGCCTCCCGTGTAGCTGGGACTACAGGCGCCCGCCACCACGCCCGGCTAATTTTTTTGTATTTTTAGTAGAGACGGGGTTTCACCATGTTAGCCAGGATGGTCTCGATCTCCTGACCTCGTGATCCACCCGCCTCCGCCTCCCAAAGTGCTGGGATTACAGGCGTGAGCCACCGCGCCCGGCCAATATCTCCGTTTTTTACATGAGCCTTTAATCCACCTGACACCAACTTTGAATAAAGAGCCCATATGGAAAGCCACGTGCGAGGTTGTACAGGTCCTTATTTTTTGCACCAGCACACCTATGCACCGCTAGACATGAGGGTGACCCTCGTGGCGAGCTGGGCTGTCCCCGTGTGGCCGCGCGTGCCCCACACTGTTTGTTCTGTGGCAGCGCCACGTGGCTTTGAGTGCTGGGAACTGACATAGGTTTCTCTCCCTAGTGAACCGGCCTGGGGCCGCTGCTCCTCTTTTCCTTTATTTTCTTCCACAAGAAGCTTAAAATCATTTTATCCCACTTTCCTTTTCAGGTTCAGCCTTTTAAGTCAAGCCAAGGACCCACTACTTGTTTTTCTGATCCTCTCCCCTCCCAGCCTCGCCTCCGACAGCCACGGTGTGCGTTGCTCCCCTCTATGTCTATGCATTCTCATCACTGAGCTTCCACTGTTCAGATGTGCCAGGCTCTACTTGGAATTACATTTACATCCTGCCTCGGGAGCTTGGCATTTTCTTCTTATCCACCCACACAAGAACATGGCAAATCTCCTTTTCTGTTTTTGTTTTGTTTTGTTTTGTTTGAGAAAATGTCTTGCTCTGTCACCTAGGCTGGAGTGCACGACACAATCTCAGCTCACTGCAGCCCTGACATCCCAGACTCAGGTGATCCTCCCACCTCAGCCTCCAGAGTAGCCAGGACTACAGGCATGTGCCACCACGCCTGGCTAATTTTTGTATTTTTTGTAGAGACAGGTCTTGCTATGTTGCCCAGGCTGGTCCCGAACTCCTGGGCTCAAGCGATTCACCTACCTCGGTCTCCCAAAGTGCTCGGATTTCAGGTGTGAGCCACCGTATCTGGCCTGTTTTGTACTTCTAAAAAATCGGGTTTTGGTATTAAGGCTTTGATTGGTTCATAACATGAATGGGGACATTTTTCTCTTTTTTAGGATCTGAAATTATTTAAATAGCATCTTGAGGAGGCATTCTGACAAAATCTATTAAAAATCTAAATGCATCCTCCTTTGATCCAGAAATTCTGTATGTAGGAATAGTACAAAAATATTTGCTACTGATTCCTCAAGAAGTTAAATATAGATTTACCATACGACCCAGTAATTCCACTTCTGAGTATTCCCACAAGCACTGGACGTAGGGTCTCTAAGAGACATTCGTACACAGCCCATGTTCATGACAGCACTACTTACATTAGCTCAAAGGCACAGCAACTCGAGTATCCAACAAAAGATGAATCAAGGCCAGAGACGGTGGCTCACACCTGTGACCCCAGCACTTCGGGAGGCTGAAGTGGGCAGATCACTTGAGCCCAAGAGTTCCAGACAAGCCTGGGCATCATGGCGAAAACCCGTCTCTACAAAAAATATAAAAATTAACCGAATGTAGCAGCGAGCCCCTGTAGTCCCAGCTACTGAGGAGGCTGAGGTGGGAGGATCACCTAAGCCTGGGGGGGTCGAGGCTGCAGTGAGCTATGATGGCACCACTTCATTCAGCCTGGGTGACAGAGTGAGACCTTGTCTCAAAAAAAAAAGAAAAAAAGAATGGATAAACAAAACGTGGTGGAAGACAGTGGAATATTACTCAGCCTTGAGAAGGAAGGAACCTCTGACATGTTACAGCATGGATGGGACATTATGCCGAGTGAAATAAGCAGCACAAAAGGACAAATATTGTGTGATTCCACTTATATGAGGTCCCTAGAGTAGTCAAATGCACAGACAGAAAGAGTGGTGGGTGCCCGGGGCTGGGGAGTTGGGGAGATAATGGGACTTTGTGTTTAAGGGGGACAGAGTTTCCATTTGACAAGATGAGAAGAATTCTGTGGAGGGATGGTGGTGATGGCTGCATAACGATGTGAATGTATTCGATGCCACTGAACTGTTCTCTTCTAAATCGTTAAAATGGGCCGGGCGCGGTGGCTCACGCCTATAACCCCAGCACTTTGGGAGGCCAAGGCGGGCGGATCACTTGAGGTCAGGAGTTCGAGACCATCCTGGCCAGCATGGTGAAACCCCGTCTCTACTAAAAATACAGAAATTTGCCAGGCGTGGTGCTGCGTGCCAGTAATCCCAGCTACTCGGGAGGCTGAGGCAGGAGAATCGCTTGAACCCGGGGGGCGGAGGTTGCAGTGAGCTGAGATCGAGCCACTGCACTCCAGCCTGGGGGACAAGAGCAAAACTCCGTCTCAAAATAAATAAATAAATAAAATAATTAAAATTGCAAATTGTATATTGAGTGTATTTCACCACAACAAAAAGAATATGAGGACATGCTAAAGACTTTAAAAATATCCACTTTCTAAAAAGAACAATACAGTTGAAAGATTTATTAGACCAGGTTTCAAGACTTACAGTAATCAGGAAAGTGTGTACTGACGTGAGGACTGACATCATTATCAATGGACAGGATGCAGACTCCAGAGCGGGCCCGACACATCCACAGGCCATCCATCTTCAAGAAAGAGTCCAAAGCCACTCCATAGCGACAGGACACCCTCTTCTACAAACGGTGCTGTAACAACGGGATATCTGTGTGGAAAAAAGTAAATCTCAACCCGACCTCACGTGTAAGCCATTTGTAGCCTGACTTTCCCTTTCCTGTACAACTTTTCGTTTCCCCTAGAGTTATAAGTGTTTTGTCTCATCCTTCAAAACTCACTAGTGTACACAAGTACACAGAGAGACATCCGCTGCACCACGGTTTATTGCAGAGAAAGCCTGGAACAGTCTCTCCATCAGTAAGGGACCCACGAGATGACTGTGCCTCCACACACTGGAATCCGATTCTCCCGTTCAAGAGGAGGAGGGCATTCTGCCAGCATTAACAAGAAGCAAACCTTTTTAACGCAGGTATATTGCCGAAAATGGCAAGGTTCAGAGCAGCAGGTACTTGTGCGAGAAAAGCCTGGGCAGGGGACAGACGCACACTGTGCCAGCGCTGGTTCTTAGCGGCAGATCAGGCAGGCTGGCATGAGCTGAAGGGGGTCACGAGGGCGAGCAGCAGCTCACACAGTCTCTGTGAGATCGGACTCAGGCTGAGAGGTGCACACCCTAAAAACCGTTTCCAAAGGAGAACTTCCCAGTGCTGGTGTAGCTTAGTTCCAAAGCTGCAGGGCTTCCTCCGTGACCTCCTAGGAAGAGCTGTCCAAGACCCCAGACATCCCCTCTGCCCAGCACGCCCGGCAGCAGGAGTGCACGGCTCACGCCGCAAGGGCAGCCCAGAGCCCCGCAGAGTCTTCTCTCGCCCTGGGCACACCCTCAGCTGTAGCCTGTGGGCTACCTGGAAAAAGGATCAGGGAAAACATCCAAATGAGGCCCAAGTGTGGCTCCAGCCCCAAAGGCGTTCCCCAAACGTCACAGCCTTTCTTAGGGAGTGCAAGGTCGGGCACTTGGCCCCAACGGGGAGGGCAGACCTGAGACACGTGTGGGTTTTACCACGCTACCCAGCATACCCACTCCCTCCTGTCCTCTAGGTCCTCTAGGGGGTAAATATGACATTTGTGGGGGACGAGGCGCTCAAGGTCTGGACATGGTGGTGCAGAGCAGGAGAGCAGATTAGCCTTGACGGAAAGCAGTGAAGCTGAGCTAGTGCCCAGCAAGGCGGAGATAAACAGAGGGCAGCGAAAGGCACCAGGTGGACTGCTGCATGCAGGGCAGGGGCTGTGCAGGGGTCCCACTTCCCTGAGCTGAGGGGAGCCTGTGGTGGTCCCTGCACAAGCCACGGATGTACCAGGAATTCACATGTGCGCAGTGTTCACGGCTTGGCTGGTCATGTCCCTCACAGATGTGTCAGTTCTTGGCTTCTATTTTAGAAGGTAAGGCGGTCCCCAGGGGCTTCCAACTGGCTTTTTCTACTGTAAGATGCTCGTGTTCTAGGGGTAGGGTGCCCTCTCCCTCCGGACCCAGCTGAGATGAACTTGGGCTGAAACCACAGGCAGCACCTTCTCCCACACGCTCCACCTTGCGTGCCTCTCGCATGTTCTGAGTCCTGGAGATGGCCACGAGCGCAAAGCCAGCACACAGAGGTTCTGGTTTTTCCCCATGCCCGGGCAACAGCCAAGGCCTGTGCCAGTCCAACCATTCTATCCTCCCCTAGGCCAGGATGCCTCCTGAGCACCCCTCACCCACCTCCCAGGCTCCACGCCACACCTGACCCTCCCTGCTCCGGGACTCTCTTGTCCCAGCAGAAAGCAGGGTGTCCCTGTCCAGGCCCACCTCGCCCTCAGAGCCAGCTCCCACCTAGACAGTGCAGCTCCCAGTGCTCAGGTGAGGGCGCCCCTCCCACTCCATCCGCTCACATGACATTTTTTGAAGGCCTTTTCTCTCACCCCACGGCTCCAATCCCCCTACAGCCTTATTTCCCTGGAAAGCACCTCTCTTCTAACATACTAGACACTTACGTGTTTATTGTTGGTCTAGCCCCACCCTCAACTCGAAACCCTGTAAAGACAAAGATTTGTATCTGCTTTCCACCTGACCCTATCCCCAGTGCCTACAAGACAGCAGGGAGTCCCTCTGGGCCCGCTTGGGGGCACGGTTCCCACACGCTGTCTGTGATGACGCCACCCAGTCACACGGAGGGCCCCTTTGTGTGACAGCGCCCGTGCGTCCACCAATCGCCAGTGAGCCAGCTCTGGGTACCGGGCAAGGACAGACGAGGCTCGCTCAGGTCACCTGTGTGCCCGCTCCAGCATTCAGGCAGTGGTTCTCAGGTCTCGGCCTGTGGGTCACCAAGGGTCCCTGAGGTTGCAGCTGCTTTCATCATAGTCTGATGATCACGGGGTCTTCACGGGGTCTTCACGGAGCTGACATGCGCACTGATGTGGCAAGACCTGAGCAGGAACGCAGGCAGGCCCCGAGCCCCGGCGCAGCCCTGAGGGGTTTTCGCACCGCACAGCTGCAGTGTGAAACGCCGGTCACTTCCAAATGTCCGTGATGGAGTGAAAATGGTCGAGTGTGTGAGGTCTTGACCCCTGGGTCCACATCTTTTCAACGTCCTGCCCGAGCAACTGGAAGGCGCGCCTGCCCCACGTCCACGCTGAGGAAATGCAGGTGTGCAATGGGCTGAGCTGCCGTCTGGATCTGGAACACACGTATGGAGCACACTTTTTACTCAAAAAAAGGATGTGCAAAAACTCTGGTTGTTCAGCCTTGGGTGTCCTGGCAGACTTTTTTTTTTTGGAAAACGAACAAAGTGAGCCTGTCTCATTCAAAGAAAATAGCTGACAGCATTTGTTACCAATGATAAAATTCAAGCTTTCATGCAAAAATCAGAATTCTGAAAGACACCACCATGAGTTCACCACCTTTCCAACTGAAAGACTTTTCTAAGATTGGTGATATCGCCAAAAGTGATTTTAAAATACTGATTAAGGAACTGTGTCAGCATTTGGAATATCCGCATAACTTAGTGAACCAAAGGCCCAGCGTGTGAGGTCACAAAGGCATGATGGACAGAGTCCTTGAAGCACAAGACGGACCAATGGATTCTCCTGAAATGAAGTAGAAGTTCATTGATAGGGTATCAGATTCCACACACAACCGGCCAGTAAAAAACCACCACCTGTCGGCCGGGCTAACACCTGTAATTCCAGCACTTTGGGAGGCCGAGGCGGGTGGATCACGATGTCAGGAGATTGAGACCATCCTGGCTAACACAGTGAAACCCCATCTCTACTAAAAATACAAAAAATTAGCCAGGTGTGGTGGCGGGCGCCTGTAGTCCCAGCTACTCAGGAGGCTGAGGCAGGAGAATGGCGTGAACCCGGGAGGCAGAGCTTGCAGTGAACCCAGGAGGCGGAGCTTGCAGTGAGCTGAAATCGCGCCACTGCACTCCAGCCTGAGTGACAGAGCGGGACTCCGTCTCCAAAAAAAAAAAACAAACCACCACCTGTCCAGTGTTGGAATAGGATCACGGAAGAATATACCGATTATTTGCAAAGGTTATTAAAATGTTCCTTTTCTTTTCAAATACACATCTGGGTAAGAATGAGCTTCTCCATTCACTCCTATACTTCACAACCAAAACACCCCCAAAGTGGACGGACCCAGAGCCTGCTGAGAGGCCAGTGGGCTTCTCTTAAGCCAGAGATTTACGACCATGTAAAACTATGCCACACTTCTCCCGAAAACTTTTTGTTTTGGAAAATATATTTTTCATACAATTGTTATTTATGTTAATATGTCATGGGTTTATTGCTATTTTGAAATGAATACATGTTTTCTAAAGGTCTCAGGTTTAATTTCTAATAAGATATTCTAATGTGTATTAATATTGGTCATTAGAACTCACATAAGCAAAAGTTCTTTGGCACTTTTAATGAATTTTATTTTATTTTATTTTTATTTATTTATTTATTATTTTTTTTTGAGACAGAGTCTCGCTCTGCTGCCCAGGCTGGAGTGCAGTGGAGTGATCTCAGCTCACTGCAAGCTCCACCTCCTGGGTTCACGCCATTCTCCTGGCTCAGCCTCCCAAGTAGCTGGGACTACAGGCGCCCGCCACCACGCCCGGCTAATTTTTTGTATTTTTAGTAGAGACGGGGTTTCACCGTGTTAGCCAGGATGATCTCAATGTCCTGACCTCGTGATCCGCCTGTCTTGGCCTCCCAAAGTGCTGGGATTACAGGTGTGAGCCACCGCACCTGGCCCACTTTTAATGATTTTTAAGAGCGTTGAGGGGTCCTCAGACCAGTTTGAGGACGGCTGCCGCAGGGTGGCCTGTCTAGGAGTGGCACTGACCAGAGGAAATGCGTTTCTTCAGCTTTAGGACGGGACACCAAATTGCTCCTGGAAGCGGCTGCACCACATCCCACCAGCAACGCAGGAGTCTCCATTTCCCGACGTTCGTCCTGGCCTCCAGCAGCCACATGATCTCAGTCTGCGGTTCCAACTCCCCGACTCCGAGGGAGGCCGAGCGGTCTTCTCACGCTGACTGGCCTTGGACTTTTGGCCCCGTTCTTTTTTCATATGAATTTAAACATCATCGCGTCCATGTCAAAACCAAGAAGTGATATTATTGAGACTATGTTTGGAATGACATTAATAAAATGATGACATTGACTTTGGAGCTTTCAGGAGTGTGCGAAGTTTCTCCAGCGCTCAGGTATTATTTAGATTTTTCAGTAAGACTGCATAGTTCTCTTCAGTAGAGGTCCTGTTCCTTCTGGGTTAAATTCATTCCAACTCTGAATGGGATATTTCTTCATCCTCATTTTCAACAAGTTTAAGCTGGTTTAAAGAGCTCCCAGTCTTTTGTACATTTGGCTTTCTGGGTATACAAAAATGAAATCTGAAAACAAAGGTAACTCTACTTTCTTCATTTCTTATCCTGCTTATTTTATTTATCTTTTTTTAATTTTTTTTTTTTTTTGAGACCGAGTTTCACTGTCACCCAGGCTGGAGTGCAGTGGTGCAATCTCAGCTCACTGCAACCTCCGCCTCCCGGGTTCAAGCGATTCTCCTGCCTCAGCCTCCCAAGTAGCTGGGATTACAGGCATGCACCACCACGCCCAGCTAATTTTGTATTTTTAGTAATGACGAGGTTTCTCCATGTTGGTCAGGCTGGTCTTGAACTCCTGACCTCAGAGGATCCTCCCGCCTCAGCCTCCCAAAGTGCTGGGATTACAGGCGTGAACCACCGTGCCCGGCTTTTGTTTATTTATCTTAATGCATTAGCTAAAAACGTCAAAACAACATGAAATACTACAGGTGAAAAGCAAGCACATCTGCCTGGCTCCTGATTCTAGTTTTCAATGTTAACATGCTGCTTTGCTGAATCTTATCAAATATTTTAGCAATGGCTGAGATCATTTTTTTTCTCCTTAATGGACCAACAACTAAGGAAGAAATCAGAAAGTTGTTAAGGACATGCTGCTGATGAAAGGCACCAACCCCACGATATTCTACAGCTGAGTTCTGCTGACATGAGGCGATGCTGCTCCAGCCTGGAGAAGGTCGGGCAGCGCCTGCCCCTTCTCTAAGGTGATGGAAGGGCATGAATCACTGACTCTGATTAGAGAGGGCGAGAAGAAAACAGACCAAACCACTTCTAACCCAAGCACAGCAGCGACTCGCGGTGTGCTGTCCCGGATGCCTGGCAGTTACTGAAGTACCGGTGCGTCATGGCTGACTCTACAGCAGTTTCAGGGTGAAGAAGTTGCTACATCATTTAGAACCTCCATCTGTTATGTCTTGTGGGAGCGTCCAGCCTAACCTTCCTGCCAGGGCCGCGGGCACCCTTCCCTCTCGAGGGCTTGTGACTGGCTCCCTGTTAGGAGGCTGGGGAACCCCACACTGGCCCCATGGGAGCTGCTAGCCAGCCTCAGTGGTCAGCAGCTGGGGGCAGGTGCCTGTGTCATGGCTGGGTTCCCAGCATCTAGGGTGGCACAGGTGTCCAGTTGGAGCCCAGTGTGTTTGTTAAGCAAATGATTTCTTGGGTGGTGTCTTGCCTACGAGGCGGGTGGGTCCCGGAGCTGGAAACTGGCTAGAGCAAAAGCTCCCAAAACTCAGGCCCGCATCAGATGTGCCCGCATCCTCTGTCCTCCTGGGGCCACCCTTCCTTCTGCTTCTCGGCAGGTGCTATGGCAGCCACACTGGCTTGCAAGAGCTGGCTCTGTGCATCTCTTCTCAACCACAGGGTCAGCGGCGTCATCTGGCAGCTGGAAACTGGCACCGTAGCGCTGGCTGCTGCTCCCTCCTCCCACCACTGCCGCCGCTCCTTACACCCTCACGACACTCTGCCTCTCATCCCACAGCAACATGGGCCGAGTCCTCGGCACACAGGCTCTGGGGAGATGGCTGAGGAGGGTGGGAGCTCCAGGACCCTCAGAGTGAAGTGAATCCTGCTTGCCCAGCTCCCCTTTGGGCTCCACAGAACACGCCGGCCTCTCCTTCACACAGGCAGGCCGAGGGCACCCTCCACACCACCATGGTCCACAGGCTGGTCCCACACCCAGTGGAGTCCAAGCTGCTCTCTTGCCTGGCTGACCTCAAGACCCCCTAGAGGGTAGGATGAGCTGCTGCTGCTTGTCGCAGGATGACTGCAGCACTGCCTGGCAGGATGCCTGCTGCCACACCTGCCTCTGCACCTGTCTCCACGGCCTGCTCGCTTGGCAGCCAGAGGGAGATTTTTCTGAACCCTGAGTCAAACCATGCTGTTCACCTGCTGACCCACCTGCCAACAACCTTCTATTTGGGCAGCAACTTGCCTAATTCCAGGAGGTGACTCAAACACACCTGGCCCCAGCCTCCTTTGCAGCCAGGGCAACCAGACGCCCGAGTCCCGGCCAAGGAGGCTCATAGAGAATTCAGCTTTGGGAAAGCTGGAGCTTCTAGAAAGAGTTTGAAACTGGTGGAAGGGCCGGCAGTGAGGTGAGCTTGCAGCTGTGGCCGCTCCACCACCCCTCTGTCCCCCACCGATGTCAGACCCAGAGCTGCACTGGCCAAAAGACTCCCACTAAGCTTGAAAAGCATGAACACTCCTCCCCACGGGCTGCACGGGCTTCCGTGGCCTGGCTGCTGGCCACCAGCCTCCTAGCTGCTCCTGGGCTTGCTCCAGTGTCCTCTGCCTCTGGGCCTTCGCACTGGCCGTTCCCTGTGTGGCCACTGTTCCCAGCTCCACGTATGTCTGCCTCCGTGTCCTCAGGCCAACCCCTCCCTTCCAGCACTTATCACAACCTGCAACCATTTCTCTACTGACCCATGTGTCTTCCCCGCATGGGAGCATAAGCTCCAAGAGGCCAGGGCCTTTGTGTCATCCACCATGATATCTCCAGCACCCAGAACACTCAACAGGGCTGTGCATGTGAACAGGTGTTACGACTTTTATTAGTGTCATTGCTAAGGAGGCAGTGGAAACACCTGATGCTCCAAACAGAGCTGAATAAAAGCCTCCTGGAAGGTCGCTGGGGTTTTCATCAGGCGTCAGAGGCCATTTAAGGAGAGACGCAGAGGTCCTGGTGAGGGAGGACACAGGGTTCCCTTCAGGAGAGAGCTCCCCCAGCTCCAGCCTGCCCCAACCCGTTTCCATCTGCTTTCATTTTCGGGATCCATCAATCAGGGCATCCTCACCAAGCCAGCAACAGCAAACTGTGCGTTCCAGGCAAGAATGAAAAAGTATACGTTTAATATCAAAGCCACGTCAAGTATCATTGATAGTAACGACACTGGAGAGTGGCTCTAGGACGTTCTTACTCGGAGTGAACCCCAGAGGCCCTGGCCTGTGTCCGAGGAAGGGCATTCATGCTGGAGACTGGAGCCTCACGGTCCCCAGGGCCTGGGGGTTCCTCAAAATACCCCTCAGAAGGGACATCCTGCCAGAGGCCAGGTGGAAGGCGGTCTCCGCTCGCGGGGCGGCCCCCTTGCCCGCCTGGCCTGAGTGGCCTGCCCTGGGTGGCCTGAGCAGTACCACCAGCCGCCCGGCCCCGCCGCCGCCGCCGCCTGCTGGCCTAGACGCTGGACTTGGTGATGATCCTCTCCAGCAGACTCATCATGCGCTCCTGCAGCTGCAGGCTCTGCACCTGCAGGATGTGCTGCTGGTCCAGCACGCGGCGCACCTCGCGGCAGGTCTCCTCCACGGCGCGGCTCAGCCGGCGCTGCTCCTCCACCATGGCCTCCAGCAGCCGCAGCTGCTTCTTCTGCAGGTGGCAGCTCTGCACCTTGCGCTTCTTCACCGGCCGCTCCTCCGACCTGGAAGGACAGTGCCGGCTGTGGACGTGCTGGCCACAGAGCCTGGGCACACCAGGGGCCTCACCGGACCCTCCCGACAATCCTACTGGGCAAATGGGGAAACTGAGGCCCCAGGGAGTCAGGTCACTTACTCAGGGTCTCATATTCCATGTGCAAAGGAGGGGCCAGAACCCACCGCCTTTGACAGAAAGTAACAGGGGTGGCCGGGTGTGGAGGCTTATGCCTGTAATCCCAGCACTTTGGGAGGCAGAGGCAGGTGGATCACCTGAGGTCAGGAGTTCAAGACCAGCCTGGCCAACATGGTGAAACCCCATCTCTACTAAAAATACAAAAATTAGCCAGGCGTTGTGGCGGGTGCCTGTAATCCCAGCTACTCGGGAGGCTGAGGCAGGAGAATCGCTTGAACCCACGAGGCGGAGGTTGCAGTGAGCCAAGATCGCGCCACTGCTCTCTGCACAAGAGCGAGACTCCGTCTCAAAAAAAAAAAAAAAGAAAAAGAAAGAAAGAGAGGCCACAGGCATTGCCGTCCTTTGCGACTAGCGGATGACCCCAATGACCAGGGTCCCAGGACAATCCACACCCCTTCGGTCTGGAAAGGGTGGGATGTTCTGGGCTGCAGAGGGGCATATCCTGCCAGGGAGCACCCTTCACCCACCAAACTGGGCAGGTGGGGGCTCAGCCCCAGTTGGGGGCCAGGGGTGGAGAGACCACCCCCAGGGAGAGATGAAGGCAGGGGTGGGGGGTGCTGGGTAGTGCAGAGTACTCAGGACCCCTGTAGGGAAGCCAAGACCACCAGCCCCACCCGGCCTTAGGCAGATGGGGAAACTGAGGTCCCAGAAGGAAGGGCCTGAGATGTGAGCCCCCTTATCTCCCGGCGGCCTAGAAATGGGGCCGGCACACCTTGGTAGAGAGGCAGAAGGACAGGCACCTAGAGGGTGTGGGGCCCACAAGAGGCCTGGGCTCTCTCCCCAGGACCTCAGAGCTCTGGTAGAGGTGGTGAGTAAAGGCAGTCCAGCCCTGTGGGCGCCTCCTGAGAGCTCTGCTGCTGGGGTAGGGGCCACCCGTGGTCTCAGCAGACCTCCCTGAAGGGCAGGGAGCTGCCAAAACCCACAGACCCCAGGGCCCTGCTCCAGTGCCTGCTCATCCCTGGCCCACACTCTGCTCTGAGCTGAGAGGGTACAGCCAACCTCAGGGGCGTGAGATCCGCGCTTTGGGCCTGATCAGGGAGGGCAGCCCCCACGCCCCAGTCCTGTGCAAGGCCCCAGGCAGCTGAGTCTGAGAACTGGGCTCAGTCCACGGGAACAACAGCCACAAATCTCAGGCCTCCTGCTGGTTCCTTCTAGCTGCCAGCAAAAGCGTTTTTGTCTCAGGTCTTCAATGAGAAATCCTGAGTCAAGCAGCGGCCCCCGGCATGAGAGGGACCCTCCTCGGAGACGCCTTCTCTACTAAAGATACTTTTCTGACACCTCCTGTCAGAAAGACTTGAAGACCAGGGCAGGGGAGAAGCTGTGACTCAAATCCACAATCTTCCTGTTCTTGCCTCCAAATGGCCAACTTCTATTTTACCTTGAAAGCCCACCCCAAATGTCCCCTCCTCAAAAGCACCTTCTCTGGGCTCCCCAGGCCCACCCCGCAGGTGTCTGTCCTGCATGCTGCCTGGCTCCCGGCTGCCCTGTGAGCATCTTGCAGGCACAGTCACGTGGCCAGCACGGGACGGGTCTGAGGTGTGGGATGGATGGCAGAGGGGACGGGTCATGCCCACGGCAACACGTGATGAGGTGCAGCCCGACACCCTCCCCAGTGCTGAGAGGGCAGCTAGCCTGTGAGGGTGGGGTCTGTGTGGGCTAAGGGAGGCCAGGGGGCGCATTCTGGGGTCTGGGGCTTGGTCTCCCTCCGTGTGCCGGGCCCCATGCTGCGTCTTCTCTCCTGTGATGCTCCCAGCCACCCTCTGAGAAAGGTACTGATTTACCCCCATTTTATAGGAGGGAGACTGAGGCCAGAGAAGTCAAGGAACTTTCCGTGCAGCTCAAAAGTGATGGAGCTGGGAGACAAACTCGGTCTGCCTGTGGACACTAAAGCCCTCCCTGGTCTGAGGCCGCCTGTCCCTGGAGGCGCTGCCCGCAGCCACGGCCTCTGCAACCACTGTGGCCGCCGCCGCCGGCCTTGCCACTCCCAGTCCCTTTCTCTAAATGGTGGGGGCTGAGATACCCCAGGGCAGGGGAAGGACAAGCAGACACACTACCTGAACTTAAGGGACAGTAAGCTGGAGGAGCTGTCGGAGCGATCATCCTCGAAGCGGCCTTCGTAGGAGCACTGGTTATACGGGAAGTACAGAGGGGTGGACTTAGCGGGCGGCGACAGGGACGCCTCGGTCTGGGACGTGGAGGGCCCCGGCGGCTGGCTGTCCGGCAGTTTGCCATCACAGGACTCGGGGACCTTGGCCAGAATCCCATCAATGGCTAGGTAATAGGGCCAGTCGGGCGGGGCGGACTCGCTATCTGTCATGCATTTTAATTTCCTGAAACGAGAGACACAAGAGCCAAGGGTGAGAAACAGAGCTGGCCCAGCCCCTGTCCTGCCCAGCCTCAGCAGAGGGGCGCGCCACGCCGGCACAGGCAGGAGCCGCTCTCGGCTGGCAAGGGCCTCCCCAGCAAAATCGGCCAGGCTCCAGGGTCAAGATGACAATGGACTTAGAAAGAAGCTGGGCTTCAGGACCTACACGGGCTCAGATGTTAAAAAGGAAGCACACGTCCCAGTATTACTAAGGTTATCTGTGCATGCTGGGACCTTGGGGCTGGTCCTATTGCTTTTCCCTTGCTTTTCTATAGTTTCTAGACTCTCTGCAATGAGCAAATACTGCTTTTTAAATAATTCATTTTGAAAGGTAGAGTAATAAGGTTTTATTGTAATAATAAGGTATTATAAGATATATAAATATAGTGATAATATTTTGTAATATAATAACTGTGTTGTTCGGGAGAGAATGCCTCAGGGAGCGACAGCCACTGGCGTTAGAGCACAGGCTTCAGTGTCCACAGCCCTGAGTCAGTATCTCATCTCCACACTTTGCTGTGTGACTTTGGGCAGGTTCATTCACCTCTCTGAGCCTCTATTTTTATATCAATGACATAGTGATGATCAAAGTAAGCCCCTCCCCCAGCTACAGGGCAGATTTAATAAAGCAAACAGCAGGCTGGGCTCCCATGCCATTCTTGGTTGAACCTACAGTCTGGGCAGGAGCCTAGATCCAGCGCTACAACCTGCAACCTGCCCAGAGGCCCTGGGGTGGGCCGGATGGGCCCCTTCCCACACTGCCTGATGCCTCATTACCACTGGGACCCCCAGCACCCACCTACTCCTGCAGACAGGTCCTGCCCTGAGAGGCTAAGTCCCCAGGCCTCCCCTGGGCCTCGGCTGCCCTCTGGGAGGTCAAGGCAGGAGACACAGGGCCCCATGGCGGCCAGACAGCTCTGGCCAGGCCAGGGAAGAAGCCACAAGGTGGGGGTGGGGCAGGGGCATCTCTGCCTCACTGGACCCAGTACCTCCTAAGGCCCAGTGCCCACTCCCCACTCTGCCTTTGAGTGACAGAGTGCCCCAAGGCCGGGCTCCAAACCCAACCTGTGCTCGGAGTGGGTGTCTCCTCTCTCCTACTCTTGCTACCTGCCAGGGTGTGGCCATTGGCCGTTGGAAACAATAAGCTGGATTCTGAATGAGGTGCCCCCAGCAAACAGGCACAGCCAGATGGTGAGCAGGGGATGCTGCCCAGGGTGGCACGTGGCTGTGAAGACACCAGCACAGAGCGTGTGAGGGCAGGCGCTGGGTGCCCATCCCTAACCTCTGCCCCAGGCTTCTCTCTCTGCCCTACTTGAGCCAGCCCACTCTTTGGAGAAACGAGAAAAGGCCTATTCTCAGTGTAGGAGGCCCCCAAACTGTACTTCAACAAACCATGCTCCACAGAACCAGCCACCCTCTCAGGCTTCTTCAGCCCAACAGCCTTAATATATAAAGAGTTCTTGTAAAAAAAAAAAAAAGAAAAAGAAAAAAAAAAGAAAAGCCTCTGCTATGGGGAGACTGCGGGTATAAAGAAAAAGGACAAAGATCGAGTCACCCAGCCACAGCTTCCTCTGCTAAGGACTATGTGGCCCTGGGCAAGTCCCTCTCATGCTCTGGGCCTCAGCTTCCCCCTCGGTGAACTAAGGCTGACTGTGGCAGCTCTGAGGGGCTGCGGTGTGGAAGTGCTTCATCAGCCATGACGTGCAGTGCACCGGTGCAGCCCTTGGCCAGCCCAGACTGCAGGGTCTGGAGTGGAGGCCCCCACTCTGCTGCACCCTCATCTCTCAGCCTCCAGGAATGGAGACAGAAACCCTCCCCTGGGACTCTGAAGAGGCTTTCAGCATAAATAATGAATAACCTGGCCAGACACCAACCAGAGCCAGCCAGGGAGGTGGTGCCCGTGAATTCCTGAGTCAGAGGGGAGCCTGCTGGAACAGTCGTGGCCACCTCCCACTGCCCTCTGCGTCCCTTCCTCACCAGGTGCCTGAGCAGGACTAGGAGGCCACGGGAACAGTGGGGCCGCGGGCAGCTGCCTGTGTCCACCGAACCTCTGAAGATACCCAGGCTCACACCTCAGCCCTCACGTCGCAAGCCAGCCGCTCAAACCCAACATCCGTCATGCTCAGCACCCTAGGTCCCGGCTTTGGGGCCTGCCTAGGGGCCTTTGGGCAGGGCCAGGCCCCGGACCCCTCCTTCAAGGCTCAGAAAAAATCAAATCAACGCAACTGAAAGCGGAGACCTCACAGGCTGGCGGTCTGTCCGGGGCCTTGCTGGGCCTCTTCCCCACTCCCACTAGGGCTGGGGACTGGGGGTTCCCTTCTGCTGTGCTGGAGGCCGGCTCCTCGCCTGAGGGGGGCAGTGGGGGTGGCCTCTCCCACAAGTGGCTCAGGTGCTCTCAGCCTCTCTGCCCCAGGCTCACCTGCCTGACCCGGAGGTGGAGCAGCTGAGTGAGGCCACTCCCATCCTGGAAGCTGACAGGCTCTCCGGCAGCCCCAGGCCCAGCCCTGTCCAGGCCGCCCACAGGGCCGGGTGCTCTCTGCTGCCATTCTCCCCCTGCAGCTTCCAGCTCTTGCTGCCACCCTCGCTCCGTGCAAGACCCTCCCCACACCCAAAACCATCACCCCACACCTGTGACCTTCACCGCACACCTATGACCTTCACACCCTGCAAGACCCTCACCGCACCTGTGACCTTGCCTGTGCCTGAGACCTTCACCCCACCATGACCCCTGCCCACCCGGGACCCTGTCCTAATGGGCTGGGGACCCACGCACTTTAAGATGCTGGGTGTGTGGGACCACACCTGTCCCCTCCTAGACGCCAACATCTCCCTGGCTGGGTGGTCCCCTCCGGCCTTCCCTGCAGGTTGCCAGGGCAGGAAGGGCCCACCTGCCATGTAGCAGGAGCAGAGGTGGGGCCAGGCCGGGAGCCCCCACGCTGGGAGTCCTGGGCCAGGGCAGGCCTCCACCTCTTTCTTCTTCGCACCGTAAGCCCCACCCATGCGCTGGCTGGTCCTGCACCTCACCTGGTGATTTCTGGAAATACCCCACCGTGACCCTAGGGCCAGCCCCAGTGGGGCTCACCGGCTCATGGCAGAGGCTCAGTGGATGCTCCAAGTCGCAGAGCACTGAGCCTCCTTCTCACTTGCAGTCTCAATTTCCCCAATGACGCAGTAGGCCCCTGAAACCCCTGCTGAGCTTGGGAGCTTGGTGGTGGGGAGGGCACTGGCAGCCGCCGCCTCCCTATGGGGGAGCAGGGTGTGAGGTCAGTGGGCACCACCATGAGTGTTGCTGCCTCCGAGGGACAGTGCCCAGACCGCCCATACGTCCTGGGAGCCATCCTGGCCTCTGCCCAGCACCAGCCCCACCCCTGCTACCCCTCAGCTCTTAGACTGGTTTCCTGCCCTTGCTGGGCCTCAGTTTCCCCACTTCCCCAATGGAAGGCTGCACACACGGTTTCCGTGGGCCCCGTCTCACCCCGTGGGGTTCTGCCCATACCCGGCCAGAGGAGACCGACAGGCAGGCCACGACCCACACATCGTCCCGACTCAGAGCTCCAAGAAAGTCAGGAGCGGCCCGCCACGCCCGGGCCCGCCCGTCCTGGTGGGGCCCACACTGCCCGCTCGCCCACCTGTACTGGAAGGTCATGTTGGTGATCTTGATCTTGATCTCCTCGCCCAGCCTGCGCTCGCCGGTCATCTCGAAGAGCTTGCTGGCCATCTTCTCGTACACCTTGGCGTTGCGCTTGGTCTGCTTGAGCTCGTCGAAGAACTCCTCCCAGACCAGCATGAGGCCGCGCATCTCGGCGTCCGTCCAGTTGCGGGCCCGCCGGTGCTTCTCCGCCTGGGGAGACACGAGGTAGCCGGGCCCCTCGGCCGCCGCCATGCCGGAGGCGCCTGTGGGGTGAGAGAGCGCGCTCAGCGAGGGCCCCGGCCCGGCCCCACGCACCATGGGCGGGAGGCGCCGCTCACGCTCGCTCGAAGGCAGCTCCACGCTCAAAATGGGGCCTACATCTGACAGGCAGGAATTTAGTTAAAAGCTTTTAAACGGGAAACGTCATTTTGATGTCACGTTTCCATAGCAACAGAGCAACTGCATAAGCTACAACAACAGAAACCTTTTAACTGAAAGCACAGGAATCAGGGCTGCACTGACGGGCCATCAATATTGCGGCGAGCGGGCCAGGCCCAAACCCAGCGGCCCGGCTCCCGGCCCTGCCTCTCACCGCCGCCCAGGCGGATCGGCCCCCAGTTCAGTGCCGCCCCGGCTCACGCAGGCCAAGAGGGGGCCTCGGGTGGGAACAGGCAAGGAGAAAGGGGGCAAAAGGTGGGAGAAACAGAGAGGACGAGCGACGAGGAGGCTGAGTCCCCCAACGCTGGCCACTGGCCCTGGTGGGGGTCCTGGGCTGTGGGACCCTTAAGCTCCCTCAGAAGGCCCCTGCCTTCTGAACTGGGGCTGGGCCCTGGGGCTCCTGGGTGTCCTGGTCCTGGGGTCCTGGGGCTGGGCCCTCACAAGAACCCCAAACCCCCACCCTTGGCTCCTTTTGCTTCTCTTGCTCCAGCCCCCAGGCGCCCTGGGCCTTAGGTCTGTGGACACTGGAAGCCCGGGTTGGTCAGAGCCAGGCCCTGCCCAGAGGTGCAGACACAGGGTACACAGACACGGGCCTCTGGCACCGGCCGGTGAGGACAGCAGTGATGGCAAAGGTGAGCTCTGTTTGAGACACAGGAGGGAATCAGCCCAGCAAGCCAGGGGGAGGCCACAGGGCACTCCTGGGAAGAGCCACGGGCATGGCAGGGCACAGTCTGGGTACGCAGGGAGCTGATGGGCAGCCAGATTCGGCACAGCGTGCGGAGACGGGGCTCGAGGCCCAGGCTGCGGGGCAGGCCCCTGTGGGGCTGAGGGACTGAGATGCCCCCAGGCTGGCCGGAGGACCACAGCCTGCCGAGAGCCCCAGATGCAGCGGAACCGGAACCGGAGCGGTGGCCTGGGGGTTCTGCCCGGAGAAGTGCCGCCCAAGGGCATCGGCACCCGAAACGTAACACATGCATGTCAGGCAGGGCTCTGTGGAGCCCACGGCACCTGTGCAGCATGGACTGTGCTGGGCGCGGTGCCCAGGCTAAATGCCACTGTGGTCAGCAGAGGGACAGCAGGCACCCCCCTGCCCTCCTCAGGCCTGACCAACTGCAGGAGACTCTCAGGTGTGGGCTGCCCCAAGAAGGGCAGCTGAGCCTGGAATGAGGAGGCATCTCGGCCTCTGCCCGCTGCCCCTGCTGTCCTCTGAGGCACCTTGGAGGTGGGACCGAGGCTCTCAGGGGAAGGACAGGGCAGGGGCATGGCGGGGGTGCCCAGCCCCACTGTGGGTGCCCAGCATAGGGAAGGCGAACTGGGGCTCCCTCTTGCCCGCAGTCAGGATAGGAAGTGTATGGGGAGGGCCCCAGGGATGTGTGAGGAACTCAGAGGGGTCTCTGCACCCCCTACACTGGGTCCCTGGTCAAGGCCTGGCCCCACCATCAGCCCCATGAGACTAGTCCAGTCCCTTCCATCTGGGCCTCAGGAGACATCATCCCTACTGCCTGGCACTGGGGCATCTCCACTCGACTAAGGTCAGCCCTCCGTGCTGGGGGCTGGCACAGAGAGCTCTGTGGAGTGCCTGCAGATGAAGGAGTGACTAGAAGGCCTACCTCCTCTAGGAAGCCCTGGCTCCTCAGGAACAGGGTTCGGCCCTCCCCGGTGAGGTCAGGGACCGGTCCGAATGCCCTTTCCGTAGCCATGACTCCAAGGGCAGAGGTGGGGCTGGCTCCCAGCATCTCTTGGCATCTCCCGGCACAAGGGGTAAGCAGAAAGGCATGGGGTCCCAGCAGTGGTTCTGGGTGCAGCTCTAGCGACTCAGCATGGACCTTAGTCATGTCCTCCCCACTAACCTGTTTCCTCACCTCCACAACAGGGGTAACAGGATCTGACTATATCACCCAGCATGGTGCTGGCTAAGGGGGCACAGCCCTCCCAGAACCCTGGGGAGGTCATGGGGCCTCTACGTGCCCTCTACCCCCTTCCACAAATCCACCTTGGAGCTGCTGGGGACAGCGTCAGGCCTACTGTCCTGGCTGAAGGGGCAGCTGCTGGCCAGTGGACACCACCACCACTGCCGGGGGCCCCCACCGGACGGCTCTAGAGGAGGCACCTACACCCCTGCCTGCCCGAGTTCCAGTGGGCGCAGGGAGGCAGGGCCCTGCCTGGCAGGGTGCCACCCCACACCCGCACCATCCTCCAGGCAGCATTCCCAGGGTAAAAGGCTCAACTCCAACCCTCTCTTCCCAGGCTCAGTGCACATGGGAGGCCCTGGACAGGGCAAGCTCCATGGCCTTTCCCGAGGCAGAGCCCTCACACTGACCTCCAATGTGAGGACAAGAACCAGGCAGGCAGCAGATGGCAGCACCAGGCACCCAGCTGCTCCTGCCTGGGAGGGTCCCCACATCTGTCCCCTGCTGGGGAGGGGCTCGTACCTTGGCAAAGCTGCATGGCCTGCTGGGACCCTCAGTCGCTACGGGGTCTCCTAGGGCCAGAGGCTGGTCAACCAGCAGCACCTGAGGGAGAAGGGGCAGGTCAGGCCTCGGCAGGAGCTGTCCCTGGTGCAGACCTGGGACATGGGCGGGGCCCTGCTGGGCTCAGGCTAGAAGCATGCTCCCTAGGCCTCCATCCCTTCTAAATAATGAGGCTGGGCCCAACTAGACTCTCATCCTGCTCAGCATTTCTGGGTGGATTTTCTGCCCTGCCTGACAGGCCAGCAGGACATGGGGACTGACCAAGGGTGGGGGCAGCAGGGCTCCCAAACACAGAAGCCCAGAGAGGAGGTGGGCGTCCCACTGAGGGGCACCTTCCAGGAGCAGCAGTGGTGAGCACAGCCTGTGCAGATGGGTGGGGATTTGGCAGCTGAGGAGTTCAGGGCTTGGGTGAAGGCAGAGAACCACGTGGAGTCCTGGGCCCAAATCACGGGGGGCCCCTGGGCAGGCTCCGGAGCCTGGACTTCCCCAGAGCAATTGGGGCCAGGAGGGGAAGGATGTGGCCAACACTGCCGCCGCTGGGGCAGGGTAGAAGGTTGGGCGGGTGGGCTGTCCAGAGGGTACAGGGGCCAGGATCCACCTCAGGACCAGCCTGTCCTAGCAGTTTTGGGGGTAGCTGCCTGACCAAGCATGGAGGGCAGGGGCCTGTGCACACAAGGGGAACCCAGACCCACAACTTCAGCCCTCTGCCTCCAGTGATGCCCTGACCCTGACCTCACAGGTCCACAGGGCCCACCCAGGGCCCAGACACCCCCGACCAGGACACCTGGAGGCCTGGTGTAGGGTGGAGAAAGCCGGCCACACTGGCGGGCCCCCCCAGAGGATGTGGCTGCAACAGGACTGGGTCCTCTGTGGCTCAAGCCACTTGCCCAAAAGGCAGCCAGGCTGCTGGGGCTGCAGAGCCTGGGGGACCCGCAAGCGATGTCCACATGGTTTCCCAAAAGAGGTCCTGGTGATGACACAAGGCCGGGTCCACCTCTACCCACAGACACTGTCACGGTGCTCATGGACCAGACTCGTGGGCTCGCGGAGGATGCCTTTCCTCAGGCCCCACTGCAGGCTTCCCTGAGGGGTGCACCCCACACCCCCAGGAACGGGGCTTCCTCTGTCCTCGGTTGGCTGTGTCACATCATGTAGAGGCAAGGCCCCCCTACCCAGTCCCTTCAGTGGCGGCTCCACCCGGTACTCACCTCACCCTGGCTACTTCCCTCATCTGACTTACAGTGCTCCACGCACCACGCAGGGGAAGCGACTTCCAGATCCCAACAAAGCCAGTAGCAGCCAAAATCAAATACCACCGAAGGCACAGGGCACAGCTCGGCAAGGGGACAGGGTGTGCTCTCCGATGAGGAAGAGGAAGGCTGTGTTGAGGGCAGCTCTGCCGTGGCATGGGGAGGGACTGCAAAGCCCACTCACGAGGGGTTCACCGCTGCTTCCCACTGGACCCCGGCCCCTCTTCTTTCTGAAATTACCAGCCATGCCAGGTGTGCTCAGTGTGCCAGGCTGTCCACACCTGGACCAGGGAGAAGGGGGTGCTCCATTTCTCTGAAGTGACCAGAATTTAGGTAGCTCTGAAAGGAGAGGCCACTGGGGGGCCCTGGAGCGGTGTCACCTATGAGGAGACAGATTTAGGGAGCTCAAGTGGCATGCCCCGCCCCAAATGCTTTAGGCCTGTCCACCACATCCCTCCGGCAGACTGATCCCTATCCCTGCTCAGAGAAAGGGGGCCCCCGCACGTGCCCAAGAGGAGCAGGCAGCAGGAGCTGGCCCCTTGGCCGACTGGCCCCCGTCTCTCCTGGCACAGACAGCAGAGCAGGGAAAGAATGGGTGGACGACCCCTGCCAATTAGCCAGAACCAGACGGGACCTCAGCAAACATTGACTAAATACCCTGCACCAGAGGAAGCCACAGGGTTTTTGTTCTTGCAGGTTGGTAAGACATCTGCATCCCAAGATGACTACACCACCAATCACCAAGGCTTCCGAGAGGCTCGTCCGGAGCTTAGAAGCATCCCCGCTGGGCTGAGCAGAGGCTTCTTGGAGTAGGCGCTGGTTCAGACAGGACAAACAAGCTAGAATAGACGGGGCAGGCCCTGCGGACACACAGCAGCCCCGGCCACACCAGAGGTGGGATGTGCCAGCTGCTTTGGGGGTTACCTGGGAGCAGCTGGGCCAGGGACGCAGGTGTCAATGGCCAAGGAGGTGGAAGGGTGGTGGGCCCTGTGAGAACACAGCTCTAGTCTCTGTGCTGGGCCTGATGACCTGCTTCAGTGCCATGGGCCAAGTCCTGAGGCTTGTGTATGTCATATAAGCTTATGATGTCACTTGACCATGAAGGCTCCAGCAGCTCCAGCAGCTCCCACAGCTCCCATCTGCAGGGCAGGAAGACCACCTGTACTGTGGTTTGGGAAGGCCCTTGCAGAAGCACCCAGCCAGGCCCATGCCCTGGGGCCACTTCCTCATCCCTGGCTACAGAAAACACGGGGCCTGTCCCTGCTGGCAGCTGCCTGGGGGACCCTCCATAATGCCAGATGTTAGCTGGTGGGACAGTTTCTGCCCCTGCTGGAGAAGCACTTAGGAGACTGCTTCCTAAGACTCCAGCTCAGCAAGGTCTAGGTTCTCATGAAGCAAAGCAAGCCTCACACAGCAACAACTGATGGTTTCCATTTTTTTCCTTTAATTTGGATGTACAATGTTTGCAGCAGTTAAAAAATTAAATATACATCTCTCGTCAGTCCTTCCCTTTGCTCTCAGAAGCATTCAGGTCTGGGTGGGGCTCCGGGACTCGCCCATCACAGCCCTGCTGGCTCCAGGGGAGCTCAAGCTCAGCTGACAGTCCCTCTGACCACGGTGCAAAGCAGTGAGACCTGGACAAGGAGGCCCCACTTGGGTCAGAGCCCACCCTCCGTAGGCAGGTCCACGTTGGCCACGATCCTCCAAGGCTGGCAGTTACCACCCAGATTGCAGCGGGAGACTCTGCTCTTAGAAACAACTGAGGGGAAGGCGTTCCTTTGACTGCACCAGAGCGTGACAGGCACATGGGGGAAGAGCGGCCCCTGAACCTTCCAGGTTGCCTTCAGTTGTCATGCGGCATTCTGAGCAGCTCCCTCCTTCCCAGGAGGCCCAGGCCCGGCAAGCGAGTGTCCTCGTCTGAGCCATCCTGAGCTCTCCAAGGTCCCTCAGCAGCTCTCAAGATCTTCCTTCTTCTCACTCCTACACGTGACCCCTCTGGAGGACAGCTCCAAGTCTACCCTGGCCAGCAGCTGTGGTCCCGGGTCCTCCCCGCAGAGGGAGGAAGCGGGGGAGGGACAAAGCCCGATGAGGATGTCTGCTGGGAAGGATGCTCACAGGTAGCAAGAGAAGCCTGACTCCACCCACCAGACACACAGAACTAACCTCACTCCACCCCGCAACGGGAGGAAGTTCCACCTGCCAGGCGGCCACACACCGAGTTATTGCTGTCTACTATCCGTCCCGAGCTCCACGTGGGGCTCATCTCAGCTCCAAGAGGAGGAGCTGTTCATTGGCTCCGAGGGCTCTGAAATGACCCCCTCCATGAAGATGGGGGCGAGGGGTGTCCTTTAGGGCACAGGGCCTTCTCAGATGCTACATTCTGGGTGTCTGGAGGGGGTTCAGCTTCACATTTTCCCCTTGAAAGGACACATGCGCTGGCAGAAATGAGGGTGGACAGTAACAAAGAGCACTTGGCAGCTGGAAACATCACCTACATAGACTCAGCTGGGCCCGCAGCGGAAGGGAGGCACATTTTGGGAAAGAAACACGCTTCAGTGCATTGCCAAACAATTCTACCCTGGTTTCATTAAAATCTTTCCCGATATTACCAGCAGGAAAACAAAAGCAATCTCCCCACAGCCCACCCCCAAAACTTGACAACCAAATTAATCACATTTGCAACAAAATTTGGATAATACGATGGGTGCTTGCCACAGATTTTTAGGAACATGATAAAGTCTTCCTCCCTTCTGCAGAGAGCTGATATGGAGACCATCTTCGCCAGTGGGATCCTAGTGGGCAATGAATGAGCCCTGCCCTGACCACGTCCCACGCCTGGATGTCCGTCACGCGGCTAACTTGACCTGGCGGGTCTAAGGAAAGTCAACTTCCAGGAAGAACCGACACGGGCACTCTTAGAGGCCATGCATCTCCGTCTTGAGAGGTGTGTGTGTAAAATTATAGATGTGTCTATATGCACATGCATGGATACTTTATGTATATGCGTGGGTGAAGTCATTTTTACTAATGAGCTCATATTCATCTCCGGAGCACACAGGCAGGTCTTTGGGGGTGGGGGACACCTACTGCCAGAGCGGGGTGTTCTGAGCCCCTTGCTAAGGACTGGTTTAGATCACGTCGTAAACAAGAGGAAGACAAACTCTATGTTGAGCCCAGCGATATGCATTCCAAGGGAATGGCTCTGTTTTACATTCACAGTGTTATTTCTTACAAATGTAAACATCTAGCCAGGAACAACATCTGGCCTGTGATACTGCTGTCTCAGAGCTGCTGACATAACCTGCGGGGGAGGCGGGAGGCGGGTGGGGAGCAGCCAACAGTTCTGAGAACTTTCCCCTCGTTCCCAAACCTTCTAGCGGGCTTTCCAGGAAAAAGCTAGGATGAGAAACAGGAGCCCCCAACCAATACGGAATGGTGATTTTCTTACGTGTTATAATTCAGTAGCTTCCCTTAAGGGCCTCCTCAAACATCGGACCCCTTTCTACCGCTCCTGCTGCCCCGCCACGAGGACGAGGTGGTCCTGGCTGGGGGAGGCCTCTGTTGGGAGCTGGTGGGAAAAGCCTCATACAGGCCTGGCAGAGGCTGCTCAGAGGAGGGGCTCCCTTTCAGCTCCCCCTCACGTATGTGGGCAGCATACAAGTCCACATCTCAGCTGCTCCCCAGCTGCCACATAGGAGAGGGACAGGTGGAAGCTTGGGGGTCTCAAGGCAGCACCTGCACAGAGTTCCAACATTTCCTCCACTTACCACATTCAATACCCAAAACATCGACGGGCATGACCAAACCAAGCCACATGACAGTCGCCAACCTTGCCTGGCTCGCCTCTAGGGCTGAGGAAGCAGAGCCCCTGCCTCGTCTCACAGCCAGTCGGCAAGCAGAGCTCCCAAATCCAGCTCCTACATCAGCAGCAGCCCGGCCATCCAGAATCCACTTCCATTTTAATGACTTGGCTCCTCTGGGCCTGCAAACAGGAGGCTGGTCCAGGGACCTGGCCTGGGGATAGGAGTGGCGGCTCTGACAGGGCCGTGGGGCAGTCTCCGATGAGCACAGATCTGCACTCTCCTGACTAAAAGGGGTCACCGTGCAAGATGTCAGCTGGAACGGGGGCAGAAGGGATGCTGGGCTCTGTCACTAACAGTGCCAAGACACCAAGCTTTGCTGTTGACCGAGAGAGGCTCAGACAAAACACAGCTCAGTGACACTCTTAGGGCATGCATCCATGGAGCAGCAGGTCCCAACACCTGCCAGCCAGCTCCTAGGCAGACGCCACCCCAGGGCTAGCAAGGAACAGGAGTGGGAGGCCCATGTCTCTGGACACAGTGGAGGCTGCTCACAGCCAGGGAGGGCTGGCCTTCTCAGCTGAGTGACAGGGAGGCTGCTGTCCCTGACTGGTGGGTGGAGAACGACAGTCGTCTGTGCCCGAGGAGGAGGGGCTGCAGGTGAGCGCACCCCTAGGATAATGGGGGCCTGTCCTCAGTCCTGCTGTGGCCACCTGCCCACTAACGCCTCTCTACATCCCAGTCACCTTGTGAATGCATAAACAGGAACATGTACAACGGAAATGTCAGCGGGTGCTCAGGAGGGCTATGCCAGTGGCTACAGGAGAGGGAGCGTGGCCGGGGGCCCTGTCCACCACCCCGGACGCTGTCGCATGCAGCACAGGCCTTGCGATTCACATACTTTACACGGGCATAGAAAGAGTTACGTTAAAATTAATCTCTTTACTGATATAATTAAATTTTAAATCCTGAGAAGAAAAGAGAGAAGGGAGAATGGTGCCGGGTGTCTAGCACCCCCAGCCACTGGCCCAGCACAGGCCATGGCATCTGTGCATCCAGACACGGGGCGTGGCATGCACACCCCACCAGGGAGACCCAGGCCAGTGTTCCCAAAGCCTGCTCACGGCACCTTCTACTGCAGGACAGCAGAGGGGCCAACAGCCAGCCTGCAGGAGGGAGGACTTCTGGCCCAGATGCAAGAGCAGCTGCAACCTGGCAACAACCAGCAGGTGACTATCAGGAGAAAGGACCTGGTCACCCACATGGGGTGCAGCACAGCTGCTCCTGCTTTCTGGAAGGCCTCAGGCTCAGCCCCACCAGGACTGCAGACACTCCCTGCCTGGCCACTGCCACAAAGAGCACTTCTGCCACATGGCAGAGACACGCACGTTGCCTGGCCGCCCGCGGCATGTGCGGAAGCCCATAGGGACCAAGCTGGCTCGGTGGAGGCAGGGCACAAGGGCGCAGACTTCCAAAGGCTCCGGCCCCAGCTGCCGCCTCACAGTCTCTCCCACCATGGCGCTCAGCAGGTGGTGACCTTGTGGACATTTCGTAAACAAGTCAGCAGCCGGTGATATGGGCTTCCTGGGGCTGCAACCACCTCAAGCACAGACTGGAAGGCCCTGCGGTCGAGCTCCTCCTCTATCTGGTGTCTGTAGAAGTCTGTGGCGACCAGGCAGAAAAGGTTCACGTCCACCTGCTCCAGCTTGCCCATCCTGCTGATGACATGTGGGAGGCTGGTGCAGGAGTTAAGGAAAAAGGCCGGCAAATGAGGGGAATGCTGCCTCCCTGTCCTCACCTGGGAGTTCCTCTCCTGAAACAGTCTACAAAGGGGTCCAGGGAGCCTGGAGAGCGAGCAGAGCCCCGGAAGGGCCACCTGGATGCCTCCAGCTGCATCAGCGCCTCCACCTCCATTCCTGCAACCCTTGGCTGGCTGGATGCCCTGCAGGCAGGGCACCCACTCGGCAGCACTCACCTGGCCTGGCTCCTGTGCAGCGCTGGTGGCCGGTGCTTCCGCTGGCCTCCACTAGCCCTGCTCCAATGCAGTGAGGGCAGAGCCGTGCCAGGCACGCCGGGCAAGGCTGTGCTGTCAGCACCAGGACAACTGTGCTGCTTGGAGGCTCTTGTGGTCTGTCTTGGGGAAGGGCTGTGGAAAGGGAAACTCCTGGCAGCCAGCATCTGGGGGTGGGAACTGGATCTTTACTTAAGCCTTTCCCCGAGAGGGCGATCGAGGCACAATGACCAAAGCTAATGAGAAGCAGTGTCAGGAGAAGCCCAGCCACACAGAGCCCGCGAGTGGGCGGGACGTCTGCAGAGACCACCGCCCACCCTCGCTCCCCTCACCCAGGCCCTCCACAGAAAGGCCCCTCAGCTGCGACCCTCCTGCCATACACCGGCCCCTCTGAGAGGCCCTGGTCAGCAAATGTCTGGACGTGCTCCTTTCTGTACCCCTGTCAGCATTTTACTTCCCTGGGGCTGAGGGCCTGTCACCCTGGCATCTGTGGGGTTTTTGCAAAGGTTAGGTTTCAAAACCTTATCATGAAACATGAGCCTCGGTGTTGACAAGGGAAACGGGGCCAGCACCAGGGACCCAGAGAGGATACATCGCCGCGACCCACGGGCTGGTGGACGCGCTGACAAAGAAGCAGGAGAGGCTCCACGTGGCCATGGCGACCGGGGCCCTCTGCGTGAAGTTGGAGAGGGACAGCATGACCCAGTCCCGGACCATGGACGACTGCCCGGTGCTGTGCAGAGTCTGAAACACCTGCAAGGAGCAAGCAGGTGCCTGAGTGTCAGGGCTGGGGGGACGGGAAGCACCTGCTGCGCCTGGGTGGCGGGGGTGGGGTGGGGGCCAGAGGCATTGCTGCTTTAAAGCGGAGGAGCTGGGCTCTGCTGGCGAATCTGCTGGGAAGTCGGAGGCAACTCCACCTCCAGGCTTTCCCACTCCATCCCCATCCCACATGCAACCTCACCTTATACACCACGGTGGCCATGAACTGGGGGTATGGCTGCTGGTTGGACAGAAACTCTCCGATGACTTTGTTCATGATGTCCTGGGGTGGGAAGAAGTCGTCTAGAAACTGGGGCAGGATCCTGGCCACCACTCTGGCTTCACAAGGAAAGCCTTTCCTGATCCTGGGAGGAGGGACGCAGGTCAGAGACTGGCACCAGCTCCCACAGCTGCCCCACCTGCCCGCGGAGGGCCTTGGCTCTAATACTGGGGAAAATGCCGATGTGAAATCAGGGCTGGGAGGGACCCTCGGCCGTGAGGGACTTTCCAAGTGGGGAAAGTCAGAGCCTAAGCAACTGGAGTACGAATTTTGAGACTAAAAAGGCAAAACCCCAGCCCTTCCTCTGTCTAGCTCGTGGAGGCAGGCTGCTCGGCACAGGCCCTGGGCTCCCACACCCTGTAGGGACCAGAACTCCTAAGAGGAGTTTGAAAGCTACGTAAAGCCTGGGCTCCCACGCCCTGTAGGGACCAGAACTCCTAAGAGGAGTTTGAAAGCTACATAAAGGAATATGCAGAAACGGCGCAGCGGGAAGGATGTTACAAAAGAGATTTTTAAAAATCATAACAAAAGAACCCGTTCCCATTATGTTTTTGCTGCTTTCCACATGCAAATGCTCCACAAACATCCCTATGTGTTCTAACGCTTCGTGGCACTGTTGTCAACCAGGACTTTTTTCTTGTTACCACACAGGGCCCCATCTGTGCTCTCGCTGCTTCTTCCCTAACCAGATCCTGAAACACGCCCCCTGAGCAGTATCCCTTTCAGTGCTGAAAAGCAACCATCACGTTCCCGTCTCATCAGTGCACACATGCCAGCCGTGTGTAACTGAGACACACGGGAAGCAGCTACGAAAATGGCAGTGCACTTCCTCACAGGTGCTCCTGGCTCTACCCGCCCGCAGACCCTCGCCCAGCAGTGGCATGGCAGCCGCTCTGAAGACACTGCTCCACAGAGAGAAATCTGTGGTCAGCTGCGAGGTGCCTCCCTGTGGCGTCTGGAGAGCGGTCAAGCGGAAGGCGTGCACCACACTCTTTGGAGCACTCGCCACCTAGCATTGGGCCCACTAGACCACAAGCCCCTTGAAGGCCAGGACTGGTCGTGGCGCCTCCCTGTGCCCGTCTGCCAGTCGCAGTGGTGCTCAGTGAGCATATGGGGACTGAAGAACGATGCAGAGGTGCATTTAAAAATCGACATGGGGGCCGGGCGCAGTGGCTCACGCCTGCAATCCCAGCACTTTGGGAGGCCAAGGAGGGTGGATCACTTGAGTTCAGGAGTTCGAGACCAGCCCAGCCAACACGGTGAAACCCCGTCTCTACTAAAAACACAAAAATTAGCTGGGCATGGTGGTGTGTGCCTGTAATCCCAGCTACTAGGGAGGCTGAGGCAGGAGAATCACTTGAACCCGGGAGGCGGAGGTTGCAGTGAGCCGAGATCACACCATTGCACTCCAGCCTGGGTGACAAGGGAAAAACTCCATCTCAAAAAGAAAAGAAAAAAAAAAATCAACATGAAAACAGACCAGCACAGGCTTGGCTGTTCAGAATGCCTCATCTGGTCAAACAGTGGAGCAAGGTCCACCTGAGTATGCTCTTGAGAAAAGCCAAATGGCTCCCCACTGGCCACCCTGATTGGAGAGCACAGGCAAGGCAGTGCAACAAGGCTCCAGATCCACCATGTCGCCAGGACTGAGGCCTGAGAGCAAATCAGGGGCCCTTGTCCTTGAGAAAAAGCCCTACCAAGCTCCTAACCCACTTCCAGAGCAGGTGAGGGAAGCCAATTCTATGCACGCACAGCAGTGGGGGGTGGTGGGGGGCAGAAGCCACTGACCACACGGGTCTCAAAGATGCATGTGTGGGTTCCACCTTCATCCTCCTGCCGCTGCTCCTCACCCTGCTCACAGGCACCACGGCCCCCCTCCCACAGCCCCGTGGGCTCCCCTCTCACGATAGGCAGCCAGGCTGAGCCAGCTCCTCCTCACTGTACAGGCTTCTGCCCCACCCTCCCAGAGGCTGGTCATTCCTGCCCCCTGCCACACCCCCAACTGCCAGGTACTGTCCCTGAGCCCTCAGGAGAGATGGGCAGGCACTGGGACAACCTTGGAACTGGTCAACGCTACACCTGAGTGCTGGGGTCCAAGGACCACCAGCTCGCCAGTGGAACCCTGAGCCAAGGCAGCCCATGGTCAGGCTGTGGTGGGGAATCACTGGCAGGACTCCAGCAACAGCGCCAGGGGATCAGCAGACACACACAAAAGCACAGCTTCAGGCCAAAGTTCTAGGGAAGCTAACGGCTGAGGGATGGGGCTTCGCTTCTTACCTATCAAAAAGAACAGATACCCGCTCCATAGCAACAATCACTGACTCGCTGTCGGGGGCTGCAGGATTAGGGTCTGAAGTTCTACCCGGACTGACTTTCTCCTTTCCTGTAACAAAAGTGTTCAGTACGAAGGTTACCTCTATACAACCCAATAGGCTCTGTAGACAGTGCTTTGTACACAGGGGTCCAGTGAGTCCCTGGAGATCTGAAAGCAGGTGATATCAGCCCCTTGCTTGCCCAGGACCCAGCCCAGCTCAGCCACATGGGATGAGTGACCACAGGGACGGTCAACCCTGACCAGGTACTCCAGCCCTGGGGGCTCCAGAGCCTTTCTTGCAAGGTGATGGGGCCGGCTTGGGGCAACACCAGAAGTGTGAAATCAGAGGGCACCTAGTCGAGGTCCCTTGAGTGAGCATGCTCCTGCCTCCCTTGAACAGGACTTGGGCTGGCCTTATGGGCACCGTGTACATGCTCACCTGTGTACATGCAGGTGAGCATCAGGCCCAGAGCCGCCATGGCCCGGTGCGGGCTGTGCACGTTCACTCTGTCCACACTCAGCTTGACCAGCGATTCTGCATCCAGGCGGGAGAGCTGCTCAGAGAGCAGGAGGCGCTCCAGGCCTCTGAGGGCACAGTGGTAAATGATGGAGGGGGTGGACTCCTCACTTCCAGACAGCATCACCCCACACATCTGCACAGGGAGAAAGGCCTCTGTGTCAAAGAATCGCTGCACAGTCTCAGGTGTTCATGCCTCCTCCCGACCAAGTCAAAACTGGCCCACTGGTATGATCCTGCAAGGAAAAGAGAAGGGAAGCCCACTCCCCGTGTGCAGAGGAAGACAGCCAGGGCCCACTCACCTGTATTATTGATGCTGAAAATTCCGGCCCTACGTCCAGAGGATAGTTCTCAATGAGGTAAAACGCAGTGGCACACATGACCAGTACGTGCTGCTGGCTGTGAATGTTCACGCAGCTGAAAACGGGAGACAGCATCCAGGCTCAGCCACCCCCATCCAACGTGGAGAGGGCTTCACAGCATGTCCGGCCCCACGCGGGAGTGTAGAGCTATGGGCCAGGCGGGCTCCCGGGAGCGCCTACCCTGAGTGGCTCCCCCAGGCCCCTGCAACCTGGCCTGACCCTTCAGCCTCTGCTTGACCACTCCCTGAGTGGCTGAGCCCGTCTACCTCCCCAACGCCCTGCCCTCTCGGCCTAACTCAGCCTCCCCTGTGGCCACCTCCATGCTGGCCACCACACACTTCCTCTCTCTGTCCCTCAACGAGGCCCTAGATTCCCACACCCCAGGCCAGTCCCCTCTACTTCCTGAGTGCCCTGTGCTTTTCCTTCATGGCACATGCCATCATGACGTGCTGCCTTCTGTGATCCCCCGACAGCGCCGGCCTTCCCCATGGCACAGTGAGGACCTGGTAGCCAGGGACTGAATGAGTGGCCACTGTGAACAGAGGAGCCAATACGATGCCCCCCAACACCCACAAAAACGTGCCCAGTGATGCGTATATCTGTCACCACGTGGTCCCACCTCCACCTCGGAGGCACGTGACACGGCCCCTCTGCCCATGGTGCTGAGGTCAGCCCCACGCACCATTTCTACCTGGATGCCACAAGCTCTCTGCATCCCAAACGCAACTCCTGGACCACCTCAACTCTCCTTCCCTGAGTCCTCCATGCCCACAGCAAGAGCCATAGAACAGCCCAACACACCAGCACAGGCAGGGCTTTGGCCTGTGTCTGGGGCCTGTTCTGGGGCTGCCCCCCAAAATCACGTCACTGCACCAACATATGTGCCTGATTTGCAGGCCTGTGCCCCGTGTGACTTGGCCCTATGCCAGGCTCCAGGGATGCAGAGACAGTTGCCAGCCGTCCGCCTGTCCTGCTAGCACAGCACCCACTGCCCAGCAAGGATGACAGGCGAGAAGGGCCTCCCCACGGGCTTGTGACACTCTGGCCTGGATGAGGGCAATGGCCCCTGATGAGCCGCTGTCCCTGCTCCAGCATGTCCCAAATCCTGCCAGACGGCCACCGGCATGTGCCCTGGCTCACACCTCCCTCCTGTCTGAACTGTGCCTACAGAGACCTTCCCGTCTCCCTCCAGGTCTTCCACTCAACTTTGACCTAGCCCCCGTTTCCTGCCCACTTGTCAAAGGGGATCACTGGCCATTCCTCCCAGACCCCTTCCCATCTTTGCTCCTAATTCTTGCCCTCAACTCCCCCATGTGGGTGGCTGATGAAATTCCACCCTCCCTCTAAAGACAGCTCCCGTGTGCAGAAGCCTATGACTCAGAGAGGCTGGGCCCATCTCTGCTAAAGCCTCTGCGACTTTGGAAGAGTGGCGGTGAGACCAGGGTGTCACAGAGCCCTCTGCGCTTGTAAGACATCGCTGTGAAGAGCTTGACTTGCTCGCTGAGGGGTTGCGGCACCAGCCGTGCTTTGTCAAGGACACGTGTGTACAGAACCTGCCGTCCAGCAGCTTTAAGATAAGGTGAGGTCGGAATCACAGTGGAAACAAGAGGGAGGTACTGGGCCAGGGCGGGGAAGGTGCAGAGAGGAGGCTAGCCTGGGTAATAACAGGGTTCTGGGAGCAGAGAATGAGAGCCGATGGCCTCGAGAGCAGAGTCAGGAATGGGCACGTGGGAGAGTGTGCTAAGCGCCACATGAGACAGCAGCAGAGGCGAGAGCTCCAGCTCGCTGGAGGTGCCCGAGGAAGCCTCTAGGACGCACCTGTGCTCTTGCGTCTCACTGACCTCAGCCATGGCACCCACCTGGGTTCCCACTGATACCTGGCCTGCCATCTGGCCAGGAGCCTGGGCACTTGGAGAGGGTGATGCTGCTTCCTTCACAGCTCATTCTGAGACCCCCGCCCCAGCCCCAGCCAGGCTCCCACTCACTGGGCGATCCCTTTCAGGTTGGAGAGGAGATAGTCGCTGATGACCGGGATGAGCTGCTTGGCAGTGTCGTCCAGCAGGTCGCACTCCAGCACATAGAGGACGCCGTGCAGGGCTCCAACCCTGCTGGGCAGGTGGCTGCTCCTGAGCGTGCTCTCCAGCAGGCGGCTGACAGGCTCCGCCACGGCCTTGTCCTAGGCACACACAGACAAAAGCTGCTGCATGCCACCAGAGCTCACGTCCCAGTGGCTCCTCCCCACAGCCGAGGCGGGGGCGCTGCCCTCACGCTTGTGTGCAGAAGAGACTACACAGCAGGCCGGAGACCATCCTGAGAGGCCTGTGTGCAAGGCTGGCCCCTGGCTGGTGTTGGGACGGTGCCCACCATCCTCACTGAGGAGGGGCTCCCTGTGCTCAGCTGCTTGTGTGGGCACCAGGGTTGGTGCTGAGAACTTGCCTTCCCTCCGGGAGTCCAGAGTCTGGGCACGAGGCAGGCAGAGGGTGCCCATGTGCCCAGCCCCCAGTAAAAACCCTGGCACCGAGTCTCTAGTGTGCTTTCCTGGCGACGACACTGCACACGCGCTGTCACGGCTCACTGTGCGGGGAGTTAAGTGCGTCCTGCACGACCCCGCTGGGAGAGGATTCTGGAAGCTCAAGCCTGGTGTCCTCGGGACATCGCCCCATGGGCCTCTGCCCTTGCTAATTTTCTTTGCTGATTTTGTTTTGTGTGCTTTTACCATAACACATCTTAGCTGAGAGTCTTTCTAGAAAAGCCTGGGGTAGTCTTGGGGATCCCTGATAGTGGTTTCTGTCAACTTCAACCAAAATGGCCTCAATTTCACTTAGTATCCAAAACCTAGCAGGGTTAAATATCGACCTAAACACTTAGCCCACGTTCTTCACTTTCAATCTGCTCTTTAACAGTGAGGAGACCCCTGCAGAAGTCAGCAAGGAATGTCACCCTCCTTCAGCCCAAGACTATGGGGACACAGAATTCCCATGGAGCGCTGGATGGCCAGGCGGCCTCTTGTTTTTGTGGAATGATGAGGTTCTCGGCAGTGGTAGGAGCCTCTCCGCAGGGGAAATGGCCGGACGACACAGAAGCCACTCCCAGCCATCCCAGGAACAAGGACCAAAAGAGGAGGCTGTTCTTTGTGGGTCACTTCCTTCTTGGGCCCCCACCTCACCCTGTGCTATCCCCTCACACGCACAACGCCACACGGCCCCTCCCTAAGGACTGCGTACGGCCCCAGGTCCCACTTCTGAAAGCCCCACATCAGGACCTGCTCTCGGGTGGCACGGATTTCACAACGGTGGGCAAATACCTCAAAACGACATGCTCTGGATACGTGGGTACCAAGCATGACGCGCTGAAAACCTTCACAGAGGATGGCCATCTTCCAGAAAGCATGAGTGCACAAAGAGCTGGGAGTGAGTGTCCATGACCATCCTGCCTTAGGATCTGCTTTTCAAAATGATTATTTCTCATTTGATTACTGATGGCACAACACTTGCCTAGGGGGATCTGGGCCTGAGCACAAAACCACAGTTACAATTCAAGTTAGCCCAGCAGCTGAAACTTCCCACAAAGGAGAAGGACCCCTTCCAAGAGCCGCTTTGACATCGTGTGGGCAACACCCAGAGGGTGTTCGCCGTGAAGAGAGATGCCCACACAGGGAACCCACACACTCAATTGTTTCCACTCCCTGGACGGCTGCTGAGTCACCAGCATGGCACCAGGCTGAAGGACACCCACAAGGGAAGATGACTGGCGTTTGGGCTCGGGGAGGACAGAGTCTAGGCAAGAGCAGTCAAGACTCGCAGAGAGGGAGTCAGGCTCCAGGTCACGGACATGTGCTCACCTCAACCTCTGCTGCATTTTGTGTGACCCAGACAAGCCAGCTAACCTCTGACCTTGGCCGCCTAGGGTGGGGCCAAGGTCACCCTTGGCCTTGTCAGGTGGGGGTGCGGGAGGAAGAGCTCCGCAAATGTTAGCGGCTGGAGTGATGGCAAAAAAAAAAATCATTCACCGTCATGACAGCATTGTCGTTCCTGACACACAGGAGCCCGTCCAGAGCACGGGCTAGGCAGGCCCTGATGGGCACCACCATGCCATTCTCACCAAGGGCCCCAGACGGCTGGCACACGGCAGCCACTCAGGTGTTTGTTGAAGAAATGAGTTTCCATTGCTATCATAAAATGGATTACTAGGTAATGCCACATGACAAGGAACCAGAGGTGCCAGCTCTGACAGTTCTGCCATCCTTGAATATGCTTCGCCAGATGTCGGGACCCACGGGCAATGATTTCACGTGTGCAGGTGATGGATACTTGGCAAATACCATGTGGTGATGTGCCACAGAATACAGGTACCATGCTGCACTGGCTGAATCCTGATAAACCAGAAGCAGAATAAGGAGGAACTCAAGAGGATGAACACTTGACCGCTGGGATGGTCTGAATGTTTCTATCCCTCCTGAAACTCCTACACTGACACCTAATTTGCAGTGCCACAGTACAAGAAGGTGGGGCCTTGGGAGGTGATGAGGTCATGATGGGAGAGCCCTTGTGGATTGGGGCCCTTCTAAAAGGCCTGAGGGAGCTTGTTCACTCCTTCCACCGTGAGGACCCAGCCAGAAGATGCCATCTATGAAGCAGAGAGCAGCCCTCATCACACACCAAATCTGCTGGCACCTTGACCATGAAAACTTCCAGCCCCCAGAACGGTGAGAAGTAAATTTCCACTGTTTATAAATTACCCAGTCTAAGGTAACTTGTGGTAGCAGCCAAAAAAGACTAAGACAACCACCACGCTAAAAAGAGACTATAGCACCCAGATTTGGGACTAGAAACACAGGGTCACTGTGACAAAACGGCCCCCAGGAGAGAAGCTGTCCAGCCAGGAAGCTCGGGGGGCCTGGAACATAACTGAGAAGGGGAGTGAGGCAGTCAGGCCTCAGGGCAGAGCATGGGGAAGCCAGTAGCATTTCCACCATCTACGATGCCTCAGCGCCACCACACACCGTGGTTCTGTGGGGATGGGCTACTACAATGATGTCATAAGCCCAGGGATACGGGACCCCAAACCATGGCTTGGCCGCCACAACCCACATCACAGTGACCTGTGAATGGCACTGACCGTCGCTGAACCCCCTCCATCTGAGAAGCACTGCAGCTCACGTGGGCCGTGGAGTCCGGTTCGGGTCAACTCTTGGAAGGAGGCAGCCGCACCCGGCACCTCTGGCCAACACCAGGTCCCAAGGCAGATGGGCCCCCGTGGCTTCAGCACAGAAACCTCTGTGCCACCTGTCACTTACCATCCCAAGGACGGCAGCTGCCTTGCAGGTGGCAGGCACCAGGTACTGAGCGAGGATCTCGTCTTCTGAAGGGTGCACCCTTCGCAGTTCTGTCAGCGTCACATACATCAGCTCAAACTGGTTGCGCTCGGTGAACAAGTCTGAGACCACTAGAAGCTGGAGATGTGGAAAACCAGGAGGGCAAGGGGAGAATCGCGCTGTTAGAATCCAGGCAACGCATCCAGAACGCTACTACTGGCAAGTCGTGTTCTTACACCCAAGAGACATTACTGTGCGGGACGCATGTGTGCGTGTGTGTGTGGTGTATGCGTGTGCTGTGTCTGTGTGGGTGCGTGGTACACGTGGTGCATGTATGGTGTGTGTATGGTGTGTACATGTGGCGTATGTGGTGTGTGTGTGCGCATGTGGTGTGTGTGCGTGGTGTGCAAGTGGTGTGTGTGTGGTGTGGGGTGTGTATATACATGTGTGTACATGTGGCATGTGTGTGGTGCATGTGTGTGTGGCATGTGTGTGGTGCGTACATGTGTGTGGGGTGTGTGCACGTGGCGTGTGTGTAGTGTGTGCCATGTGTCTGGTGCATGCACATGTGGCATGTGTGTGGTGCATGTGTGTGGTTGTGTGCTGTGTGTGGCACATACATGTGGTGTGTGGGGTGTGTGCACGTGGCATGTGTGTGTTGTGTGCATGTAACCTGTGTGGTGTGGTGCATGTGGTGTGTGTGGTGTGTGTGTGTGTGTGTGGTGCATGCATGTGGAGTGTGTGTGCATGTGGCATGTGTGTGGTGCATGTGGTGTGGCGTGTGTGTGTGGCATGTGTGCTGTGTGTGTTGTGTGTATGGTGCATGCCGTGTATGTGTGTGCATGTGGCATGTGTGTGTGGTGTCTATGGTGCGTGTGGCCTGTGTGTGTGTTGCATGCATGAGGGGTGTGTGTGCAAGTGGCATGTGTGTGGGCGGTGTGTGTGTGTGGGGTGTGTGGCGTGTGTGGTGCGTGTGGCACGTGCAGGTGTGAGGGGAATGGGAAGGCTCACTTACGGATCTGACCACCTCACTGATCAGGATGGCCGGGGTCCTCCTGGCTGAGCTGGACGGCAGGATCCAGCGGCTGTACAACTCAAGCAAAAACTGCGAACAGGAGTGGATGTCAACTCCAGCCCGGTGTTTCCTGTGGAATATGCGAGATGGGTATTTTCCAAGTACATGAGATGAGAGGCTCATTTCAAGAAGCACCTCAAACAAATCAAATGACTGATAAGAAATTTCAAATTTCTGTTAAAAAGAAAAAGGCCATTGGAAAACCTGGAGTTGACTGGAGACGTGGGTGGTGACGAAGGTGCAGGGGCGTCGGCCTCCTCCTCCTCTTCCTCGTCCCATTCCTCCTCCCTCAGGGGTGTGATGCTGTTCCCCAGCCACACGGAGTGTATGGACACCTGCCACAGAAACGGGGCACTGCTCAGTGCTGCGGCCACAGTGCCAGGCTCCTGGTGGGTGGGTGTGGCCACTGGGACTCAGCACATGCCTACCGTCTAACAGTCTGCCCCTTAGCAAGGGTCGTTCAGACACCCCAGGTTACGGGCAAGGGAGCCCACAGAGAGGGTGGGGCAGGGGCTGGACAGCTGCTGGGAAGCTCCAGCACATGCTAAAGGCATGAATCAGGGGCCAGTCAACCCCAGGAGCAGCTGAGGAGGGTGACACAGAAAGAGGCTCTACGAAGGGATGCTTTCACTCCTAAGTGACATCTGAATGGAGTCCCCAAAACACGGAACCAATACGTGAGATTCCTTTTCCAGTCTCCCGCACTGGCAGTCATTGCGGTAAACCCAAGGCCAGAGCTCCCTCGCGCCTTTGTGACCCGCGCTCTAGATCACGCAGCCACCACGCAGTCAGCACACCTCGACTGTCCTCCTTTCTGCCTGGTTCTCGGGAAGCCTCGAGCACTTGGCACAGTGCTGTGGGCTGTGTGCCCATAAAAAGCTGTTCTCCATCATCACTGGCACTAGCCCCAACTCACGTTCTTGGCACCAAGGGCCATTTCCCCCCTGGGACCCAGCACCCTGCAGGGAGTGGGCGAGGAGTCTGTATGAACAGCTCTCAGGCCAAGGAGGAGCCCCTGCACTCCCCTCGCCCAGACCCCTAACCCCCACCCCTCTTTCCCAAAAGCAAGTAGCGGCTCAGTCCAGTGGCATCTAGGGGCTAAACATCCCAGACAGGGCAGGGGTGGCACTGTCCTTCAGCCCCAGACAGGGCAGGGGTGGCACTGTCCTTCAGCCCCAGACAGGGCAGGGGTGGCACTGTCCTTCAGCCCCAGACAGGGCAGGGGTGGCACTGTCCTTCAGCCCCAGACAGGGCAGGGGTGGCACTGTCCTTCAGCCCCAGACAGGGCAGGGGTGGCACTGTCCTTCAGCCCCAGACAGGGCAGGGGTGGCACTGTCCTTCAGCCCCAGACAGGGCAGGGGTGGCACTGTCCTTCAGCCCCAGACAGGGCAGGGGTGGCACTGTCCTTCAGCCCCAGACAGGGCAGGGGTGGCACTGTCCTTCAGCCCCAGACAGGGCAGGGGTGGCACTGTCCTTCAGCCCCAGACAGGGCAGGGGTGGCACTGTCCTTCAGCCCCAGACAGGGCAGGGGTGGCACTGTCCTTCAGCCCCAGACAGGGCAGGGGTGGCACTGTCCTTCAGCCCCAGACAGGGAAGGGGTGGCACTGTCCTTCAGCCCCAGACAGGGCAGGGGTGGCACTGTACTTCAGCCCCAGACAGGGCAGGGGTGGCACTGTCCTTCAGCCCCAGACAGGGCAGGGGTGGCACTGTACTTCAGCCCCAGACAGGGCAGGGGTGGGACCGTACTTCAGCCCCAGTATGATCCCATGACAGTTGGTTTGCGGACGCTGGACACAACGCAAACATTGAAGGATGTGGCCAAATGCAGCGGGGTTGGGGGGATAGGGAATACCTCGGGCACAGACCAGTGTCCCTGGGCCCAGGACAAGGCCAGAGGCACCCAGTGAGCCCCAGGCCTCTCACTCTCAGCCTGCCCTTCAGAAACACTTTCATGAAAAATACAGTGCATCCTATTGGTCATTTTCACTTATCTTGGGGTGGAAACATCTGTCAAAGGTGAAAGGACAGAAGAGTGGGACTTCTTTTTCCAACTATGTCTAGAAAAATACAGGCTGGTCCAGTAGCTCCCTGCTTCCTGTCACTGAAACCGGCAGGCACAAAACAGGACAGTACAGGCAGAGAGCAGGGAACAGAAACAGGCTTGTGACATCACAGGGTTTCTGCTGTGAAGGCTGCAGGCCAGGAACTCAGAAGAGGAAACTCTCAGAGCTCATAAGTGTTTCTAAACACCATATTCTGACCCATTTCCACAGAAACAAAAGCTACAAAGAGAACTGTCCTGCACAACTGCTTTCACTAAATCAGGAACCCGGTGAGCGAAAGACACAGCACCGGGGTGGAGGGAAAGGTGCAAGTCGGCCAGCACAGCCGGGCCCCGCCCAGCATACACCTGTAGGGCTCCACGCCATGTGCCATCATATGCAAATGGCCCTACGTTTCTGTTTACATTTTTTTTTAAGGGACAGAGTACTGGTCTGTTGCCCAGGCTGGAGTGCAGTGGTGCAATCATGGCTCACTGCAGCCTCAACCTCCTGAGCTCAGGTAAGCCTCCTGCCTCAGCCTCCTAAAATGTTATAGATTACAGGTGTTAGCCACCACACCCAGACCCTTGAATCCCTTCACTTATCTGAGGAGGAAACAGAAGCACAGACCAATGTGACCTGCTAGGAAGTGGCCGAGCTGTCTGCCTGCACACGGGGCTCCCACCCAGAACTGGCCACAGGGACAGGGACACTCAGGGAGCCCCCCAAGAGCTGGCCCCAGGGACACTCACGGCCACGCCTGCGGCCCCCCATACCATGGCCCTTCATGGCGTCTACTTCCTCCTGAGCATTTCAGCTGACTCCACTCTGTCCTCACCCCCCTTTTTGTGTCTCACGGTCCTTGCTTAAGTCCAAGTCACGCCCTCTCACTGTCTCTTACACACATCTCTATCGCTACATGTGAGGTCTCTTAACTACTTTCTGGAATACAGAACATAAATAAAAACAAAACTAATGCTTCCTCTGCTTGCGGGACCTAGGAATAAAACAGATAAAAACAATGAACATTAAATTTTTTTTTAAAAAAAAGGAAAACTTCCTTTCATTTAAAAAGTGCACTGAGCTTTTCTCCTGGGTGTGTCAAGCGCCAAAGTCTGAGGACAGAAACGGACAGAGGCCAGGCGGCGGGGGCGCGAGACTGACCTGGCCGAGTTTGTAGCTCATGCTCCCCAGCTCCCGCTCGGGGTTGATCTGTAGCAGCAGCTTCTCGTGGCTGATGAGGGCACCTGTGAACACCAGCACCCTGAGTCTTGATCTGCACAGGGGGGCAGGGCCGCAGGCCCACCCCATACCAGCCCAGCTCCTGCCCAGACAGGCACCCAGCCGTGAGCCACCTGCCCTCGCCGCCACTGGCAGGAGGGCCCAGGTTGTGCAGAGCCCTGTGGGTCTTGGGGATTTGTCACTTTATAACCAGTTAAGCTGGCAGGGCCAGTGGGCAAGCTGGACTCTGTCACTTTTTCTCTATGACAAATAAGACTGCAGCAGTCACTTGTCACCCCTCAGCTCCCACCTCTGTGAATAGGAACTGGTTGTGGGCTGAGCTGCAAAAGCTTAGGAGTCAGCAGTTGCAGGCGAGCCGACAGTCCAGGCAGGCAAGCTCTCTGGGGGACCCAGATAAGCATTTTGGTGAACAGTGCCTTCCAGAACCCCACCTCGGTGCCCAGGCTGACCAGATACAGCCGGCAGGAGCGGGAGCAGGATAATGCCCCCACTTAACCTTTCACACCCCCCCACGCCCCAGGCCAGCCTCCTCATGTCTTTCTGCTGGGCATCCCCCCAATTCCCGGGCACCAGCCTCCCGCTAAATGTCCCCAGCTAACCCTCTGCCAGACCCCAGATCAACTTGCCTCCTCCAAAGGGGCCTCCACGCCCCCTTCCCTGGAAGCACTTGCTCCCCTTGGAGCTCCAGGAGCTGCCTGTGTATGCCTCCCACCCACCTCTGTGCCCCTCTTTTCTGCCTTCTATGACAGGTCATTGCTCCTGGGTCCTCCTGACTTATGAGCTCCTTGAAGGCTGGATCCATGGCCCTCCAAGTGCTCAGTTTACTTCAACGCCCTAATAAACATTTGAGTCTCATAGACACTGCGTATAACACATTGCACGTCCACATAGAACTTTCTGCAATTAAAGCCTTCAAGGTGCTTAAACTCCTAAATAGCTACGGAATCACAGAGCTCTACGCTAAAATACTTTTGAGTGAAAAACGTGCATCCCAAATCCCCACACAACTCTCTTCTTTTAAACCAGGTGACAAGCTCCGATGCCTGTGATAGGGCAGGCACACAACCGGAAGGCTTGGTGGGAGAGTGGGCAGTGACAGGCAGGGCCCAGGGAGGGGAGAGGTGCAGGGAGCGGGGTGCTCAGGCCCAGCTGTGCCCTGCCCTGCAGCCACTGCCACACATGGTTTCTTAGGAAAAGCTGGAGATTCAGCTTGTGTAGATGAACTTGGTTGAGTTCTTAACATAAGCAACTAATTCAACTTTTAAATCCTGCTGGTCTTACAGCCCGTGAGAATTCTTTCGCTTCTCATTTCTTGACTGGCAGGAGAGAATGCTTCTCATTCATTTCCAGATTTTACTTCCTCCCTGGGCCTGACTAAGACTCCTGCTTATGAAAGGGGCAGCGTATTTAGCACCACAGCCTCCAACTCAGACCACACTCAGGTCTTCCCGCATCACTGGTGTGGTGAGCATGCCAGTCTTCTCTCATTCTAGCCCAAGTACAACCGCTCCCCCGCACCCTTTCCCTCAGGTACCTGTAGTAGCCGGAGACAGAGAAGGGACAGGATCCCATGCCTGATATAAATGATGGGTGGCAATATTCTCTCTCTTTGAAACCATTGCTTGAATCTCTTGCTCCACAATCCCTCTGATAATGCTCAGCTTCCTCCCAAACCTACATTTTAGAAAAAAGGTAAAGAGTGTTTTGTTTCCTTCAAAATCTTACAAGTGAAAAACACCAGAACTTTCCCTCCGCTTTGCCTAAAGGAACCTGGTGTAATACCAAATGAAACTCACTTCCTAAGTGAGCACCTGTCCGTGAGCCCTTAAGTGGGTGTTCTACTAGTTGCCTGCTCATTCCTGCTCTGCTAACGTCTTCCCCTAAATGCTCAATAACCCCACGTCAGTTCCTGTCACGTTTCCAGCTTCTCACTGACCAGGAGGCCACCTTTGGGTCTGCATCTCCTGCACAGGCCACACGGACGGTGTTTTCAATTCTAGCAATGAAGGAAAACGGCCTGGTTGAAGCTGCTGGACGCTTCAGCGGGGAACCCACTGTCCCCAGCACCTGCTATGTCCCAGAGACACGTGGGAACTCAAGCAAACCTGGTGTCGAGAGCTTTCAGAGGCTTGTTCCGGGGCTGCTGCTCCAAGCAGCTTACAGCTGGGTTGCCGGCCACAGGCACAGTCATTGCACTGAGCACCAGTGAGGTGATGGCCTGCACGGCCAGGACGTTGATCTGGGTCCTCTCTGTGTCTTCCTGGAAGGAGAGCCCACATGTCAACAAGAGCAGCAAGACACCCACAACCACCTCTGCCTGCAGAACCCAGAGTCTTCCCTGCCTCAATGGGAGGAAGAGGAGCCTTAAGTGCTACCAAAGGATTTCTGTCAGGCTGAGCTCACGGGGCACAAGGCAGGGCCTCCGCACACACGGGCCCTGAAACAATCTGATGGGCAAAAGCCCATTTTTCAAATCAAGGACTCCTTTGGGCACAAAACTCCAAACATGAATTACTTTTTAATAAATTATCTTTGAATTCCCTCATACATTTTACAGGCCTTGCTTATGACACCCTGTTAGCTTCTATGCATGAATTTAAAGACAATCTTGATGACTTGTGACATATGTCTACCCTCCAAACTGTCATTTCTGTGAGTTCAAACCACACCTTCTATCAGAATCAAGGGCCTGCATTCCACAACTTCCCATTCTGCTGGCTCCGCTGTACCAGAGCACAGTTATTATTAATATCGTGTTAGCGTAATGTACGTGAACACTTCAAGAAGCCTGATAAAATCTCTGCAAGACATTAGAAAAATGAAACCAGGTACTACTCATGGCCTTTATAAAGTGCCTTTTCATTTTAATTCAACCTACACTCCTCTGAATATTGATAAACTAAAAGATATTTTCCAGAAAGGGCACAATCGTATTGATCCTTAACATGGAATGCACCGTAATAAAATGCATTCCAGCCATTGGTAATCGCAGCCCCCAGACCTCAGCAGGCTTTGTCCCTGCTCTGGAATATCAGTCAAGACACCATTCAGCTACTCTTTCAAAAATAAGGTAAGAGAAAAAAAGAACACCAGCTTGCTGCCTTATTTTATTCCCCACCAAAGGCCTGCAAGCGGCCATAACTGCCCATGTGCCAACCAGCACAGGGTGTGGCCTTACTTCTGGTGGGCTCTCCTCCTGCTCCATCACGAGGGGCTGCGTCACCAGGACACCAAGGAGGGTGGCCCAAGTTTCTTCAAACTGAGTACGACTGGTCCAGCCTAGAAATATAAATGTTACATGAGAGAGTGTCAACCCTTCTCAAGCCTGTAACGGAGAGCTGACAGCTACGCCGACACAGCACGGCCCCTGGAGAAGGCTCCACGCCAAGGGCAGTGAGTCCCTTAAACCTCACACAGTTCTATGATGCGGGGAACACTATCCCCTCCATTTCATCATTGAGGAAACCGAAGTATAGACATCGGCTGCACTGTCCGAGACACATGAGAGGCAGGTGGCACAGGCCCAAGTCGGCCCTGGCAGCCTGGTCAACCCCCAGTGGAGCAGACACAGGGACAGGGCAGGGACGCCCATGCAGGCAACCTCGTGCAGGGCCAGGGCCACTTCTGCCCCACTCACTAAATGGGCTAAAATCTTCCCTGGAGTCCAGCCCTGAGACTGTGCAGCTGGCTGCACAACTCTGTGGATAAAACTAATGGCCACCAAGCTGTCCGCTTAGAGTGGGTGAAATCTGTAGTATGTGAATTCTACCTCAATAAAGCTGCTAAAAATTTAAAAGTCAAAGTAATGGTTCCTCTGACCTGTCTAGAAGAATAGATTAAAAAGAGTGTATCAAGGTAGGAACGGGGATTCAGTGAAAATACATCCGACAGACCCTCCATCCCTATTGATGAGCTGCATTCGAGTGTATCTAACGAACAGTTGTTTCTGACAGCTGTGCTTCATGTCCCCATCATGATGTCTGAGGCAGCCACGCCACTTGTGGTAAGGCCAGAGAGACGGGATGGGGTGCTTAGGACAGGAGAACTAGAGCAATGGACATCGGGGTCCCCGTGATAAACGGGGTAAAGAAAGAACAAGAGACAGAGAGAAGGAGAGCGTGCAGGACTGATTCAGACACAGATACAGACAAATATAACAATTTACGTTACAGGGAAAAAAATGAACAAAGAAAATGAGCACAGACAAGGCAAGGACTGCGGCACAGTCTTGGGTCACGCACGTCCGATGGGCAGTTCAAGAGCAAGGGCACCCAAGTAAGCAAAGGTGCTCGTGTTAGGCAAGGGGGAGAGAGCAGGAGGCCACTGATACCGATCCTCACAGCCAGGAAGAGGAGGAGCTCCGTGAGGCAGCTGGCGTGAGGTACCTGCTCAGGGCTCTCTTTGGACATTGAATTATAAAGGGGAAAGTAGAGGCAAGGTGTCTCCTGCCACAACCTTCTGGGATCCAAACAAGCCTCAAATCTGCAGAAGCCCGAGGGACTGGGGAGAGGACTGGACAGTGGAGTCAGGGTGCCCCTGCCAGACTTTCTAGGACAAGACAGGAACATTCCAGGAAACACCACAGCAGGGCACAGTCACTGAGAACTGACTGATTACAGTCCCACCACAAGATCACACCTCTTGCCATCAAATAGGGGCAAAAGTGGTGACTTATTCATTTAGACACTTATTTAGAAATAAGGGGTAACATTTGTTTAGAAATGTAATTTCTAAATCTGCAACAATTCTATGAAATAGACACGACCCCCATTTTACATATGACAAAACTGAGGGTCTCTAGAGGTTAGACGGACTTGCCCTGCGCTGCTCAGGTAGGAGGGCTGGAAGCAGACCAGGACTGTCTGAGCCCCAAGCCTGCTTTCTCCCCATGCTGCCTCTAGGCTCTGGGGAAGGCGAGTGCCAAGAAACCTGACTCCATCTGCTCCCGTCTGCTTGTTCCCATATGAGAAAATGGACCACTGAGACACAACAGGATCAGACTGGTGAACACAAGAAAACATTCTGAGACAAGTGCTGCCACTGTTTAGCCTAAATGCAAAATCTAAGGCAGAATTTGGTCTCACGTTGTCCACTACACATGAACCTTTCCTGACTTCAAACAAGCCCGGAATACACAAAGCTGGGATTCAAGCCACAAAACACAGGAACTGGGATCTATTTTCTCAGTATAAAAGGAGTTTTGCCAACACTGCAAAATGTATTCACATAGGTTTGTATTATTATCATGCTTAAATCTTTTCTGGAGTCAAATGAGAAGATCCCAGTACTGGGGGCTCTGGATTTCCTCCCGGTAGATGTCCGACAATGGTGACCTGAAGGAGAGGCCCCAAGAGTACCTAGTGTGTTGATGCGGTAGATGAACTCCTTAAAGACTTCCTTTTCCTGGAGGAACTCCACGGGGATCTCAGGGAATGCTGTGCCAAAATCCCCTCCCGGTTTGGGTGACCATCCAAGCTTCCACACCTGAGAAGATGAAAAGGAAGTGACATCATCCGAGTTGAGTCAGGACAGACATACTGTGAGGAAGCAGGAAGCCCGACTTCTCTCCACTGGGCTCCCTCCTCACTACCCCAACACTGTCCCAGAGCTGGCACCTTCTCCCCCAGAAAACAGCTCCAACTGCTTCCTGGGACTTCCTTCCCCATCAAGTGGCCCTCCCAAATCTGCTCTGCCCTCCCACTTCCTGTCCTCATCCTGAGGCTGCTGGCACACCCCACTCAGGGAGTGCTGGGAGAAGCAGGCAGGAGTTAGAGACAGCACCCCTCGCCCACAAACAGCAGGTGCTGTGCTAGAATAAAGGCAGGCGTTCAATGAGGTTCAGCTCAGATATGTTTATTGGCAAGCAGGCATGAAAATGAACCATACAGCTTATTTCTGTAAACTCTGAAGTCCAGTTCTCTGTGCGTGAGGTGCTCAGACAAGTGCCATGCACAGAAGAATCCAGAGGCAGGCTTGATGCTGTTCAAGTGGCAGGATCAGCTCACGGTCTGGCCAGCTCAGCTTACATGCCTTCAGTGAGGTGACAAAGGACCCAACGGAACCCCAGGATTCCCACAGCCCATCTGCACAAAGGCAGAGGGGGCTCTATGATAATGACCAGCTAATCTCTTACCTCACCACAGGAAAGCCCTCTCTTTAAATCGGTTATGCTCCCCTATGCTCCTCTCTGGTACCCACCCAGGGAGAGACTGCAGTGCCTGTTACAGCTGCCTTCCAGATGACCGCACTCAGGGAACTCCTCAATGCCAGTGAAGAGCTTGCTGGAGGAATTTTACCTACAGCGTGCAGCCCGTCCTGGCCTATCCTCAGGTGTGCTCTGGACGGCATGACCTCAAGACCGTGCCCTCCTGCATGGTCTCCACGAGCCCCTCCAAAGGAGCAGTTACTGTCTCATAACCAGATGCTAATGAACCCACAGTGACTCGCTGTGCACCAAGAGTGGGGCCGAGAGCAACCCCATGCAGCAAGTGTGGCCTGCTTCTCCAGCACCCCTGCTGCTCTCTTCCCAGGAAAGCCTACAACTCCCTGTTCTGCAACTGCTTCCAGCACCGCCAGGCACTGGCCTCTTCTTCGGAATAAGCCCGCCATCTGGAATACCTTCATTCCCTGCGGCAGAATCCTTATCTCTCAGGATCAAACAATACTGCGTCCTTGGAGCAAGCCTCCCTAGACTCTCCAGCATACATACACACACGTGCACACACACACACAGGCAGGCACGCACCCTTCTCAGGCAGCCACAAGCCTCTTCCCTGGGACCTGGCTCCATTCTCCCTGACCTACACCTGCTGGCTCACACCCTGCCAGGTCGGCCTTTCTTTCCTGCCTGAGGATGCTGCAGGCCCTAAGGAACAGGCCCCATCATCTTATTTCAGCGGGCTGGTGGGAGATGATGCCATTTCACTGGGCAGAAGTCAGTCCCCCTCCATCAACCCTCACTCTCCTCAAGCTAAGCTCCTCATGTTATCTGAAACAAGGGTTCTGATCAATAACACCTACCTTTTTTTTTTTTGAGACGGAGTCTTGCTCTGTTGCCCAGGCTAGAGTGCAGTGGCGCGATCTCGGCTTACTGCAACCTTCGCCTCCTGGGTTCAAGCGATTCTCCTGTCTCAGTCTCCTGAGTAGCTGGGATTACAGGCGTACACCACCACACCTGGCTAATTTTTATATTTTTAGTAGAGATGGGGTTTCACCATGTTGGCCAGGCTGGTCTCGAAATCCTGACCTCAAGTGATCCGCCCACCTTGGCTTCCCAAAGTGCTGGGATTACAGGCATGAGCTACTGCGCCTGGCAATAACACCTACTTTAAACCAATTCTGAAGACAACTGCAAAACTGTGTAGAAAAACATGAATTATCTCCAAAGGAAAATCTCACTCACTCGAGGGGGTGTGGTTTCTGGTCTGCTATTAAGCAAAGTGGTCTAGTTGCTCTAGAATCAGGTCTAACACTAATCTCTTAGGGATGTAGGGCCTCAGTTCATTTTAGAAAACCCAGTATTTCTACTAGCGACCTCCACACGTGGTGCCTGAGGAAAGCAGCCTGGCACCAGAACCACAGTGGGCACCAGAACCACAGCAGGCAGCCTCTGGGCTGCGGGGATTCTGTCCCGCCCTCTCACGTGTGCCCAGCCCAGGGCCTACCGGTGCCTTTCACCGTACTTGGTCTTCTGCAAGGAACGAGCAGACTCACCAGTGGGGGCACACGTGTGTAGCTGTTGACAAGGGGCAGGCGGGCCAGGCTGATGATGATGTTCCTTAGCAATGGCGTGAGAAACGCCGGCACGCCGCTATTCCTTTTATGACCCAAGGCCAACACCGACTGCAGAGACTCCACCATTTCTGCCACCATCTCACAGGCTGCAGTGATATACTTAGGATCTAAACAAGCAACGGTTAAGAGAGGACTTTTTAAAAAACACATCCTATATGCCCAGTGTAGAAAGCATGACCTACAACCAGCTGCTCAAGCTGTAACTGTGGAATCCACTTAGACTCTGAGTTGGCCACTGAAGGCCTGCAGATTCTACCTTCATATCCGCCTATACCATACAATTCTCCCCATTTTCTGCTGGGATTGCTGGAATGGTCCTGAACCTGAGCTCTGGCCTTGGTTCCCAGCCCTCTGGCCCACTCTCTGTGATAAGGCCAGCAGCAGCCTGTGACAGCTGGAAGCCATCCTGTGGCTCCTCAGCCTCAGACTTCCTTTAGGACACCTCCTCTGCCCCTCGTCTTTCTCTGGTCTCCCAGGACCTGTGTCTGTCCCTCAGCTAGTATCAAAGGGCCATGTTGTCATCCTTGCTTCACTGGCTTTCCTAGGTCAGAGTGCTTGAGGGGCTTGGGGCATGGTTCTGGTGGGCATGGAAACTCCCAAGGCAGACGCTGTGGACACTTCACACCCTTGGGAAGATCCACAGAATGGTGTCTTGAGTCTAGAATATCATACCTACTAAAATATGATTTGTTGAGGCAGTGAGTGTGTATTACGTGGCTATTACCCACAGGCCACGAGATTCTACAGTTTGGGCAACTTCCTAGGATAGAGAAGGACTTCTCATTGGACTTAAGCAATTAAGCCCCACGCTAACGAGTTGGCTTTATTAATATTTTTTTTTTTTTTTGAGACGGAGTCTTGCTCTGTCGCCCAGGCTGGAGTGCAGTGGCGGGATCTCGGCTCACTGCAAGCTCCGCCTCCCGGGTTCACGCCATTCTCCTGCCTCAGCCTCCCAAGTAGCTGGGACTACAGGCGCCCGCCACTACGCCCGGCTAATTTTTTGTATTTTTAGTAGAGACGGGGTTTCACCGTTTTAGCTGGGATGGTCTCGATCTCCTGACCTCGTGATCCGCCCGCCTCGGCCTCCCAAAGTGCTGGGATTACAGGCGTGAGCCACCGCGCCCGGCCTATTAATATTTATTGGATGACCTTTAAGAAGTAACGTCCTATCGAGGTGATTAAAAAAACAAAGAAAGCTTCCCACTCTTGCCTAAAGAGGGCCATGGGGAATAAGCATAATCATCTTCACCCAAACAGAACCCACTTCAGGGCCCGTTGCTCTAACTCAAACCGCCAAGATGTCTCAACTGTTTTAAAGCAATGGAAATCTAACTAAAAATCATGATAGCATTTGTTGAGTATTCATAACAAGACTGTCATCCGTTCCAGGTGCTTTACATGGAGGGATTAACTGATTGATTTCAATCCACACGGTTGGCACTATTCTTATCCTCACCACAGAAGCACAGGATCCACAGCCTGAGGTGCCACTCGGCTGGAAGATGCAGAGTAGGGAGGTGGGTGTTTTCATATTCCTTAGGTAGCAACAAGAAATCATGAAATCACAAACTGAAGCCTGAAGGACCCACAGAGGTTTGAGATACAAATTCAGAGAAGTCCTTGGCTGTGCATTAAAATGCCATTGCTTCTGGGTCATTCTCTAATTACAAAACCTTGAACCGGGAACCAGAAGAGAAAAGTACTATGCAGAAGACTAAAGACAGGAAAACTCCATCCACAACCAGGATTGCACAAAAGCGGGGAGAAAAAGCCCAAAAGCACTGGTGCACTCATGATTGAAAAGGCGTGTTTCCTGAGCCACAGAGCATGGAAAAGATGCCTGATGCTCCAGGTAAGCGTGCTGTGTAAAATGTGTGGACAGGCTCCAGGTGAGGCACCCCCACCTCTGTGGGACAGGCAACAGGGGCCATTCCCCACCAGACACTGGGCTAAAGAAGCTGAAGCACCCCAGCAGCCTAGGGGCCCTGGCAAGAACAAAAGACACTTGGCCAAAGAATCTTCCTCCCAACAGGCACTGCCACCATTTTCCTAGTAAAATACCTACTCTAGAATTGGGAGGAAAGTGCATGAAAAGCCGTAGTATATGTCTAAGTCTATAACTGGCTTAAATCACTGGGATTTGGATTTTTTTTTTTTTCTGTAGGAAAAGCGGAATTTTCTTTTAAATATCCACCAAAACAGATGGCTGAACCTGACACTGAGGTTACTGAATACTCATGTGGGAAACATTTATTTATTCATTATCACTCAACAAAAGGTTGTTGCTTGCTGACCAGAGGCCGAGCATTAATTTCTGAGAACACAAAGAAGACAAACCTGTTCCCTGCCCTCAAGGATCTCAGAATAACTGCAGAGTGTGGGAAGTGCGGGGGGAAGGGAGCGCTCCCCCAGTGGCATCCCAGCTGGTCTGTAGGGTCAGAGACAGCCGCATGTGTACGGATAAGGTGTTCACTCGGAAACAAAAGAGCTGGCAAAGCAATGGACTACAGCCTCCCTGACAGCTAGGGAGGAGCAGCAGGACACAGCGGAGCTACGGTGCGCTTCCAGGAGTCCACACTCACCGCGGTGCACGTCTCTGTGAATGATTTTTAAGTCCTGGAGGAACAACATGTAAGAAAAAAATGGGTCCTGAGACTTACTCTGTGTGTTTGGATCTACTTCCTCCTCCTCCTCGCTGATGGCTTTTGGGGTATTTGTCCTTCTTTCTGGACTAAGAAGCTGCTCTCCAGGCTGCACTGCAACTAAAATTACAACAGAACAAAGAGAAGAATTTCTACACACTTCCATCAGTGCTTTTTATTCAACATTTTACATTTGTGCAGCCTCACAAAAGTTGAAAGGGATAGACAGACTAGCCTAGATTCCTTAGAACCAATTTTAGACAAACAGACAATACTAGACTGAGGTACCAATCTCTTGGTTAGTGGTATATGTCTGAAGATTTGAACTTCAGATTTCATTCAGATTTCTAAGTCCCTCGACTGTCTCCTGTTGGCCATCTCTCACCCTGAGGTTATTATGAGACGGCTCAAGATACTATCAAAATCATCACTATAACCTCCAAGAAGTCTGGCTTTTAAGTAGTAATCCCTGGATCTTTGTTTTCAAGTTGGCTACAAATGCACAGATGAAAACAATTATGAAACATGAAAACATCACTCTATAACATTTAATTTAAAAATACAAAGCTTCAAAACGCCCTCTAACATGTAAACTATGACGTCCAATTTTTTAAAAATTGTGGCTAATGACCCTTGTTGAGGATACTGTTCCTTGAAAAGAACAAGCCACTTTTATTTTACAGTACGTTAATATTACAATGCAGTATAAAAACAAACATTTTAACTCTGACAGAAAACAAATAATCTTCTGAATGTAATGTTATTAATCTTATGATCATATAAGACTAAATACATAAAACAGCTAAGACCAAAGATCACAGAGACATAAAGTTTAGAGGTATTTTTGATGAAAGCTGAAACTTCAAAATCTAAATAAAATGACTAAAAAAGCAAATTCCAGTTAAATTCCAGTGTAGACTCCAATATATTGGAGAGTAAGAGATGGGGCCCAGCCCTTCCTGATGCATATTTTATCTACCTCTCCATCCCCAATTCCTAGCTTAGTACCTGGCAAACAGGCAGCACAAAATAAAAACATGGTGAAGCAGACAGGAACTATGATAGGAACCCACCGTTCATGGACGGGGACTCACCGGCCTCCAGGATGAAGTGCACACAGTAGATGAGGGAGCAGGCGTGGGTCACAAACTCTGTGGAGGAGACCACGCTCCAGAGGCCAGGCAGCTGCAGGGCCAGGCAGCAGCAGTCCAGCCCTGCCTGGAGATCCAGACTCAGCGGGATCTGCTCATGGATCAAATGCCAGGACAGGGCCTAAAGGGAAGTACCGAGTCACAGAATGCCCACTCGTGTACCTTCGTTTGGGGAAGCCGTGTGAATCACAGTTGTGGAACCGTCCAAAGCACTGAGGGGCAGCGCGTCCAGGTGCCCTTGCCCTTCCAGAAGGACAGCTCTGACATGGCTCCATTACATTCAGTCCTGACCCACCTATTCCCCAAAGTGCCAGTCCCCTCTCTGCCACAAAGCCCCCTTACTCTGCTGCCTCTCTCTCCTTCAGCGCTGTGGGCTCCTGTAGAAATCTCTCCTGGGCTACGTGGCCACCAGGCCAGAGGCTCTTCCTTGGGGCTCCCACAGCACCAGGGCTTGCCTCTGTCATAGGTTGAATTTGAGAGCGTGGGTTCTAGGGATAGCAGGCCTTGGGTTCAAATGCCAGAATGGCTACTTCCTAGCTCAGAGGACCTGGGCAAGTCACTGAAATTCTCTAAGCCTTGCTTTCCTCACCTGTCAAATGGGAGTAACAGAGCCTATCTCACAGGGGGTTGTGAGAGTCAAATAAGATGACGCATATAAAGTATTTCATCCTGCATACAGCAGGCACATAATATAATCAGCAGCAATCACCCTGTGCTGTGATCACACGCTGACTTTCCCACTTCCCCACTAAGCTGAAACCTGAAGGACAGGGATCACAAACCATATGACTCCACGTGGTTCAGAATAAGGGTGTATTTATCATTTTGTGAGTAATGGCACTGATGCCCTTTGGACTCCTCCCTTTCTTTGGTGTGAGGTGGAGGCGGAGCCTCTGTGGGTCTGCAAAGTGTGTCCTTGCTGAGGGCAGGCAGCACAGCGATGGCCCTTTAAGGATACAGGCCAGACTTTAATGCATCCAGAACGTGTACACATTCTGGGGGCGAATTACAAGCACTAACACAAACCAAGTAAGTATTCCTTGGCTGACATGTCCAGGCCAACTTAAGACATAAAGTACTTCCAGATGATTATTTTTCATGTCTCTAAAATTAGGATCCACCTAACATGGTAGGTGCAGATGAGAAGGGGACCTGGCTGACCTCACAGGCCACCATGAGGAGTGGCGAGGTGAGGGTGAAGGATGGCTACAATAACTTGACGGTGACAAGACTTACTGCCAGGCTGAGATGGAAAAGTGACTGGACTGGTCAGAGATCTTGCTTTTCAAATAAAACTGCTTTACCCTCTTCAGTGTCAGCCCCATGCCCCCTCCCCACAGCAACACTGAGCTCCCGAGCTGCCTCTTACCTCAAGGGTTGCCACCACGAATTTCACAATGTCCTTCTCTTTCTCAGGAGGAAGGTGCAAATGACTGGGCAGTTTGGAGACCACCACCAGGTACTGTGCCAGGGCCCGGGCCAGAGTGGGCAGGGACTGATACAGTGCAGCATCCCCTGAAACAGAAGGACCTCGTGGGTGGGTGCAAACGTGAGCACAGATGCATCAACTTCGAAAGGCAGTCAAGCAATTCTCTGAGAATCTGATGAAAGCTCAAGACATTGTTCCTCAGTGGCACATCTACACATCCGTCCACAGGACTGCACGTGGTTTGGGGCTGCATCTCCCCTGAGGTCTGGCCCAGCCTTCCTCAAGGGCTTAGAGCCCTATGTCCATGACCATGTCAATGAATGGCAAAGTGGCAAACACACAGGAAGAAATTCTGAGCCGAGGACACCCGTGCTGCTCTTTAGCTACCTCTGTAAACGCTTTCAATGTATTAGATCCACTGCCTTTATTGTACATTTACTTGGTGCAAAGTACTATACTGGCCCTGGAATGCTTTTTAAAAATAAGATAAATTTTAATTTTAATTACCAAACAGATCATTCAACTTGCTCCAGTAGGCCGCCGGCTCTGCAGGCAGCTCGGGCTGGAAGACATGATGGACAGCAGGGAGCTGCTGCACGGTGCCGCTCACACGGGCCAGAGTCACCTCACGGGCTGCTTCAAAAAGGGCACTCTTCTGGCCACCAGAAATTTCACTCATCCCTAGGCTTAAGCATGGAGCTAGCAGGCTTAGGTTGAACTCCTGAAATCAGAGCATTAAAGGTTAACAAACAATAACAACAGATTATGAGCTTTCAATCAGGTAAGAAAAACACAACAGAAAAAAGAATAAGGCAAATGTTTCTGAGAAAATACAAATTGGTATACCATCAAAAATATTTTTAAGAAAATTCTACTCTATGCCTGTTATAAATATTTGAACAATTTCATTCAACATATGCTTAGTAAAATATATATCTGTTCTCTCTTAGTATTTTAAGTAATATTTTAATTTTTTATGCTCTTGGATTTGCTTGAAATAAAAATTTTGGTATGACAATTTTAATTCATAAAAACAAAATCAAAGCTAAAGTGTCATCCAAGACCTCAGTGATACACCAACCACCCTAAAGTTTGAAAAAGATGTTCAAATGCAGCTGAAATACGTAAAAGTAGCCATATGAATGCCAAAATTTTGGTTGGAAAAATGGTATTTCTTATGTCAATTTGGATTATGTTTTAGCAACCCTTTTGTTTAGCCATTTAAAGATTGGTGGCCGATCCTTCAGGTAAAACATCTATCTTAGTTTAATACTCAGAAAAGCATCATGAATGCCAAAAGTTGAAGCTTTCTTTTACAGTCAGAACTTTTACAGCTGTTCAAAGCCCAATTAGCAAATTTGGAAAACCTAATAAACAGATCACTAAGCAAATTTATCACTCAGTAAGTTAGCTTTCACTGCATGAATCTTAAGATAAACAATTTTAGGCCGGGCGTGGTGGCTCAGGCCTATAATCCCAGCACTTTGGGAGGCCGAGGTGGGCGGATCACCTGAGGTCAGGAGTTTGAGACCAGCCTGGCCAACATGGTGAAATCCCGTCTCTACTAAAAATACAAAAATTAGCCGGGCGTGGTGGTGCATGCCTGTTAATACCAGCTATTTGGGAGGCTGAGGCAGGAGAATCGTATGAACCCAGGAGGCGGAGGTTGCAGTGAGCCAAGATAGCGCCATTGCACTCCAGCCTGGGGGACAACAGCGAGACTTTGTCTCAAAAAAAAAAAAAAAGATAAACAATTTTAGTAAATGGATTTTGGGCTAATTCTCCTGTTGTTTTCAGTTGAGCTCTTCAGTACATCAGAACACACTGTTGTGTTGCCCTCCCCACAAGGTCTCTTTTCATGAACACCTGCCGTCACTCCCGGCCTCTACAGGCATTTGTCCTCCCAGGTGCCCACTTCCCTCCCATTTGCTGCATATCAACGCAGGGCTAAAGCACCAGGAGGTTTCTCCCGTCCTAGTAGGTCTGAGAAGAAGCCCTGCTTGGGCCATGGCTGCACCATACCCAAGAGGTGGCCCCCCCACTGCTCACAGGACCTGCCCACGGGTGAGGGACAGGGACACCAAGGCTTTGCATGGCCTCCTAGCTCTGCGCAGGGTGCCCTCTGACATCTGGGGTTGGGGGGTGAAGAACCTCACTACATCTAACAGAGGTGTGAGTAGAGGAAATCTCGCTGCATCCAAGGGTCTCTTTTACGACTAAAGATCAACTTCCAAGACACTAGAAACAAGTTATTGACGTCACGCATTACGACACTGTGTTGAAGTCTACGGCAAATACGCAACCTTGACTTCCATTCTGTCTTGGCCATGGAGCTTAGATGATAACATCCTGTGTTTGTTCCTCCAGTGGAGGCCAGATAGTTCTCATCCCAAACCATACACCCAGCCTTGGGGCCAGCTGGATTTCAAAACAACACCTCCGTGGATTCTAATGTGGCTGAAACAATGTGCTTTTCTGTCTCGATCAGCATAACCCCCATGTCCCGACCCCATCTGAAATGGAGTCCTCCCCACTTCCCGGCCCCATTCAGAGTGGAGTCTCTCCGACATCCCGTCCCTGCCCAGACTGGAGTCCCCAACATGTGTTGTCAACAAGTGGGTCACATGATGATGAGACAAATCCCACTTGGAAGTCACAAGAAAAGCTGAGGATTCCTTGCCTCCACTGCTCCCCCCGTACCGAGTTCATCATGAAGGCATTCATATCTTCAGCAGGAATCCGATTCACCAGCTCTGCACCTTCCAGCAGTGCAGAATCTGACCTGGTCCAACACTGGGATTTGACAAGATGAACGTACCAGTCCTGGGAAGAAAAAAATGGATAAGGGGAACATGATGGGCGGCGTTCAAGGGGACTTCACATCCCTGGAGCTACAGGCCTAGGCCAGTGCTTGGGAACACCGCACTAGGCTGAGAGGGCTGCCGGCCGGCAGGCTGTGGCTATACGGCTCACCACACCACAGGTTTTCCCCTTTGGACTTCTGTTACCTGCCTGGGCACCCTCACAGCCTCCCCCTTCACCTGGTGAACTTCCAATAGGCCTTCCAAATATAGCTAAACCACTAAGGGTTAGCGGCCCCTTTGCCATCCTCTCCTGGGTTGTCTGCTTTACTCATCTCTCCCCAGCAACCAGGGCAGGGCAGGTGCTTAGCGAATAGAGCCTAAGAAGGCAGGACTGAACCTTCGCTTTCTTATACTTGGGCTGCTGGTTTTTGAAATCTAAATTCATATTCATAAGCTGAACTTTGTCCAGGAAAGTAGAGTACCAAGGCTCTACCAAGGCTCTACCAAGGCTCCAGGTGGTCCCTAACCATGAGGTATGAGCAGTGGAGGTGCTGACAACATACCAGAATGGCTGGCAGTGGCAGTGCAACTCACAGGTGGCCAGAAGGTATGAGGAGATGGAGGGAGGCTAACGGCATTGACATGTGCTTGAAGGCCTGTGCAGTCAGGGGCCTGCAGGCCACGGCCGACTATTCCTTGATTCACCCACTAACTACTCACCCCACACTCCTACCAAAAGGGTCCCACATCAGCACTGCTTGGCTCCCTCAGACCTTGATGGCCCCCCACGTCTCTAACCACAGCTTCACTGAGCCGAGCCGAGCGCCAGAACTCCTTGGGTCCACGGCACCTCCTCTGCACTCTCTGTATCTGCCACAGGTGACAGAGGCACTCAGCGCCCTGTGCCTCCCATGCAGACACGCTGGACACTTACTTTGTCCGGACTCACTGTTTCCAGTGACACGTGCCCATCCCCGTCCAGCGGGTGGGAAGAGACTGGAGGAGAGGGACTAAGTGAGTCTTGCATGGTGGAGAGACGAAACCTGTCCAGCAGGGAATAGAGCCTTTGGTGTCTAAAATACAAATAAAAATGAAATTACAGTATAATTTGTTTTTTTTTTTTTTTAGTCTTAGTCTAAACTCTGCACACTAGGATTCTAGAAATATACACTCTAAGGAGATGCACTATTAGTGGCTTCTTAAAGGAAAATACACTTGTTTAAACCTTTTTCTTCACAGCTATCTTCTCATCAATACTCAAACAGGTCATGATACAAATGCAGGCCCTAGTTTACTTTTAAGTATCACAGTTTGTACTCCATTAATATTTTCCAGAAATTTCATTTATACTCAAACACTGCAACAGGCAATACACAGTATAAAAGCTAATAAAGGCTTTCTTAATAAATGTAAAACAGATCATCTAAGACTCAAATGCACAAATTCCACTATCAAATATCCCAGTAAGACAACTGATAGGAATTCATGGTCATTTCAAAATAAAATCACCTCATCTGGCACAAGATATTTATAATCTTTTAATCTCCCTCATCTGGACTGAAGACTAAGTCTAGGGTCAAAAAGTAATAATAGTTTATCTCCCGCCATCTGCTATGAGAGTGACAACTTCATAATGCAAATTACAAAAGAGCTTGGCCCTACAGACTGAAAAATCATCCCAAACTGTCCACCTAATTGTGCCCAATCCCATTTAAAAACACCATCAACAAGGTACTCTAAAGACTGAAAAGCATAATAGACAAGGTACTCTAAAGACTGAAAAGCATAATAATTTTTGTGTGTTTTTCCTTTTTTGCAGTTTCAGCTCAAAGTACACAGCATGATAATTATATTCTCCTTCTCTGCTGTCTCTCTCTCCCTCTCACACACACAATCCCTGCCCCCCACCCCGCCCCGCAAGGGAAGGAAAAAGGTAAAAGTTTAACTTATTCTGCAGTCATGGAAATACACTCACATAGGAGATGTAGGGATTTCTGACAAAGGCTTCTCAAAGACTTTGCAAACACAACTAAATGATTAAATGCTTTGAAGACATAAAATGGCAACAGGATGCAGATGTAAGTCCTGCATGCCAAGGATTGAGTAATGTCTCTCAGATTTGCCAACTCTTGTTTAGCAATTAGATGACATGCTTTGATTTTGCTAAGATAAACCTGATAACCTATTTTCCCACTCATCACAGGACAGTGAATACAGGCATTCTAAATGCTACCTCTCAAACAGCCACCAGGAGTGCAAACTGCCTCCACTCACGTCACAGACGTGATCCTGCCGGTCATCCTTTACTCTTTAGAAAGTGAGATCTGGTTGTTTTAAAAGTAGGAAGGTTCTATTATGGCACTTCTGCAGTAAACCCACCTATAAGGCACATCGATTTCTTGTCCTGTGAATTTATTCCCGTACAAATCTATATCCTTTATATCCTGGGTTGTCCTAACACAAGGACGACCTGTGTTTCCAGCATTACCTCTGAGCGAGCCCGCTGCTCTGAAGGTATTCCTGGATTCTGTTGAGTTCTTCCATTGGCAACTGGGCCATGCTGCTCTAATAGACAAAAACACATTAGTGTGTTTGTAACACCTAACAACCCAAAATAACCTCATGCTCATTTAAAAAGGATGAACTGATGTGTACAGTTCATCCTAGTAAGGGCAGACTAGAAAAAAATACAAGAAACAGTCAGATCGGACACACGAGTAACGGCAAGTTTGCAGATGTTTCCATGTTTCTATCGGTGACCATGTCAAGACCATACTTACGGAGGAAAAAGCCAGCCACCTGTTTTGCTTGGCCTGCTAAATTTTCAATATAAATCAATATCAGGGTTTCTCTTCCCAATACCTGTAAATTTGCAGCCAGAAGCATTTCTACCCGGCGACAAGCAAGGATGTCGACCATGCGAGCCAGCACACGGAAAGGGGTGCACAGAAGCCTGTCCACATACAGCGTGAGCACAGCTCCCGACTGGCTGAGATGGATCCCCTCCAAGCACTGAAGAGTTTTCTTCAGCATGGTTGGCTAACAGCAAGAAGGAAAAGAACAAAAGATGACTATTTTGCAAATCAGAAATTAAAGTTAAAAATTTCAATACTCCATTTTTAAGGCAGGGAAAACTGCAACTGGCAATAGTCGGCAGGATGAAGACGTACAGTTGAAAGGTTTTCACAACGAGACTGAATTGCCTGGATGAACAGGCCGCTGGCAGCAGAGTTCCGATGAACGGCACTGATGAAGTCCTGTACTGGAGGCTCGTGGGAAAGGCTGATCAGATCTTGAATGTGATTTACAATGAGCCACGTTAAGTGCTCGGAGTCATGGAGGTTCTGACACTAAGGAAAAATATGATGAGAGATTCATTTTCAAGTACACAAGAAGAGACCAGGTATTAATGCCATAGAAAGGCCAGAAAGGGTAAGAAGGAGAAAACACATCCCAAATATAAACCTCACTAAAAATATACAGTGTATGAGCACAAATAATTGAGGAGGTAGGAAACTCGATTTACCAAGGCCGTCACCTCCAACCACGCACTGCGGCAGAGGCTGTGTGAAGTTAGGCCCCCTGGGGAAGTAGGGTACAGCAGTCCAGCTCTCAGAGACACTAACAAATGGCCAAGGGTCAAAGGACAAAGGCAGGCCTCAGCGAGATCCGCAGGTAGCAGGGGCAGCGTTGCGCTGGGATGACCCCATCCACAGCACTGCCTGCCCTCTCCCGGGCTTCGGGCCGGCTAAGCCAGTGGGGTTCTCCAATTACTCTTTTTCCAATTTTGTGATAGTTCAGTGGGAAAAAAAGAATCCCCTATCACTGCCACAGTTTTGACAGAACTGTTGAATCCAAAATATGAATGGATCCCACATATCAAATAAATCTTAAGTGTAGATATTTAAGATTTATAAGAAAATAAAAATATATATTTTTAAACATGCAGAGCCTTTTCATCTTGATTCATAATCCTAGGCAGAAACTGTAAAATGTGATCAATTCCTTGATATTTGGTTAACGATTAATATTTTTCATTTGGGATCATCTGACAGTACAGGTTGAATAACCCTTATCTGAAATGTTTGGGATCAGAAGTATTCTGAATTTAGGATTTTTTTCAGGTTTTGAAATATGTGCATTATACTTATTTGTTGAGCTCCCTAAATCCGAAAATCTGAAACCTTCCAATGAACATTTCCTTTGAACATAATGTCAGCACTCAAAAAGCTTCAGAATTTGGAGCATTTTGGATTTCAGATTTTTGGATTTGGGATGATCAAACTTTATTAACTTATAAAATTAGTATCTTTTTTCTTATATTTCTGTGAAAAACAGCATTATAAATTATATTATCCTTAAAAGTAGAACAAAATAGAAAAACTACTTCAATAGAGAAAGTAAAGCAAAAAGTGACTATTAATAAATTGTCATCACCAGAAAAAGTCTCTAGGATAACACCTCTTTCAGTTGGAGAGTCGGCTTCCTTTTCTGATTCAGAATATTTAACACTGTTTTGCTATGTGACAGTAGTATCTATAAGATACCATGTTTGTGACAAAGAAATGCATATGTTTTAAATATTTTTAATATAAATATAGAAAAAGTATTAAATCTAGACCAAAATCTAACAGCAAGTTATCTCTGAGTAGTATGATTACAGGAGGTTTTATTTTCCTCCGTTTATTTGTTTTTTTGTAAATTCTCCATGGTAAATATGTGATGCTAGTTTTATGGTTAAAAACTCCCACAAGTTATTTTTTTTTCTTTAAAGAGAACGGCATTTAAACAGGAATCCATCATAAAATGTGACAAAGAACATCTAACACCTTTTCTACAAATTAACTTAAAAAAATTATTTTAGAGCAGGGGTCTCGCCTTGTCACCCAGGCCGGAGTGCAGTGACACAGTCACAGCTCACTGCAGCCTCAAACTTCTGGGCTCAAGCAATCCTCCCTTCTCAGTCTCTCAGGTGGCTGGGACCACAGGCATGCACCACCACGCCAGGCTAATTTTTCTTTCTTCCTCTCTTTCTTTTTTTGGTAGAGGCAGGGTTTCTCTGTGTTGCCAGGCTGGTCTCGAACTCCCAGGCTCAAGCCATCCTCCGCCCTCAGCTTCTCAAAGAGCTGTGATTACAGGCACGAGCCACCACACTTGGATAATTTTTTATTTTTTATTTTTTTAGAGATGGGTGTCTCACACCATAGCCCAGGCTTGTCTCAAACTCCTGGGCTCAAGTGATCTTCCTACCTCAGCCTCTCGAGTTGCTGGAATTTAGGCATAAGCCACTGCTCCTGGTATTAATTTTTAAAAAAATTTAAAATCAGAACCCCACTACAGTCAATGCACTTACTTTGTTTTTTAAATCATTAGTTATTATTATTCCATTGCTTCCCTCAAATTAACAAACATACCCAGCATCATGTAGGCGTGAGCCAATAGCCGGGCATTTGATAAATGAGTCAGCTGCAAAAACTCTCACAGTCCAACTTAGAATCCAGTGACTGGAAGGCCAGGCCTGGTCTCCAATTATATGTCACAGCAGAAGTAAACATTCATTCTAGATTTAGTTTCGATGGAGCTTGGCAGGACACCGGGCGGTCTGGGTTCCAGAGGGTCCATGCAAGTGTCATCTACACAGGATGTTCTCCTGGTCCCCACCTCCCTCAACCCCGTTTACAGGCATTTCAAACTTACGACATAATCACAGAAGAGAATGAGAGCCCCTCTTCGTACTATTTCTCTATTGCACATTCCAAGTTTGGCTGCCAAGTCAGAATCCTCCTCTTCTCCAGACATCTGGGGACTAAGTAACTTTGTGCTGGACAGACTGTGTCTTCTAGAAGGAGCAACAGATGCATTGACAATGTTTCTGGATGGCAGTGAGCTTATTTGCAAAATACTGAAGATGATTATGTTTAATTCTAGTTCTAAAACAGACAAGTTGTTTTAAATATTGCCATATCAGAATGTTGTATGTGTAATATATACTCTCAGTTATCTATTCCTAAGCTACAATAAACCACATATGAAAAACTAAAGAAAACAGAATTTAACAGGCAGAAAATTAAAATGCTTGCCTGAATAGCAAAATCCACCATAAAGCTGCACATTCAATCAGCACCTTTATTTCAGAACTCACACTGGCTATGTTTGATAATTGAGCAATTGCTTTTGAAATTCTCCATCTGCCGTGAAAGTTGCCAACTGCCAGAATGAAAACCTCCCTGCTTTCATGTTTTACTGTTCGTTTCCCAATGAAACATCACCACTCTAAACATGTTGATGTTATACGTTATGGAAATCCTGTTTAAAAACACTTCTTCCCCACTAACACAGGTTATTTCACTCTACACTGACTTCTCACTTTATTGTTTTTTTCTTTTTGAATACGTGGGAATTATAAACCTTGAGACTCTTGGCTCTAGTCCATACAGTTAAAATGTTGACACACTCCCAAACTGCCCCTCTGACCTTCAGGGTCTGACCGAGCGACGTCCTTCCCATTGCGGCAAAGGGCCTTAACGGGGACAGAGGTCACATCAAGCTAAGAATATTCTGAAATACAACAACTTTTCCTGTAATCCCTCAGGATTTAGAAGAGAACTGGTAAAAACCAAAATTCTACAGATTTAAACTTTTTAAAAAGTGCCTTTTCTCTGTTTCCCAACTGGTGAAGTGAAAACAAACTACAGCCTAGCCATACAATGCTCAGCAGTTGCAAGGAGCGAGCCACCGACGCGTGGGCAACACGCGACAGAACTTTAGACACTGCTCACCGAAAGGGGCCAGACTCAGAAGGCTGCACACCGCGTGGTTCCGTTTCTTTCTTTTTTCCCCAGAGACAACGTCTTGCTGTGTCACCTAGGCTGGAGCACAGTGGCACGATCATAGCTCACTGTAACCTCTAACTCCTGAGCTCAAGTGATCCTCCTGCCTCAGCCTCCCAAGCAGCTGAACTACAGGGACGTGATTGTAATTTTTAAATTTTTTTTTTCTGGAGATGGGGTCTTGCTAGGCAGCCCAGGCTAGTCTTGAACTCCCAGCCTCAAGTCATCCTCCCACTTCAGCCTCTCAAAATACTGGGATTACAGGCATGAGCCACCACACCTAGCCTATAGATTCTATTTCTATGGCCTTCTGCAATGGGCTGAACAGAGGGACAGAGCACGGATTGGTGGTTAGACCTGGGGAGGGGCAGGATGTGGCAGAGGAAGAGGGAACTGTTTGAAGTGACAGCACTCCTCTATATCTTGATGTGGTTGGGGGAGGGGGGCTGTTACTGACTACAGTTGATAGAAAAGTACATTTTACTGTATTGTAAATTATGTGTCAATGTGAAAACTAACGAACAGGAAACGTGCCCTTTCTCAGTGGGCCGTCCTGCCAGCGCAGTGTGACTTACACTCAAGCTGTAATTGTGCACTTTGCAATAATACAGCTATAGGGTAATGAGCCTCTGAAAGAGAAGAGGCAGTATTTGCAATTCAAATATGAGCAGTAGACATAAAGAAGGTCCACTGTCAACTCAAATTCAGCCCCAATTTGTAGCAGCACAAGCCCCCCCAAATCTCAGGCCATACACCGCCCGGTACTGGTGGCGAATGAATGTCCCAAATCTAGGGTGACTCAGAACAAGATGAGCTGGGAAGTGACCAACACATCATGTGTACCACAACACACCCACAAGCGCCAAAGTATAGGCAGGACTCTAACAGTTCACCAAGAGGTAAGACAGATTGAGAGTGAATCATAAACCCACAGTGACAGAGTCCATAAGAGAGGGGCTAGGCTAGGGCAGGACCCACATAAGGACCTCCTGGAGCAGAGCACCCAGTGTCGCCTGGAGCCAGCTCCCATCTGGGAGCCAGCCTGAGAGGAGATGCACACAAACCGAGAGAGGGTCAAGAGTAAGCAGCAGGAATTTCTGCAACTGGATACAGCAATTTTATGGCTGCTGAGTCTATGGCTAAAAAAAGAGCAGCTGTGTTTTGTATTTCACACTTCTAGTAATTCATTTTTCTCATCTCATGGAAATAAAAAGATACTCATCCCCCACCACCCACAGCTGGAAAAACACAGTGCTAAGAGCAGGGGTTTAAACCAGAACAGCTCTGCTCTCTATGGGCATCTTGGACACTTATGGGGATTTATTTTTTCCTTCCACCACGGGGACACCTTAGACACTCACATGCTTGTTACATATTATCTTAATTTTACCTTTACATTACCATTAAAGAACGATATTTTTTGAAATTTAATTATTAGGTTAAAAATCCATTGATCCATTAATTTTTTTTTTTTTTTTTTTTTTTTGAGATGGAGTCTCACTCTGTCACCCAGGCTAGAGTGCAGTGGCGCGATCTCAGCTCACTGCAACCTTTTCCTCCTAGGTTCAAGCGATTCTCCCGCCTCAGCCTTCTGAGTAGCAGGGACTACAGGCACCTGTCACCATGCTCGGCTAATTTTTGTTATTTTCAGTAGAGACAGCATTTCATCATGTTGGCCAGGCTGGTCTCGAAGTCCTGGCCTCAGGTGATCTGCCCGCCTTGGCTTCCCAAGGTGCTGGGATTATAGGCATGAGCCACCACGCCCAGCCTAATCTATTAATGTTATTTCAGGATAATAGAAGGAACAATACAGAAGGTTATAAAGGAAAACTGGATCAGAGGGGGTCACGAAACAGTCACAGAATTTACCTACATTTACAAAAAGCTGTAGTTTGCCCTCAGAGGGCTGAATGAAGACGCTTGCTGAATTCCAAACTAAATTTACCTTTGGTTTATTTCTTTTAAACACTCATCATCTAAGCATTTCTGTTACTCCAATTCAGGGGACACAATTCCCAGATTCAGAGCTTTCTGATATAACATCAGAGTAAGCAGGCCCATCTGTCAGAAAAGGAGTGATCTGCTGAATCCGCAGCTGATTTCTATGCACGTTAAAGCAGCACAGAACTAGGAGACACTGACTTTCTGTCTCCTGCCCCCACAGTGCTCAGTCATCGTAACAGGCCTAAGACATCCACCAAGCATTTCAAATGTCGTCACTGGTCTGTCTCCTCCAACAGAATGACCAGACCCCACTACATACGGCACAGAGTGGATGGTTAAGAATGCCTCCCAACAGTGGACTTTCCAGCTGAGTGCCATGAACTGGCCCTACTGGGAGCCCTGGCAGCACAAGGTCCAGTATCCATACTGAGCAGAGAGGCACGGCAGCACCTGCCCTCTTTTGTCTCCAGAACTTCTTTTCCCCAGCGTGGGATCTTGAGCCTTCCAGAAATACTGTGCTGAGGATTCAGCTGGGCGGGGGCCAGGGTTGGGGGTGGTCACAGCTTTTATTTCCATACATATACAAATAATGGAGTGTTGGAGCACCTAGAAATGGAGCTTAAGCCTGAAAACCTTTTGCAAAAAGAGGGCCACCCATAACGAGAACCTTAGTAAGCCTTTTTGAATGGTAAAATAACATTTCCAAGAGGTTTTGAAATTTGCTACACTGTTACTTCATTATCTAAGGATAACCAGAACCACATTTACTTTATAATGAGGTTAAGACATTGCAACATGTCTGGCTATGGAACCAATTTAAGGACTAGAACTTAGTAGGAGCCACAGAGCATGACAAGCATATCCCACAAGATGCAATGGTGTCAAAGAACCTGCCAAAGAAAATCGCATTTAGAAAGCAACTGCTATTTTGAATGCCTTTAGCTGGACCGCATGTTTGTCCCAATAATATGCTGTCCATGAAAGGAATATTAATATGCAGCAGAAATTTCACAAGCCCTCACAAAAAATGGAAAATGAAAATGCTTTAACGGTGGCCAAAGCTCAGGTTACTGGGAGTCTCAGGACAGGGTGCTGGGCTGGCGCCCTGGGCTGTGGGGCATTATGAACCTACTTCGGGGTCTGCTGCACTTCTGCCCACCAGCGGTAGTCGGTGTGGTTGACAAGCAGCAGTATCTGACACCAGAGCAGCACCAGGGCCGGGTGGGTGGTGATCATGGAACGAGCCCGCAAGTTCAAGCTGTCCAGGGTGTAGAAACTGCCGCCACAGCCATCACTGCGGAACAGCCTAGTGGCAGCTGCTGTGATTCTCCGGAACATTCCTAGAAACAAAGTTAAGGAGAAATGTCTTTGCTTTCATCTCGGTCCAGTGCCACATGGCTACGCGAAGATTTTACATAAAAATGAAACAGGCTGAGTCGTCTCCCATACTTACGTATTCAGAACACCTGGCATTTAGAAAATTCTGATTTTTCTAAGCAGAAACAGATATCCTACTTTTTTTTTTTTTTTTGAGATAGAGTTTTGCTCTTGTTGCCCAGGTTGGAGTGCAGTGGCGCAATCTTGGCTCACTGCAAACTCCACCTTCCGGTTTCAAGCTGTTCTCCTGCCTCAGCCTCCCAAGTAGCTAGGATTACAGGCGCCTGCCACCACGCCCAGCTAATATTTGTATTTTTAGTATAGAGGGGGTTTCACCATGTTGGCCAGGCTGGTCTTGAACTCCTGAGCTCGTGATCCACCCGCCTCAGCCTCCCAAAGTGCTGGGATTAAGGCGTGAGCCGCCGTGCCTGGCCAATATCCCACTTATTTAATGGACTGGTCAAGAAAGCTAGCATTCCTCCTCTCTCACTGTCGACCTCCACATTGGTCGGCAATGCCAAGCCCTCCAGGAGCTCCAAGCCAAGAGCTGCGAAAGTCTGAACACAGCTCCTGGAGAAGGAGTCAGGGAACACTCAGCGCCTCGAATCACTGCACTCGGGCCACAGCGGGGCCCCCACAGGACTGAGCCACAGCTACACAGGCAGGAACAGCACTCGGCACCTGCCAAACTCAACAGCTCCTGGGCTTGCTAAGGACTGAGGGACAGAAATGCTGAAGGAGGCCAGGTGAGAAAGCAGGACCCCCCTGCGGTCCAGGCTCTGTGTGCCCTCTGCAGGCTCCTGACACCTGACAGCCAAGTGGCCTCTGTGCCCGGCCATGGAGCATCCTGGGCCTAGGCAGGCCAAGCGGTCAGCCTCCCCACACACAATGCTGGCACCTCAGCAACACACTCAGCTAGATTCTACCGGCAAATTTCTCCACAGCATCCTTCTCAGGGCTCCAGGAATCATGACTTCATTCTATCCTCTCCTTTGGATAAACAAGGTCAAAGGCACAGAGACATGCACAGGCTGCAAAGCCCAGCAGGGAGAGGCAGCAAGACTTGGGAAACAGAGAAAGGCCCAGCTGGCCAAGGCCACCCTCTCCCCCAGATCTGGGCTGCCTGGCATCACTGTTGGGATCAAAATTTTATTTCTGATTTAAATTTCAGGCCGGGTGTGGTGGCTCACGCCTATAATCACAGCACTTTGGGAGGCCAAGGTGGGCAGATCACTTGAGGTCAGGAGTTCGAGACCAGCCTGACCAACATGGTAAAACCCTGTCTCCACTAAAAATACAAAAATTGGCCGAGTGTGGTGGCGGGTGCCTGTAATCCCAGGTATTTGGGAGGCGGGAGCACAAGAATTGCTTGAACCCAGGAGGCAGGGGCAGCAGTGGCCAAGATCGTGCCACTGCACTCTAGCCTGGGCAATGGAGCGAGACTCTATCTCAAAAAAAAAAAAAAAAAAAAAAAAAAAATCAACACATCCCCAAAGTGAAAGGGTCCTAAAACAGGTAAAAACAGAGTACAGGCTTTTTAGGGCTCCACAATGCCTTAAACTATAACCTGAGACCAAGGAAGCGAGCTAACAGAAGCAGCACACTCAGAGAATGCAGACCAGGTCACGACGAGGAGTTCTAATGCCTTGTCTCTGGCTCCTCCAGGTTTCCTGGGATTTCTCTACACTTGCTTCCTGGTCAGCATTGTCCCCTCCAGCCCATTCTGCACTGGCCTCATCCTTCTGTGGGGCCCTCTGTTCCTGCATGGGCCCCCTGAGTGAAGAGGCATGCACTGCCTTCAAGGAAGATGCAGCCAGGCCACAGAGCACGTGCAGGGACAGACCCGGGATGTAGGGGTTTTGAACAGGTAATAGAAACCCACAATCCAAGCTGTGTTCTAGGTGGCTGAGTGTCAACACAGGCTCTGAATCAGACTGCCTGGTTCAGATCGTGGCTCTACTGTCTACTACCTGGGTGACCTTGGATGCACCTTACCTGGGGCCTCAGCTTCCTTAGGTGTAAGATGGAATTAAGAGCAGTATCTGTTCGCAGGGCTGTAATAAGGAGCAAACAGGAGAACCCAGGTAAAGGGCTCAGCACTGCACAAGGCATGGAGGAAGTACTCAGCCCCCGGGGTGGCAGCTGCTGGAGCCTATTAGGGAAGTTCAGGTGGAAGATGAGACGGACTCTGAGGGCCACCTCCTAGTAGATAGAGAGGAGGAGGTAAGGTTAGGGTTCCTGGGGTAGCGGGAGGAGGAACATACTATGATGCTGGGATTCTGAACATCCCTAATGATCTAATTAACAAGAAGAGGCCCTGGAGAGTGACAGTGGTGCTAGTTCAATTTTAAGTGCAAGTCTGAGGTACTGGCAGGACAAGTCCCGTGTCGAGAAGCTGGATGCCAGGACTACAAGGACCAGCAAGAGAAAGTTGTCCATGAGAGCAACAGCCAAGGTCACAAAGGGGATGGACCTACCAAGGCCAAGGAGAGAGGCAGAAACACAGAGAAAACAGTAACGAGAGACCATGGACAGCAACTCGAGGAACACAATCAATTAAGTGGCTAGACAGAGAAGACCCCACAAGCTACTGAGTGACAAGAGGGCAGCTCCACAGAATCAAGCTGGAGGGCCTAGGATGAGAGAGACCTAGAAAGAAAGAACACAGGCAGCCTCTGCAAAGGCCTTTTTAGTAAAGAGGGCAAGAGGCAGGCTGCCATGGCTTGAGAAACAAGAGGGAAACAAACCACCATGGGCAATGAGAATGGAGTGTACACAGAGGGAGGGACCCCTCATGAAGGAAGCAGGAGGGCACAGGAAGTGCTGGTTTGTTTTTCATTTAAGGCTGGCTTAGTGTGGCTGTTAAGTGTAAAAGAGCAGCTACAGGCAGGAAAGGAAAGGTAAGACATACATGTTTCGCTACGGTGAAGTATGCAATGGATTTTTTTTTTTTTTTCAGACAGGGTCTCACTCTGTTTGACCAGACTGGAGTACAGTGGCACGATCACAGCCCACTGTAGCTTTGGCCTCCGGGGCTCAATTGATCCTCCTGTCTCAGGTTCCTGAGTAGCTGGGAGTATAGGTGTGCGCCACCATGCCCAGCTAATTTTTGTATTTTCTATAGAAACAGGATTTCAACATGTTGCTCAGGCTAATCTCAAACTCCTGGGCTCAAGCAATCTGCCCACCTTGGCTTCCCAAAGTGCACAGGATTACAGGTGTGAGCCACCACACCTGGCCTGCAATGGATATTTTTAAATAAGCATCAAAGGCAAAATTCAATTCCAGAGAATCCAGAAGGATGTGGCGTCAGGAAGCAGACATAAGAGGGGCCAGGAAGCCGGCAGGAGGATGAGGATGAACTTGGGGACAGGATAGAAGGTCCCCTGTTCCGCTGGGATGTTATGAGGAACCCAGGGTCCCTTCCAGGTGGAGGGAGGAACAACTGGACAGAGGCTCATGAGAAGGATTCATCACTCTCTCTGCGGAGAGCAAGGCAGACACCTGCTGGGCATGGTGTGGGCATATCAGAATAGCAAAAGCTTTAGAAGGCATGGCACTCGCTGCAGCTCATTCTGAAGCCACCACTAATCCCATGGTGACACCCGCCTGGTCCCCTCCTTCCAAGGGTTTCCCTGACTTTCCTCATCCTGGAATCACCTGTTTTTATCCTCACAGAAAACACATCAGAGACCACAGTGCTGCTGCTGGGAAGCAGCAGGACGACGTCTCTCAGTCCCCTTTTACAGGGTGGGGCTGTGACCTGTCACCACGAGAGAACACCAGCAAAGGCATGCCTGTCACTTATCCAAGGCCACAAAGCCTTCTTTACCTTCCCTCTCCTTGTCCCCAACCAGACACAGAGGATGTGAAGGCCTGGAGAACAGAACCAAAAGAAGGAAAGGAGCCTGGGTCCCCGAATTCCCACATGGAGGAAAACCATCCGTGAACCAAGAACACCCTCAATACATTGTCATAAAACCAAGAAACAACCTTCTCTGGTGTGAAGCCATGGAAATGTTGGTTTATTTGTTACAGTAGCTACCATTACCTAACAAAGACAACAGTGGCACTGAGAACGTGGCTGAGATGAGAAGATGCTTCTCGGTGGAACCTCCCTTCCTAGGGTCCCGAGTAGTGATGAGCAGCAGTCTGAGACAGAAAGAAGGCAGAGCCTGTGGATCACAAGGGTGGCACAGGGGAGCCAAAGGGACTCAGGGGAAGAGAAAGGGACCAAGTGCCCGGAGACCACGATGGCAGTGCAGGAAAGGAGGCGGGCAGGAAGGCGGATGCAGGCTGCACCCAGAGAAACAGCTACAGCTGCACGCAGCAGCTCCGCAAGCCGTGTTTTTGTGAGCTAAACAAAGAAATATTAAAAGGAACAATGGAAGCAGGAATTGGAAATAAAGAATGCTGTTTTCAAAACAGGCAGGATGTGGGATCGCATCCCAATTCCACCATCGAGAGCTCCTAGGGCAGAAACCTCTCTGGGCTGGGCTTGTTCAGCTATGACACAGAGAGAACCATCTCTTCTCCACGCCACACAGTGACTGGGGCCCATGGTGGGTATTCTGAAAGTGGCAGCGGCTACACTCACCACTATCAACCCAAGAAGTGGCCTGATGAGAGAAAGATCGATGGGCAAGAAAGAATGCTTGGGTTTTCATTCTTGGTTTTGGCACAGGATCTTTTAGAACTTAAGCACAAAGCGGGAAATACTTCACAGAGCAGTTCTAAGAATTAACTGGGATAATTAAAATTAAACCTACCACATACCCATGAGAAAATTCCATTGCTCCCAGCATTATAATTGTTAGTAGCCCTGTCCTTTCCCCAAGCATGAACTTGAATCAATGTCAACTTTATTACTATAGAAAGGACCACTTTCTCTCTCTTCCAGTATTCCTGCTTTGCCCCAAAAAGTGGAACCACAGACGCTTTGGAAAGGACAGGGAAGAGCTGTCGTGCAGCCATCCCCTCTGCCACAGAGGAAGGGGTGAGCATGCCTCCGTGAGCGTCATGGCACATCTCCACCACCCACGACCAGGACTCAGGGAGGAAGGGGCAGCAGCTCCTGCCACCCTGACTGGGTATAGTCTGGATGGCAGGCAGGGAAGAGCACAAGATGTGTCCTTGAAAATCACGGTGAGCAAAGCTGGAAGGCCGTGTTGAGGCTACAAGGCCAGACAGCTCTAATTCAGCCACATGGACAACAAACAAAGCTGATGTTTCCACCTCCTGGGCCTCTGGTGCCATCATCTGTTTCTAAACCAGTCTATCTTGGACCAAAAGAGAGGGATGCTGGTTACCCCAAATGTTGTAAACAGGAGGACAGCTATCTTTCTTGGCTATTCTGCTTATCCTAGATGGAATGTGAAATAGGCAAACCACTTTGGGATGAATACCCTCCTCTCCCAACAAGAGGAAAAGCAGGAAACAAAAAGTCAAGGGTGCCATTCTGACTAGTTCCTGAACCAGGTATTATTTAAGAAGTACCCACGCCTGAAATGGACAAATTTAAAGGTCTTCATTTTCGGTTTATGGGTGGAATTCATAGCCTTTGTTTAAGCAGTACGTGAATACATATTACCAATTTTACATGCTAAACACACCTTACTTATATAAAAACACGAGATGAATTATTTCAACTCTTATCTTGAAACCAATCAAATACAGTAATTCTGCCACCTAGTGTCTTTCAAATAAATGCAGTCAAAGGAAACAAGAAGACAGAAACACACATTTATATATACACACACACACAACTTACTTGCAAATGTTGGGCAGATTAAATAAGGTCAAAAGATACCAGCAGGAAACCCACGTGCCCTCTCCAAGCCCTCCACTCCCACCAGTAAAGCTGCTTCTCAACAGACCTGCACTGTCTCATACAGGAGCCACTATCCACACAGAGCTGTTTAAATTTAAGTTAATTAAAATTAAATAAAATTATAAATTAAGCTATCCAATCAGACCAGCCACATTTCAGGTACAGAACACCACATGTGGCTAAAGGCAACTAAATTAGACAGTGCAGACATCCTGTCTCTGCTGGAAGTCCTATTGGACAACACTTCAACAGTAACAATATTTTGCCTCAATTGTGAGATGGAAGGAGAGGAAATCAGCGCAATAAGACAGTGACCACATTTGAGCTGCACAGAGATCGCTCGGACATGTAGAAGGACACAGAACACACCACCCTTATCCCACAAAGGCAAGACTAGTCCTTAGAAATGAGGCTGTCTCCTCCTGGCATCAAATCCAAACCAACTGGTGGCAAAATATTAAAATGACCAACATACTAAAATTGACCTATCATTCATTAACAAGCCATATTTTCTCAACTTTAAACTTATTACAGTGGTCAGTGAAGCATAATCCGAAGATCTTTAAAAAGAAACAAGAAAATTATTTCAATAATAGCAAGTAAGGCTCAAAAACTAGAGTCCACTATGAAAATTAAATTTTGGCCATGGCCTGTGCGGAGGGTGACAGCAGCTGAATGCAGAGGCCATGAAGAGGCCCCTTTCTCCAGGATTCTGTGGCGCCGTGCGGCCGGGCCCTACCGGCATCCTGCCTGCCTGCCTGTACTCTCAGCTGCTCTCTTGGGTGCCGGAACTCTTCTCTGCAAAAAGCTAGCTACTTCTCTCCCTCAGAAATCCTGCCTCTGCCTGCCCACCCATTTCGTCTGTCACTGCACTACTGTTCTTCTTCATAGGAAATATCAAGACTTGTGATACTGACGCACTGACTGGAAGTTCCGTGCAGGCAAGAGCCAGGATGCTCAACTGAACTTGGCACAACCAGAGCCTGCTAGCATGGAGGCGGGCCACGCCAAGAGTATCCTCAAATGGACCAAGGCTGAAAATGCTATCTTTTACTCTAAGATATGTATGCAAAATGTGTACAAAAATCCAGTAAGAGAAAGGAGCTTTGATCACAAAAGCACCCTGCTCCCATCCCTTTTTAAGGCAACTACTTGTTATCATTTCTGTTTTCAGTTCTGGTAGTTACCTCCAAAATTCTAACTGCTGTGCTGCTATCCCTTGCAGCAGACCATCAGTTACTGCATGTGCTCCTCTCCCTTACTCCCGGAGACCAGCCCCACCTCCTCATCAATGGAATGCTGTCCAGTCTCCCATTTGGCCCATGTGGACCAGAGCATTCAGGGGTTTATGGTCACCCATATTACTCATGCAAGGCCAATCACATAGGCCTACTTGAGGGGCTGAGAACACAGCCTGCTAGAGGTCATCTTCGGTCATGTGAAAACAGCCCACCAGAGAACAAAACTAACACAGGAAGCAGAGATGAGACTGGGCGTGGTGGGTGACACCTATAACCTCAGCATTTTGGGAGGCAGAGGCAGGAGGATCGCCTGAAGCTAAGAGTTAAAGACCCGCCTGGGCAACACAGCAAGACTTCCATTTCTACAAAAAAATTTTAAAACCTATCCAGGCATGTTGGTACATGCCTATTGTCTCAGCTACTTAGAAGGCTGAGGCAGGAAGAACTCTAGAGCCCAGGAGTTCGAGGCTAGAGTGAGCCTCGCACTGCACTTCATGCCACTGCACTTCAGCCTAGGCGACAAAGTGAGACCCTATCTTTAAAATAAAATTTAAAAATTATATAAATGAAAAGAAGAAAGCAGAGCTGAGATGCATAAATATACAATGCAGACCACAGAATTACAACACTAGATGCAGTCCTACCAACTACCCTTGCCTGCACTTTCCAGGAGCTTAAACCAACACATTCTTTCTCTTACTCTAGTTTAAACTGGGGTTTTATCCCTGCAACTGAAAGACTGTTGAATACAATCACCACATCATAATTTGTCATGATTTATAGACTTCAGACAACTTTAGACATCACCCATTAACTCTACCGTAATAAAGATGAGATTTAGCTCATTTATACTACCTCCTAACAATCTGAATTACATGTTTAGTTCTATTTGGAGACCTCTGAAGCCTCTATATTTTGGTCTGTCAACTTCAGATGATGTAACCATATAATCCCAACAATGCTAGGTGAAGATTTTAGTTCCCCTTCCACTCCCCACCTCTATCTCTACCATCTACTTGCCAAATTAACTTGGTTAGTTTTCCTTTTATATTCATCAGAACCGAAGACATTTTCATTCTGTTCTGAAACCATAATTAAGTCAGTAAGTCTTCAGTGTTTCAGTCATACATTGATTTCAAAAATGAAAGCTCGGGCCGGGTGCGGTGGCTCACACCTGTAATCCCAGCACTTTGGGAGGCCGAGGCGGGTGGATCACCTGAGGTCAGGAGTTCGAGACCAGCCTCAACATGGAGAAACCCTGTCTCTACTAAAAATACAAAAAATTAGCCAGGCGTGGTGGTGCATGCCCGTAATCCCAGCTACTCGGGAGGCTGAGGCAGGAGAATTGCTTGAACCTGGGAGGCAGAGGTTGCGGTGAGCCGAGATGGCACCATTGCACTCCAGGATGGGCAACAAGAGTGAAACTCTGTCTCAAAAAAAAAAAGAAAGAAAGAAAGAAAGAAAGAAAGCTCAAGCAGTATTTACATTATGACTATCTGAATCTAGTTCCCAAGAGAGCCAAGGATCCTAGAAGGATGGCATCTCTTTCTATAGGTCTTTGATCGTGACTCCTAAGCCGCTTAAAGGAGAACCTTTTTAATATCAAGGGCTTCCAACAGATCAACTGCTGAACAATCAAGCCACATTTTGGTTTGCCTCATATTTGGACCATGACTTAATGCTGTTTGCTGTTACTAGAAATTAGAATTGCCTTTCTATTTTCTTGAGAGAAGAAAGACGTGCCTATCCCCTAGAACTAGGCTTCTAGCTATTTAGTCATTTATTTAAAGCAAAGCATTCTCATTACAAACGATCGTTCTTCTTGGAAAACACACTGTCCTAATTTGGACTGGCTGCTTTCCATGCTTGCTGCACAGCTGGCATCTTATGACTTTCTTGGGTTCACTGTCCTTGTCATTTTCTTTCTCTAGAGACATGGTCTCGATCTCGCCCAGGCTGGAGTGCAGTGGCATGATCATGGCTCACTACAGCTTGACCTCCTGGGCTCAGGCTCATGCCACTACTCCTGGCTATTTTTTTTTATTTTTTTATTTTTGTGGAGATGGGGTCTCTTGCTATGTTGTCCAGGCTGGTCTCAAGCTCAAGCGATCACCCCGCCTCAGCCTCCCAAAGTGCTGGGATTTCAGGTGTGAGCTACCATGCCCAACCTTCACCGTCCTTGATCATTTGTAAAAGTAACAAAAACATCTTGGCCTCCAAATTTAACACAGGAGGAGGAAGCTCTCAGGTTTACTTTTTTTTTTTTTTGGATTTTTTTTTAATAAGAGGCAGGGTATCATTCTGTAGCCCAGGCTGGAGTGCAATAATAGCTCCCTGCAGCCTCGAACTCCTGAGCTCAAGAGATCCTCCCACCTCAGCCTCCCAAGTAGCTGGGACTACAGGCATGTGCCCACCATATCTAGCTAGTTTTTGATTTTCTTTGTAGAGATAGGGGTCTCGATATGTTGCTCAGGCTGGTCCCAAGCTCCTGGCTTCAAGTGATCCTTTTACCTTGACCTCCCAAAGTGTTGGGATTACAGGCATAAGCCACTGTGATTGGCCCATCTTAACCATTTTTGGCTCTTGTCTTGTTTTGTTTTGTTTTTTTGAGGCAGGGTCTTACTCTATAGCCGAGGCTGGAGTGCAGTGGCATGAACACATCTCACTAGAGACTTAACCTCCTGGGCTCAAGCGATCCTCCAGCCTCAGTCTCCTGAGTAGCTGGGACCACATGCACACCACTATCCCCGGCTAGTTTGTTTGTACAGATGGGGTCCTACCATGTTGCTGAGGCTGGTCTCAAACTCCTTGGCTCAAGCAATCCTCCTGCCTTGGCCTCTCAAAGTGCTTGGATTTCAGGCATGAGCCATGACACCTGGTCCTCTTAACTATTTTTAACTGTACAGTTCAGTAGCATTAAGTACATTCATAATGTTATACAACCATCACCACCATTCATTTCTAGAATAACTCTCTTCATCTTGTAAAAATAACTCCCCTCCCCTGCAGCCCCTGGCAACCACCATTCTACTTTCTATATCTATGAATTAACTACTCCAGGTCCCTCATGTAAGTGGAATCACATAGTATTTGTCCTTTTGTGACTGGCTTATTTCATTTAGCATAATGTCCTTAAGGGTCACCCATGTTGTAGCATGTGTCAGAATGTCCTTTTTTTAAGGCTGAATAATATTCCACTGTAAATATACACCAGATTTTGCTTATCCATTCATCCATCGAGGGACACTTCAGTTGGTTCCACATTTTAGCTATCGTGAATAATGCTGCTATGAATGCTGGCATGCAAATATCTTTTCACCACCCTGCTTTCCATTCTTTTGGGTATATACCCAAGAGTGGAACTGCTGGGTCACATGGTATCAGGTGTACTCTTACAGCAACAAATATTTTCAACTGGCACACTGGGCAAGGCAGAGTTTCTACCGGGCAGCACAGCTCCTACACTCTGAGAGTGTATAGTGCAGAATGGGGAACGAGACACTCCAGGAAGACTAATGTGATTCACCTACCAGACTTGAAGATGTGGATCAGACACATTAGCAGTGTGCCTAGTTCCTGGCAATAGAAAGTATGTTGCTGCTCACTCATTTCCACCTTCAGCTGTTTTGTAACAATGTCTTCTAAAAGAATACCAACCAGTTGTAATAGAAACCTTCCAAGAAACAAAAAAGATGACAGTGAATTAGGTGACTACTATAAAGCACTTACGCCAAGTATACATGAAAAGATATATGGTAAATATAAAGTAAAAATATAGGTAGAGTACATTAACCGCTAAAGTGAAATGCAGAGCGCCGTCGCCGTGGACACAGTCACTTGGTCTCTCTGTGTATCACCTTCCTCACTGAGGATGAAATGGCAGGTAGCATTTTTTTAAGCTTTGTGAACTGTACACCATTACACAAATACAAGCTGATCATCTGTCACAGGAATTTAATGTATCATCAATTTTAGCCAGCTGCTTCAATGCGACACAGGGAAAGCCATGGGCTGCCTGCTGAACCTGCAAACCAAAAGGTGCCCAGCAGGCTTACTGGGCTTATCTCCTTCGACAACACAGGGCATCTCCACTGATGACAAACCAAGTGAAGGCTGCATGAAGTCACAGCCACTTAGCAGAAGCAGCACATTTGCAGAAGCAGCTCTAACTCAGTGAATGCTCAGAATCTAGCAAAGGTGGAGAGGGACCCATCTAGGCAGCAAGCACTTACGAGTGCCTCATCACTGTCCTTGGGGAGCTTCCAAACAATTTATGAGGGAAGACAGGATTTGATACTACACGTATTTATTGGAGGCAGGCTGCCCTGCAGGGAGAAGACTTTTATTACTGACAGCGTGTAAAACTGCCAGCACATGGTGACAATCTGAGACTCACTTTTACTGGCTTCTCTTGGGTTTCAACTTCCCTGACGTCAGCGTGCCCCTACTGCCTGCCCCCAGGACAGCCACCCCACTGCCCTGCCCTGCCTGAGGCGAGCCACTGCTGTAGCATCTCTACTGAGGACAAGAGACAGAACATGACAGAACTTCAAGACAGGTATGAACCAAGAGCCATAGATAATGCAGGACGGATTAGAAAATTACACTGATACAGACTTCTTTACCCAACTCAGAAGTGAAGCAAGACCAGGTATTATTCCAGACTTACTGACTGTGAAACATCACGTGACTTCCCAAAAGGCATGGGTTAGTTATAGGCTCAGATAGAAAGCATACCTTGAAAATGTTTCTTCTGGCAAATTCTTTATTTGTTTCCCTTCACTGTGTTCTTCTAGCGTTGAAGTACTGTCCCCATCTCTTAACCTATTAATTACTGTACAGGAGATTAAATACGGAGAGAAGGAGAGCTCCTGAATACGAGAAAGAACAATATCTTCAGTTGACTGGGAAATCAGAACCCTCAAAATGGCCAGAATTCCCGATATCCACAGTTGAACAGTGCTCACGGACGCCTAAAATAAACATAATACATAAGTCACAGCTGAAGAAAAAAGGAAGATTAAATTTCCCCCAATTGCCAATTTTGTGAAAGAAAATAACTCCTATTTTACTATCCTACCAATAAACCTCTCTATCACTGAGTCCCAAAGTGTGCTCCCAGAAAAGCAGGCATTAGTTTCACCTGGGAATTTGCTAAAAATGCAAACTCTTGGCTTGGTGCGAGAGCCACCTGTAATCCCAACACTTTGGGAGGCCGAGGCGGGCGGATCACAAGGTCAGGAGATCGCGACCATCCTGGCTAACACAGTGAAACCCCGTCTCTACTAAAAATACAAAAAATTAGCCGGGCACAGTGGCACGCACCTGTAGTCCCAGCTACTCGGGAGGCTGAGGCAGGAAAATTGCTTGAACCCGGGAGGCGGAGGTTGCAGTGAGTCGAGGTAGCGCCACTGTACTCCAGCCTGGGTGACAGAGCAAGGCTCCATCTCCAAAAAAAATAAAAAGGCCGGGTGCGGTGGCTCACGCCTGTAATCCCAGCACTTTGGGAGGCTGAGATGGGCGGGTCACGAGGTCAGGAGATCAAGACCATCCTGGCTAACACGGTGAAACCCCATCTCTACTAAAAATACAAAAAAATTAGCCGGGCGTGGTGGTGGGCGCTTGTAGTCCCAGCAACTCGGGAGGCTGAGGCAGGAGAATGGTGTGAAGCTGGAAGGCAGAGCTTGCAGTGAGCCGAGATCATGACACTGTACTCCAGCCTGGGCGACAGAGTGAGACTCTGTTCCGCACCACCCCCACACCAAAAAAAAAAAAAAAAAAAAAAGCAAACTCTCAAGAAGCCCTACCCAAACTGACTGACTCAGACATTCTGGGGGTGGTCCCAGTAATCAGAGCCTGAACAAGCCGTCCAGATTCATCTGCTGAGCCAGGCGAGAGACTCACCATTGTGTTTGGAGTGACGAACATACTCCGTAAAAGCATGTCTACCGGACGGAGGGAGGAAGGGGCCAAAATCTCAAATAATGTATTTAACACTCCAAGGGCTTCATGAGAGTCAATGTGCATCTGTGGAATTAGACACCACAAACATTTCTACGTAAGCCAAAAGAAACGACAGCTTCCTGTACACCAGCTATGTAACTCAAGGGCAAATCATCATAATCATCTCATCGTCACCTTCCCTCATTTAAAAGCATTTTAAGTTCAGTGGTGAACCAAGCAAACATTTTTACAACAACACTGTATAGCTACATTTTTCCCATAACAGAAATCTTGTCATTTAGATTTTTATTACATAAATAATAAATGCTTTCTGTAAAAGACTCAAATATACAAAAGTGTGAAAAAAAATCAACTAGCACTGCAGCACCCTGACACAATCATTACCAACATTTTGGGGACCAGTCTTCCAAGCGTCCCTTTGTATACACATACATGGGATGGTGTGCACTTTTTTTTTTCTTTTTCTGCACTCCATCCCTCCCACAACAGTTGTAACAAATGCTAAGTGGTGTGTGTATATCCCTTTCTTAATCTGCCCCATGTTCCTATAGCCATATCCTTGCCCCCTCACCCACAGAGGTTTTGTTTTAGTTGTTTTGAAAAATCATAAACGTCTCTGCTCTTCTCACTTAACCCAGTGCAATGGAGAACTCCCAAGGCAACTGGCTGAACTTCCTTTCTTCCTTCCTCCCTCCCCTTCCTCCCTTCCATTTCTTCCATTTATTTCCTTCCTTCCTTCCTCCCTCCCTCTCTCTTCTTTCTCTCTCTCTCTTTCTAACAGAGTCTCACTCTGTGCCCCAGGAGTGCAGTGGCGCACGAATGGGCTCAAGTGATCCTCCCACCTCAGCCTCCTGAGTTAGCCAGGACTACAGGCGCACACCACCACACCCAGCTACTTTTTGTATTTCTAGTAGAGACAGGGTTTCACCATGTTGCCCAGGCTGGTCTCAAACTCCTGAGCTCAAGCAATCTGCCTGCCTTGGCCTCCCAAAGTGCTGGGATTACAGGCATGAGCCACCACACCTGGCCAGAACATTTTTAATCATGCAAAATAGCCCAAGCTAAAATAGTCTAAGCTTATACCACAGTGTGTTCAACCATTACTTATTGATGGTGGGCACTGACTGTTTCCAATTTTTGTTTCTACTGAGTGTGTATACATAGTAAACAACTCTGCAAACAGATGTGGTGTTTTTCAAGGCACAGATGTGAAGCTCACAACACTGGCCACATCTTACAACAAGGGAACAACTGACTTGAGCTCCAGGATTCCTGCATCCTGGACCCTCGCCTGTGCTCACCAACTCTGCCTCCTCCCCAGCAACTCTGGGAGAACCCACAGTGCTCTGTCATCCATGCAGCCAATCCTAACCCATGTCTGTGAACACCACAACGGCGATTTGTGTCTCCTGTGTCATGAACTGATCCTCCCTGTTGCTTCTGCCCTCAGTGCGTAAACAGGCCTTCATTTCTGCCAACTTAACCCATTGCCGACTCCTCTCCTCCTCTGGCTACTGCCCTATTTCTCCGTTCCCTCTTCAAGTAAAACCTTTTCCCAAGTCTCTCTCCTGTCCTTTCAGGAACACATTCCCATTAGGGTTTGGCTCCCTTTGCTCCTCCAAAAGCACTCATCAGTGCCCTCGGTGCTGCCAAACCTGGGCCAAGTTCCCAAGGTGCTGACAGCAGATGTCGCCCTCCTGCACAAAATGCCTTAAAAAAAATCTTGGCTTTAGGAACCCCACACCTGCCTACTCCCCCTGCCCCAGCACTGGCTCCCCTCACCTACCTGACCTTGGAGCTGGGACTCAGCAGGCTCGGTATTCAAGCTCCTCCTCCTCTCCAGCCAGTCTGGGTCCACTGTGAGTGGACATCTCAGATGCTGACCCCCTGCCCCACAGTCTCTCGACAACTCCAGGCTCATACACCTGATGCTGGCCTCACCTCATTAGGCACCTATGGGGTCTCAACTGCTACATCCAGACAGGCTCTGACCTCCTGCTGCCCCCAATGTCTGCCCTACCTTGTCCACAGCCACCCTGTCCTCACCCTGAAATCACCCCCAAAGCCCTGCTCTCTCTCACATGCCACATCTAAGCCACCAGCAAACCTTGCTGGTTTTGCTTTCATGCTGCCAAGGGATGCTGACTTGGGCCATTCCACTCCAGTGCCGGGTCTCACATGGGTGGCCCTGCTCTGCCCTCACCTCCCCCTCAAGGCTATTCTCAACTCAGGAATAAGAATGATCCTGCTAAAACCTACACCACATCAGCGCAAACCCTCTCAAGGCTCCTCCACACTGGCCTCACCCCACCAGGCCTCACTCCCTTCCCTCCCCATGGCTGCCCCACTCCTCCACCCTCATTGCTTGTACCCTAACAGCATGTCCGCCCCCCGCCAGGGCCTTTGCACTGCTATTTGCTCTGCCTGGAATGTTCCTTCCCCAGGTATCTCCTAGGCTTGTATCTTTCCTTTCTGCAAATTCACTCAAATGTCACCAGATCACCAAAGCTTCTTCTCATCACCAGCTGAACAATGCCACTCCCACCGCAGACACCACCTAACTCTCTTCCCTCCTGGATTCTTCTGTACGGTGTTCCTGATCAGCCGCCATGGTATAGACTTCACTCACTTGCTTTTCTATTGTCTGTCCCCTTACCCGCATCCCAACAAAATCTTCACTCCAAGAAGGCAGGGGGTCTTTCTTTAATCTGCTTTGATCACTGATGTATGCACTGCCAGTAACAGGATAGTATCTAGCACTACTTCTGAATGCAACATGCACCTGTGGTGAGCTACCTGGCAGGTGCTGCACTAAGCGTTTCATAAATGTTGTATCACACAATTTCCATTGCGGCAGATATTAAGTCAGGTATTTACTATGTATTCAGGCCTTCGATCTCCACTCTACTCAGATTACGCACAGAAAAGAATGGGATAAAGCTTCCAGGGCACCATTCTAAAACCATCTGTAGGCAGGGAGACCCTGACCACACTAAAACTGCTGTCAATCTCACCAGAAGCCAAGATCCCTGTCCTGTTGTCTAACTGGTCTCAAGATAACATTCCATTATGAAATCAGAATGGGGGTGCAGTCATGAAGGCAGTAACATCAATATCACATGCCTCTAAGTTTAAATCAAATGCCAAAAACCACGGACTACTCGTACTATACAGAGTAGTTGTTTATTGTGTATAATCAAGATGAACAAACATGTATTTGCTGAGTCCACTTAAAAGGCAACCTCAAGCTGTGCCAGGCAGCTCATGAGATTTTCTGGCAGAGCTGCCTCAAGGAGGTCCCCACCACCCTTCTCTGTGAGCTACAGAGGTGCTGCTACACTGGGGGCACAGTGGCCTGTGCCTGACTGGGGGCAGGCTGCTTCTGAAACTGGCACTGCCAGGCCATTTCCTTCCACTGCAGTTGTGGAAACAATGATTCATGTCATTTGATCATAGAAATTCTGATTAGTGATGAATAGGCCAGGCGAGGTGGCTCACACCTGTAATGCCAGCACTTTGGCAGGCCAAGGTTGGTGGATCACTTGCGCCCAGGAGTTTAAAACCAGCCTGGGCAACACAGCGAGACCTCATCTCTACTAAAAATACAAAAAACTAGCCAGGCGTAGTGGTGCACACCTGTGGTCCTTGCTACTCAGGAGGCTGAGGTGGGAGAATTGGTTGAACCTGGGAGGCAGAGGTTGTTGCAGTGAGATTACACGACTGCACTCTAGCCTGGGTGACAGAGTGAGACCCTGTCGGAAAGGAAAGGAAGGGAAAGGAAAGGAAAACTGCTAAATTACAAGCAGTAAGGTAACAAAAACAAAAATCTAACCACCAAATAAAACACTGGGTTGACCAGAATGCAGGAGGCAGTGTAGGAGGTAAGGGTTCGGGCTTTAGAGTTAGCCTTGGCCCGCCCTCACCCCAGCACTCTAAAGCTGTGTGCTGCCTGATCACCTCCATAACCTCTCGGAGCTGTGGGATCCCCCCTGTAAAGTAGGTGGGCAATACCAACCTGAGATGGCATTGTGAGAAGAAATGAAGTCAGCTGTCCCATGACTAGCACGGAGAACTGCTATCAAGGCACAGATTAGGACTGAAGGAAGAGCTGATTCCAGCCACCCACCTTTCACAAGGACCTTAAGCTACCATCACTATGCAACAACAAGCCAAGGCTGCGGGGACAAACCTGCTGTTTGGCTAACATTGGGAGGATGATGTCAGCTATCTGTCGAGACAGTCGCTTCCACTTGTCTTCATTCTCCTTGTGGCACTGCTGCAGGACAAGAATGAACATCTCCAACACCTATAAGAGCGTGCACAATTAGAAAGTCTGCTGCCAAGAGACGCCTTTCCACCCCTACGTGTCCGTCTGTTATACTTGTCCCAGTTCAGCTGGAAGACTCTAGGATCCAAACAGATGTGATCCCAGCGAGGACAGGGGGACACTAATGCAACCCCCACTCTATGACATGAGAAATGTAGGGGAATCAGAACGAAACACAAGTTCCTCTAGGGCACATACAAGGTGCACACTTTGCTCAGGAGGATTTGCCATCATTGTTATTTGTATAGAATTTGTAATATTTCACAATCAGAGAAAAGGCACAACATGAAAATCAAATGTATATTAATCTTTGGCAAACTTCAAACACAGCCTTGACTAAACTATTCTGCAGGTGGCTCATTGCCTTTGTGGACATTCACTTCAATTCTGTGTTCTCTGCAGAGGCAATCTACTGAAGAGCACCTGCTTCCCAGAGGTATACATGGTTGAGCACAAGTTTATTAGTGATCATTTCTAAACAGACATATCCAGAGCTCACTGAACATGTGGCTGATGAACTCCTCTCCATGACACCCACCCACCCAAGCAGCTCTGCCTGCCACCACCTGCTTGCCAGTTGCTCATTTTCAGACCTCTTTATGATACATGTACTTTTGCATTGCAATTATGTGATTTAATTAGGCATTAAGTATTTAATTAAATACTACAGGGGTTCATTAAAATATGAATGAACAAAGAAAGTGCTGCTTCTTATGAGAAAAGCTATGGCTTTATGAAGATTCAAAGACAAACAGCTAAAAAGAATTGACAAAATAAGTGAGGGCTAGACAACAGTGCAAGTTAAAAGAAAGGAGAAGTCATTTAAAAAGAGAGATTTCTGCACTCAGCCTTCCTCAAAATGTCTTTGAATTCTTATGCCACTTTAAGAAAACAAAACCAGAAATCAGCTCAAAGAAAAAGACCTTAGCCCTATGTCAAAATAGTGGTAAATAAATATACAAATAAAGTTTTTATTTCAGAGTTGAGATTTCTATCATTTTAAGGTTTCTACCATCTTGACCAACACTGTCAATTGATTTTTGGTCCTCGTTTTGGAAAAGAGGGCCTCACTATCTTGAACGATCTCGTGACTCTCAGACCAGGAGTCAGGTGAACTCCTGTGGCTGTGCCCACTTTAAAGATAAACACCAGGCTGGGCATGGTGGCTCACGCCTGTAATCCTAGCACTTTGGGAGGCCAAGGCAGGAGGATCACTTGAGGTCAGGAGTTCGAAACAGCTTGGCCATCATGGTGAAACCCCATCTCTACTAAAAATACAAAAAAAAAAATTTGCTGGGCATGGTGGTGCATGCCTGTAATCCCAGCTACTCGGGAGGTGGAGGCAGGAGAATTGCTTAAACCCGGGAGGTGGAGCTTGCAATGAGCCAAGATCGTGCCACCACACTCCAGCCTGGGCGACGGAGAGAGACTCCATCTCAAAAAAAAAAAAAGGATACACACCAACAACACCTCCTGCCACTGCACCTCCCCAACTCCACCACACCCCCCCACCCCCCGCCTCCCTCCCCATCCCCCTGCACCGGCATCTACCCAGGCCCCAGAAAGCCCAAACCTGGTTCAAAGTAACACAGTTAACAGTGAGCGTTACCACATGGCACTTCCTTCCATCTGCACGGGTCAATAAAGTATCCACGACAGTTCCAACATACATTCCTCTTACCTGATGGTACTGGATGAGTCTCAGTAACATTGACACCACCACCTCTTTTTGGGTTTCAAGCTCTTTTCCTGCATCAGCTTTATTTGTTCCTCTTAATACAAAGAGGTCGTGGACTATGGGCTGCAGAGCCGGTATGGCTGTGGGGACAAAAGGGTACCCTTATCAGGCATTTCATGGAAATTACATTTGGAAAACTGCTCTCAACATCTACAAAATGCTTTCAAGAAATAAAGAAAACCCTTACACATACTTGGTTTATGGTAAGAGATGAATTAAGGTTATCAATCATTATACCATGTGGAAGGTCAAAGCTCTTCCTCTGAACACTGATCATTTTGTGATGACTTCTAAAAAAAGAAAAAAAACCTAGGGCTCCTATAATTTAACACCACTTCTGAAAAAAGGTGACTCAAATTCAAAAGTCAATTTGAAAATGATAAAACTTTCCAAATAACCAAAACAGCAACATTCCTGGTCTCAAGAATAATCTACTTGATTCATCTGAAAAGACAATAAAGACTTCCACATAATACATTTAGTCAAAGCCACTGGATTATTATGCTTTTTTAAGTAAACTCACTCTGTCATTAGATAGATAAGGGACTTTCCCCCAAGTCTTATTTTGGTCTAACACAGGAGTCAAAATAAATTAACTGGTCTACTATGACCACATATAAAAAAATATAAGAAATGCCTTTCATTGGCACACAGGCACACTCTGACCCTCAATGTCATGAGCACATAGGAACACTGACCCCTCAGTGACACATACGCTCACACATGAGCACACACACAGAGGCACACTCTGACCCCCTCAGTGACACATACGCTCACACATGAGCACACACACAGAGGCACACTCTGACCCCCTCAGTGACACATACGCTCACAAATGAGCACACACAGAGGCACACTCTGACCCCTCAGTGACACGTATGCACACACATGAGCACACACACAGAGGCACACTCTGACCCCTCAGTGACATGTACGCACACACAAGCACACACACAGGCACACTCTGACCCCTCAGTGACACACACACACGTACACACACACACACGCGAGGCACCCTCTGACCCCTCAGTGAAGGGCACAATGCAACCCTCTTTGACACACACACAAACACTCTGACCTCTCAGTGACACATACTCTCTCCGGCCCTGAGACATGCACACACAGGAATACTCACTGACCCTTCGGTGGCATGCACGCATGGGTATACTCTCTGACCCTCTCACAGATGACCAAGCTTCCCAGCACAAAGTACTGGGTGTGGTTGCCTACTGATTTTCTGTCCAAAGACCCTCCAAGTCCAGGAAACCAAACACCTATGCCTTTAATAATCTATACTTTGGCTGTGTGAATCTGAAGCCCTTGTGAGGCCGTGGCAAACACTAACTGGCTTAGCTATGTAAACACTGAGAGGTCAGCCAAGGCCCTGCCTCGCAACACAGCCCGGTTGATGCTCTTCTGCACACACGCTGAGTCGAAAAGACTCTAAGTAGTAGTGCCATTCTCACATCTGGGAGTTTGCAAGGGTCTTAGGATGTGTCCCTGTCAAAGTTCAAAAGCCTACAGATTCCAGCAAAGGAGTCAGGGAGGGGTCAATAGGGCAATGCTGGAAGATCAGTTCAAAAAGCTCAAAGAAAGATTTGCAACTCATTCATAAAACCACACTAGCTCCTTCCACAGGCTGGGGGCTTGCACAGCTGGCCATCTCCTGGGTTCCTTATTTAAGCTCCAGCAAAATCATCAGGCAAAACAGAAAGCCCTGAACCCAAGTCAAACTATATCTCCAATACCACTGGATGAGAGATCAAAATTTAATTCACGGCAAGTTCGATTTAAGAATTTTTAGTGTTGCATCGCTTCTTGGCCTTTTGGCTAAGATCAAGTGAAGAACTTTTAGCGTTTCATGTGAATGAACAGGAACTTTATATTCAGAATCTATCTGTACCTTAGGTTATCTTACTGTTTCTTGAATTTTTTTCCCTGAGAAGATTACAAATTGCTGAGAGTAAAGAATATGCTCTCTTCTCTTTTGAAACGTCTCTAACCAGTACCTTCACATACACAGACACACATGCAGAGCCTGAGAAGCACATGGCTGCCACTGACAACGTTCAAAGTGGGTATATGAAAACGAACACTGCCAAGCACATCACGACACCGAAGACGACAGTGAAAGGTGTGTCCCGTTACCATGTGTCACAGCCTTCCTTCCACTGGCCATGATGCCATCACAGAGCTGAATGATTTTAGGAATTCCAATGATCTGTTTTGAATGATAGCGTTCATAAGATAGTAATACCAAGAAGAAAAAGATGTTTGGAATGATTGCCTCTGATTCCCTAAAAACAAAAACATCCATTTAGACCTTTCTTTTAAAATTAAGATACATATCAATATAAGCAACATAAAATAATTCATGATTCAACCTTGACAGCAAGCACACATCAAGCTAACAGGTGTCCGTGATCTACTCTAACCCCACCCCTGCCACAGTGCATCCCATCTGTGCCCTCGCGCAGAGCAGGGACATGTGTAAAGGTTCGGAGGCAGCAGGTAGAAGGCACCCGACGGCACAGGGGCACAGCAGCTACGATCTTCCTAGCTCTCCTCTGCCTCTTTGCTCTTGAAGAAATTGAAACTCAAAAGAGAAACAGTAACTTGCCCCAAAACACAGTGGAGGTGTCATGTAATTAGAATAAACACTATGTTTCCAGACCCCAGGGAATCTGGGAACACTTTCCTTCTGCACTAAATTTTCCTAATTACAATGTTTATTAAGCATTTTAGGTACTAAAAGAATTTTAACTTTTAATAATTATAAACCTGTAATGGACTAGCAAGAAGTATTAAAACCTCAACATCTAGCAAGAAAAAGCTGCAGAGAATACAAATGCATAATAATTACTAAAGACAACATTATATAAAACTGCTTTCTCTAAGAAGATTTAAAAACTAGTGCTCCACCACAAGATTTCATTCCACCATCTGTCAACACAATTAAATGCTTTGAAATGTGCAATGAATACTGACAACATATGGAATTTTCAGATACATAACTACTTCCAAACAAGTCTTGAGATATACATTAATTTTTAAGAGAAGCAAAAATGCACAGTATGTTAGTCAGATTTCCATTTAAAGAAAACAGCAAAAATGCCTAACAGTAGTTTAAACATTCACTTAATAACCTAAATTACATGTAAGTACACAAGAAGAAGAAAAAAATCTAAAATAATAAAATGCTATTACCTGAACTGGCCCACTTCAATGTATTCAAACTGTTTCAATACAAAGCCAATAAACACCTACAGGAAGGAAAATAAAATTTCACATCAATAATAGGATTAAAATGTAAAAACCAGGCTTCTTTTCCTCCTGCTTATCTGCATAAATTTTAAATAAAATTCTTGACAGCTGATAAATTTGACTATAAGCATAACTCTATTCTGAAATCAGCCTAGATAATTGCAGAACACATCCAGGAATCCCCTCAACAACTTTACTATACCCTGAGGTGAAATCTCATTGGAAAAACAAATAATAAATTCCAAGAGACATCAGACAATACCCAAAATTACACCTTGGGGACTCATCTGTTCACGTTAATGGCAGATAGGGTGGCACAGATTCCCTGAAACTGGTTTAGTAATAAGATACCCAAAGGAGTCGACCTTCGTCCCCCAACCATCTGAGAGGCGACACGTAAGGGCTGCATGGGAGCCAGTTTTGTGTCACACTGTATTCCCTGCAGCTGTCAGCTTTCCCAACCTGACGGGGAGCTTCCATGGATAAAGCATGGAGCATATGGCCTGGTTTTCTCAGAGCCTCTGGGCAGAATGCAAACATACAGCAGGAGCTCAATAAATCTTTATCAGCATAGAGTTCAATGGTTTGTCTGTTCTAGTGTTCTATTCTTGTTCATAAAACTGTCACTGTACTGAATCTTAAGAACTGGGAGAAAGGGGACCGGTTGATGAAAGGCAATCAGAACAAACATGAAACCAGAGCAGTCTTTGTTCTTACTAGAATGGAACAAATCAGGGCTCTGGCTTCCCTTGGGGTACCCGTGCCCCCCTGAGAGCCTGCTCCTCTCAGCCCCTGCTGCCCACAGCCATAGACCAGGGCTTCTCCCCAGTCAGCCTCCTAGTGTCAAAGGAAAGGAAAAGAAGTTCCCAATGACTATTTCCTGAGGAGAGCAATGGCCCATTTAGACGGATTTTCTTCGGACAGGTTTTGTGAAAGAAAGATGAAAGCATCAGGCCAACGCAAAGCCCACCCCTTGATGCCTCCTTCATTAAAAGCAGACCCCAGGCCGGGCGCGGTGGCTCACGCCTGTCATCCCAGCACTTTGGGAGGCCGAGGCGGGCAGATCACGAGGTCAGGAGATGGAGACCATCCTGGCTAACACAGTGAAACCTCGTCTCTACTAAAAATACAAAAAATTAGCCTGGCGTAGTGGTGGGTGCCTGTAGTCCCAGCTACTCGGGAGGCTGAGGCAGGAGAATGGCGTGAACCTCTGAGGCGGAGCTGGCAGTGAGCCGAGATCGCACCCCTGCACTCCAGCCTGGGTGACAGAGCGAGACTCCATCTCAAAAAAAAAACAAAAAAAAACAAACAACAACAACAAAAAAAACAAGCAGATACCACCCCAATACCCACTGTGGAAAATCAGTGTTGACCGAGTGCCCTCAGTTCTCCTAGGGAAACAGACCCTTTCAGGTGAGTAACAGTGCTGACAGGATTAACAGATTTACGTCTAGAAGGAAATAGAGAAGTGTAATATTTCTAACTCACAAATATTCCTACCCCACATAAGAAAGTAGCCCAAGATCACGGCTCAAAAATGACAGTTAAATTTTGACGATGAAAAGGCAGTTTCATCTGCAGTGATTTAACTGGGACGAATCTTGAGGAAAATGTGCATCATGAAGGGACAGGACTAGCCAGAATCTGGTGCCCACAGCAACTATAGGAGGAAGGTAATGCAGTCAAGAGGGGAAGCGTGCAAATGCTTGTGCAGAGCCACACAGCTCCCACATGGACTCCAGGAGCACGGGTCTCAGTTACTGTCCTGCTAAATTCCATTCCTTTTTAAAGAGGTAAGTGAACCTGTTAGATAGCTTGAAACTGCAGATGATCAATTATGGTAATAATTGATAATCTGTTTAAACTAACTCTAGATTTTGCAAAAATGTTCCCCAAACAATAAATCTTAATTGTATCTCACAATTTAAATTCAAACTTATTTTGGAGGGGAGGCAAGTGGATGGGACAAACCTTTGGAAATCCCTAACAGCCAACCCCAGGTTAGCCTTGAGTCCAGGGAGCTGGGGCAAGGATGCTGACTTGCTGAGGCTGGCTATGCCCCAGGCCTTCTGCACCAGCTAGGTGCATGAAAAAGATAAGCAGCAGCAACTGATGAGGGAAACATGCAGACCACATTTCTTTAAAGTAGATTTCAGTGTCTTTTAGGGTAATTTGTACTAAATTAGGAACAGGTATGATGGATGAAAGATAAAAGTGACAAACCTGATCTGAATCCAGAAGACAGTAATTAACCCGTAACTGAACCAGCTGCGCCAGCAAATCTAAAACCTGCTTCTGTAACTGCACACATGTTGTAGTCGTGTACTGTTTTAAAGCTTTTATAACAAGAGGTTCAAACAAACGAATGTGATTATGAATAGCATTCTATAAAAAAGAAAAAAAGAAAGAAAGAATCCATAAGTAAGCCTTCAACTAAAAGCTTCAAGCAAAATACCTGGAAAGTCTCAGCTCCAGTTTCCTCTCTAGCACTGACACGCCTGAGTTCACATGCCACAAACGGCACCATTTACCTTATCTGCACGGTTCTTTGTGACACTCGTGAGGTTTGTCTTCAACTGGGTAGACACTTTCTGGAGGACATCAAACCATCTGCCAAATGGGAATAAAAGGGAAGCAGAGAATGAGAATATCTTTAAATAATCTCCTCTGCACTCAGATATACTCCTGCTCAAACCAATTTCACATTCACACGATCAGAACGTGTCAGATTGAGAAACAACTTGAAAGGCCACTCAGTGTGGCAGCATCGCCCTCTTCAGATAATGACACTCTATTTAGAGTTTACAGCTGCCTGACAGCCATCAAGTCTCCTCACTCGCAGAAGGCTACTCAAGTCTGAGCTTTTTTCTGCTACAGGAAACTGACTACTCAGCCCAGTCTTAAGTGAGATTTGAGAGAAAGGTGAAGGTCATTTAAAAGATCAGTAATTTAGAAGAAATTACATGATTTTTTTGGAGGACAAGCCTTTAAAATATTTACATCAATGATATCCCTTCTAAGAAACATATATGAAATTAACCCAAACATGCACACACTCACATGCTTATTAATACCCCAAATGGTTACAGAAAGCATTGAAACAGACTTACTCCTGAAACTCCAATATATAGTAAGTACATCACTAACATACAGCCTGGAACATGGGTATTTTCCTTGACTCCTGACTCTAGTGTTTTAATTGTAGCTATTTAATCGCTAAATTTATAAAAGGAAAAACAAGGGATTCTATTATTGCTACTATACAGATTAGCAACTCAAATACCTGTTCATACTTAAGGCAATTTAAGAAGTCCTGTATACTAGGCATTAAAAACACAAACATAAATTTAAGTGAAAAGAGGCCGGGCGCGGTGGCTCACGCCTGTAATCCCAGCACTTTGGGAGGCCGGGACGGGCAGATCACGAGGTCAGGAGATCGAGACCATCCTGGCTAACATGGTGAAACCCCGTCTCTACTAAAAATACAAAAAAAAGTTAGCCAGGCGTGATGGCAGGCGCCTGTAGTCCCAGCTACTCGGGAGGCTGAGGCAGGAGAATGGCATGAACCCAGGATGCAGAGCTTGCAGTGAGCTGAGATTGCACCACTGCACTCCAGCCTGGGCGACAGAGCAAGACTCCGTCTCAAAAAAAAAAAAAACAAATTTAAGTGAAAAGAGACTTCTAGTCATAAAGCTGACAAAACACAAGGTAATATATCCAAGATGCTTCTATGGCCTTCACACACCTCTGAACACCAGCACTACTGTGCTGCTATGAAGCTGTTCTTTCATCCTTGTTACAGGCCTGAAAAGTGCCACCAACACATGCCACACCACTCTACAGGTCCTGTGCTTTGAATGGGTGGGGACATTATGAACTGCATTCTGGTTTGCTGACACACTTTGGCAATGAGAGCTGGCTGCTTCTCAGCCCACTCAGTGTTCCTCCTCCTCTACCCCCACCTCTGAGATGTGTAAGTCCCAAGCCCATCTCACTCACTGGCCACACACTTCTTGGAAGGCCGGGCTATGCCTTAAATCATCTTTGCATCAACCATATATATCTCCTAGAGTTCTCTGAATACAGCAGACTATTAGAAGATGTTCGCTAACATTTTTCGTTTTTATTCTTTTACAAAGTATTTCCTGCTTGCTCTTTCGTGCTTCCACCAACGACAGCATTCTTGCCACAACTGTTACCCCGAGGTGTCGTTCTCCTGCTCCGCCTGCACCATGTTCCTCAGGCTGGCGTCAGCGAGGGCCTGGGTGAAGTGGGTGTACGGGGCCATGAAGCAGTAGTGGTACAAGCCTGGCCTCACACTGGAGGAGCCAAGGCGCTGTGCTCGGCCTTGTGACTTGCTGGGGTTGGAAGATAAGCCATCAAACTGGGAGGCCAAGTTTGTGCCAAAGAGAGTCTTCAACAACTACAGTGAAAAAAATGAGGCATCAACAATGTGGCGTGAACAACACTTTTAAGAATCTCCCACACAAATATCAAATCCATCTGTAAATAACTGGATATGTTAGCAAAGACTCACAGCGTGAAATTCTTCCTGTGAATCACTATTAATACCTCATGAGATATTGTATGAAGTGCTGTTTGTACCTTAAATAGGCGTTTTGGGTTTCCTTGCAATTCTAAATGAGATTGAGCATTCTAAACAGAAACTCCGAGGGACTGGAAGTTAACTAGCGAGGTTGCAGAGGAGCTTCTGGTGTCCTCTGCCCTCCACAGTGACAGACCTCGTCCTCCTGGGGAGTGAAGGGAAGGATGGCCTCTTGGCTCAATCATGGACTGAGCCAAAAAGTGCTGCGCTGGACCCCACAATCCTCCCAGCTGATTATGCCAACAGCGCCTGCCTCTTAAGGAGTAGCAGCGTTTTGCTGTCATACCCGAACGTCTTAACAGAAGAGGAAAAGAATGAAGCTCTTACTTGTTGAACACAAACAGTTGCCATCATTGGTTCTCGACTAAAGCAGGATTTCAGGTATCCTAGGATCTCTTCAACACACTGTAGAAAGACAAGTGAGACATTAAGCGACTCAGAGATGACCCGTTATTGTACGAATCCTAGACAGAAATTGAAGGTACAAGATAACTTCCATTTAAATTGTGTAAATAGTAGAGGAAAATCAGAGGAAAGTTTTCAATTTCTTATTTTGAACAGTCAGTAAAAAGTCTTGAAATCCAAGTTATATACATTACAACCATTCTTTCATGCATTTATGTATCTGTTCATTCACTCATTAATTCAATAAACTGTTATCAAGTACCTGTTGTCTATTAGGTATCCAGTCCTGTTCGCAGGGCAGGAATTCAGAAGTGTGCAAAGCAGCTAAGAGCCCTGCATCTGTAGAGCCCCTGAATATGTTCAGTGAACACAACTATGATACAGCAATGTGTGATTTACCACAAATCAGTCCTAGAATTGTCTTAAAATAATCTGCAAAAATGACCAAATAACTACCTTAATGTTACTCTTCTCACAAGCATTTTTATCAACATCTATAACGAGATGTACAGCACCCAATGTCCTTTTCAAGAATCAAGAAGGGGCTGGGAGTGGTGGCTCACGCCTGTAATCCCAGCATTTTGGGAGATCGAGGCAGGTGCATCACTTGAGGTCAGGAGTTCAAGACCAGCCTGACCAATATAGTGAAACCCCATCTCTACCAAAAATACAAAATTAGCCAGGCGTGGTGGCGCACACCTGTAATCCCAGCTACTTGAGAGGCTGAGGCAGGAGAATCGCTTGAACCAGGGAGGCAGAGGTTACAGTGAGCCGAGATGGCGCCATTGCACTGGAGTTGTTACCTGGGCAACAAGAGCGAAAGTCCATCTCAAAAAAAAAAAAAAAAGAATCAAGAAAGAAGAAGATGCTAACTCAAAGAGCGCCACCATTCTGAATGCCTAGATACCTAGGCATTCAGAATGCACAGCCTGTTTCACCACTGCCTGGCTAATCACGAACTGGTTTCCATCAGCTGCTAAAAGCCAACACCAATTAGACTGAAAATGCCTCTCTCTCCACTTGTTTAACAAAATATCCTCTACTAATAAGCAATAGATTCTTGTTGGTTTCAAATACTCAAGGGCCACACATTTTTAAAATTCTGATATGCTCAAAGTATATTCTAAGTGTTTAAGGTTGTTCTTGTCAGAATTGAATTTGTCACACACCACTTTTTGTTTTTACTAGCTCCCAGCAGATACCCAATACATGTTAACTGAAAAAATTACAAATAGAACCTGTGAATCACTACTTGTCTAACAAAGGACTTTAACAAATGTGTATGGAATGCTTGATGTGCACCAGAAACTGAAGCCCTGGAAAAGGTGAGAAAGCATGCTGTTTCTGGCCTTTCAAGAGCTCCCCAAGTACCAGGGAACCAGGGCTCTGCTACAAATACTAATATCTAATGTAATAGAGTGAGACTTCCACTACTGAGCACAATGAGGGTGAGGGACTGGGTTTACCCTCCTGCCTGAGACAACCAAAGCAAACCAAAAAACAAAACAGACAAAACCCAGAGTCCTCAAGACACTGGACATGAGCAATGAAGGACAGTGATCCCTGGGAGACGAGAGACTAAGTCAGCCCTATGGCTGCCCCAACTCGCTGCTTTGAGAGAGTTCCTAGGCTGTGGCACAAGGAGGAGGGACAGGCAACCCTCTGAATTGAAGAGGTGCTGAGAATCTAAGGAGACCAAGACAGCCACAGTTCATAAGACAGAGCACCAGAGAAGAGAAAACAAGACAGAGAGAGCTCTGGAGATCTGGGGAAGGTCCCTCTCGAGTACTCAGCAGAGATATGTGTGTGAGAAAACTCCCTGAGGCCAGGGAAAGAAGCATTGGAAAGGATTAGAAGGAGCAGAGCTCAGCGCTCACACAGGGCTAGAAAGTCACTGTTCTCAGCAGGCGGACTGGAAAACCCAAACTTTCTGGTTCATTAGGTAGAGTACTCAGGATGGTCTTGCCTCCTAAGCATGGTACCTAATTATTCCTAAAGAGGAATAATTAGTCCAAAAAAAAAATTAGTCCTAAACTAAGCACTGCTCCAACCCATCTGACAAATTATAAAGCAAGACCCAAAAGAGTAAACCATCTATATGTAACTCAACTAACCTCAGAACAAAGCTCAAGAAGATCTATGGGAACACAAAAATATATAGCATCCAACAAAGTAAAATTCACAAGGTTGGGCATCCAATAAAAAATTGGCAGCCATACAAAGAGGCAGGAAAATACAACCCAAAACGAGGAGTATCAATCAACCAATGAGAAACACCAAGAACTGGGAAGTTATTAGAAGATCTTAGAACTAGCAGAGAAGGATATTAAAACAGTTATTACAATTGTGTTCACAAAGCTAAACAGAAACACAGGGAGACATTTTTAAAAGACCTAAATCAAACTTCTAGAGATAAAAACAAAATTAGTGATATACACTGAACAGGGGCCAGACACGGTGGCTCATGCCTATAATCCCAACACTTTGGGAGACCGAGGCGGATGAATCACCTGAGGTCAGGAGTTCAAGGCCAGTTTGGCCAACATGGTGAAACCCCATCTCTAATAAAAATACACAAATTAGCCAGGTGTGGTGGCACGTGCCTATAGTCCCAGCTACTCGGGAGGCTGAGGCAGAAGAATTGCTTGAGCCTGGGAGGTGGAGGTTGCAGTGAGCTGATATCGCACCACTAAACTCCAGCCTGGGCAACAGAGTGAGACTGTTTCAAAAACAAAAAAAAAAATACGCTGGACAGGATTAACAACAGATTAACAGATTAACAACAGAGTAGACACTGTAGAAGAAAAGATCAGAGAACTTGAAAACACAATAATAGAAACTATACAAAACAGAAAACACATAAAACAATCAAACACTGAAAAGAGCATCAGTAAGCTATGGGACAACACTAAGCAATCATTCAGGAAATCACAGCCCCTTTAAGAGAGGGAAAAAAGGAGGGAGGCAGGGCAGAAAAAAAATCTTTGAAGAAATAATGGCCTAGCTGGGTGCAGTGGCTCACGCCTGTAATCCCAGCACTTTGGGAGGCCCAGGCGGGCAGATCACGAGGTCAGGAGATTGAGACCATCCTGGCTAACACAGTGAAACCTCGTCTCTACTAAAAATACAAAAAATTAGCCAGGCGTGGTGGCAGGCGCCTGTAGTCCCAGCTACTCAGGAGGCTGAGGCAGGAGAATGGCGTGAACCCAGGAGGCAGAGCTTGCAGTGAGCCAAGATAGTGTCACTGCACTCCAACGCAGGCGACAGAGCGAGACACTGTCTCAAAAAAAAAAAAAAGAAAGAAAGAAAGAAAGAATGGCCTAAAATTTTCCAAACTTTAAAAATACTATGAAGCCACAGACCCAACCTCAATAAACCCAGGCACAAGAAACACAAGATATAAAAAAACTACATCAGGGCATATCATTATCAAATCACCCAAAACAGACAGTATAAAGTCTGTCACCCATGCTGGAGTGCAATGGCATGATCATGGCTCTTTGCAGCCTCAACCTCCCAAGGCTCAAGCAATCCTCCCACCTCAGCCCCGAGTAGCTGGGACCACAGACGCATGCCACTGCGGCCAACTATTTTTGTTTTTCTTTTTGTAGAGACAGTTTCCCGGTTTGCAGATAAAGTCTTAAACCAGACAAAACATATAAAATGGAACAGTAAGGAGTTACATGAAAAATCGTCTATAATATAATGCAAAAGAAAAATCCAATGCATAATACATTTCAATTATGTATAAAAATGAGTATGGAATAAATAAGGATTAGAAGACAAGAAAAAACATTACCTGTCAAGAATGTGGAATTATTATTTTTTATTCCTAGTGTTGCTATTTAGAAAAAGAAAATGATTCTATTTTAATTCTAAAGTCTCTGTGCCTTTAAATCCTGGAACTAGGTAAACTCACAGAAGTCTGAAGAAAACCTGCTCATACCCGTCGCCACATCAAGCTCACCTCTCCAGCTACACTTGTGCTCAGACCTCAACACCCAGCCCCGCACACATGCAGAGGCCTATGCATGTTGGTGCAGGGGCTCTGATGCCTTCACCTAAGCAAGGTCACAGATAAGGCTCAATAGTTTGTATATCTCAAGCCTGGCCTGACAATCTAAGCATCTGGATATCTTTCCAGCTGCCTCAGAACTGCTGTGTGGCAGAAAGAGATCTGAAACCTTGCCATGCTGTGAGTCAGTGAGGGAGATTCCTCAAAACAGTCAGGGGCCAAGTGCAAACAAGAACCTGTGAAAGCTTCTACCCTACATATCCCCCTCTAAAAGACCACGGATAAAAACTCAACAATTAAGCAGGTGAGGCTTCCAAAGTACAAACAAAAGGATATGCGAGAAAGCTAAAATGGGCCTCTGTCTTGAAACAGCAAAAAAGATGAACTTAGAAAAACAAAAAAGGAGAGGTGAGTAAATCTACCTTTAACTGTAAAGACACAGGCCAGAGAATAAGATGCTTAATTATCCAGTTATTCTTATGCCAAATGTAAAAATTTTCAGAGATGAGCTTATTATCTTTATGTACCTTTAAAAATATATACATACACACACAACCATATGGCTGATTTCAAGAATATAAAGATCAACTAACATCAATCTTCATTAAATTGTGACTTATTAATAATTTACTTTTATTATTTGGATAAGGCAGCATTTGATACATTCACTGACTGTAACTGAAAAACAGCCATTTCTATATATGACAGTCATAATAATAAGGTTAAAAAAAAACCCACATACAAAAAAGAAAATCTTACTATTTAAAGAATCCCAGTTAGATGATTTTTATTTCAGTATAATCTCACGTTCAAATTTAAAACATATAGTATTTTCCATTTTGCTAAAATGTGTTATACATGGAGACTGCTGGCCACTAAAAACTACTTATTAAGCACAGTGGTTTAGGGCAAAGAGAGGGAGATCTGAAAATATGGCTGGGCGTGGTGGCTGACACCTGTGATCCCAGCACTCTAGGAGGCTGAGGTGGGTGGATCACAAGGTCAGGAGTTCGAGACTAGCCTGGCCAATGTGGTGAAACCCCATCTCCACTAAAAATACAAAAAATTAGCCAGGCATGGTGGCAGGTGCCTGTAATCCCAGCTACTCCGGAGGCTGAGGTAGGAGAATCGCTTGAAACCAGGAGGCAAAGGTTGCAGTGGGCCGAGATTGTGCCGATGCACGTCAGCCTGGGCGACAGAGCAAGACTCCACCTCAAAAAACAAGGGATGCTTCCAAAATGGCCGAATAGGAACAGCTCCAGTCTACAGCTCCCAGTGAGATCGACACAGAAGACAGGTGATTTCTGCATTTCCAACTGAGGTACCTAGTTCATCTCACTGGGACTTGCTGGACAGTGGGTGCAGCCCACGGAGGGCAAGCCGAAGCAGGGCGGGGTGTTGCCTCACCTGGGAAGCACAAGGGGTCGGGGGACTTCCCTTTCCAAGCCAAAGGAAGCCATGAGTGACTGTACCTGAAGGAGCAGTACACTCCTGCCCAAATACTGCACTTTTCCCACAGTCTTCACAACCAGCAGACCAGGAGATTCTCTCCTGTGCCTGGCTCAGCGGGTCCCACGCCCATGGGGCCTTGCTCACTGCTAGCGCAGCACTCTGAAATCGACCTGGGATGCAGGAGCTTGGCTGGGGGAGGGGTGTCCACCACTGCTGAGGCTAGAGTAGGTGGTTCTATGCTCACAGTGTAAACAAAGCAGCAGGGAAGCTCGAACTGGGCAGAGCCCACTGCAGCTCAGCAAGGCCTACTGCCTCTCTAGATTCCACCTCTGGGGGAAGGGCACATCTGAACAAAAGGCAGCAGACAGCTTCTCCAGATTTAAACATACGTGCCTGACAGCTCTGAAGAGAGCAGTGGTTCTCCCGGTACGGCATTCAAGCTCCGATAATGAACAGACTGCCTCAAGTGGGTCCCTGACCCCCATGTAGCCTGACTGGGAGACACCTCCCAGTAGGGGCCAACAAACACCTCATACAGGCAGACACCTTCGTGCTCTGGGACGATGTTTCCAGAGGAAGGATCAGGCAGCAATATTTGCTGTTCTGCAGCCTCTGCTGGTGATGCCCAGGCAAACAGGGCCTGGAGTGGACCTCCAGCAAACTCCAACAGACCTGCAGCTGAGGGGCCTGTCTGTTAGAAGGAAAACTAACAAACAGAAAGGAATAGCATCAACATCAACAAAAAGGACACCCACACCAAAACCCCATCCGTAGGTCACCAACATCAAAGACCAAAGGTAGATAAAACCACAATGATGGGGAGAAACCATAGCAGAAAGGCTGAAAATTCCAAAAACCAGAACACCTCTTCTCCTCCAAAGGATCACAACTCCTCACCAGCAAGGGAACAAAACTGGATGGAGAATGAGTTTGATGAATTGACAGAAGTAGGCTTCAGAAGGTCGGTAATAACAAACTTCTCCGAGCTAAAGGAGCATGTTCTAACCCATCACAAGGAAGCTAAAAACCTTGAAAAAAATGTTAGACTAATGGCTAGAATAACCAGTGTAGAGAAGAGCTTAAATGACCTGATGGAGCTAAAAACCACAGAACGAGAATTTTGTGAAGTATACACAAGCTTCGACAGCCGATTCAATCAAGCAGAAGAAAGGATATCAGTGATTGAAGATCAAATTAATGAAATAAAGCGAGAAGACAAGATTAGAGAAAAAAGAGTGAAAAGAAATGAACCAAGCCTCCAAGAAATATGGGACTATGTGAAAAGACCAAATCTACGTTTGATTGGTGTACCTGAAAGTGATGGGGAGAATAGAACCAAGTTAGAAAACACTCTTCAGGATATTATCCAGGAGAACTTCCCCAACCTAGCAAGGCAGACCAACATTCAAATTCAGGAAATACAGAGAACACCACAAAGATACTCCTCGAGAAGAGCAACCCCAAGACACATAATCATCAGATCCACCAAGATTGAAATGAAGGAAAGGGCAGCCAGAGAGAAAGGTCGGGTTACCCACAAAGGGAAGCCCATCAGACTAACAGCAGATCTCTCTGCAGAAATCCTACAAGCCAGAAAAGAGTGGGAGCCAATATTCAACATTCTTTAAAAAAAGTATTTTCAACCCAGAATTTCATATCCAGCCAAACTAAGCTTCATAAGTGAACGAGAAATAAAATCCTTTACAGACAAGCAAATGCAGAGATTTTGTCACCACCAGGCCTGCCTTACAAGAGCTCCTGAAGGAAGCACTAAACATGGAAAGGAACAACCAGTACCAGCCACTGCAAAAACATGCCAAATTGTAAAGACTACTGACGCTATGAAGAAACTGCATCAGTTAACGGGCAAAATAACCAACTAGGATCATAATGACAGGATCAAATTCACACATAGCAATATTAACCTTAAATGTAAATGGGCTAAATGCCCCAATTAAAAGACACAGACTGGCAAATTGGATAAAGAGTCAAGACCCATTGGTGTGCTGTATTCAGGAGACCCATCTCACATGCAAAGACACTCATTGGCTCAAAATAAAGGGATGGAGGAAGATCTAACAAGCAAATGGAAAGCAAAAAAAAAGCAGGGATTGCAATCCTAGTCTCTGATAAAACAGACTTTAAATCAACAAAGTTCAAAGGAGACAAAGAAGGCCATTACATAATGGTAAAGGGATCAATTCAACAAGAAGAGCTAACTATCCTAAATATACACGCCCCCAATACAGGAGCACCCAGATTCATGAAGCAAGTTCTTAGAGACCTACAAAGAGACTCCCACCCGGTAATAGTGGGAGACTTTAACACCCCACTGTCAATATTAGGCAGATCAATGAGCCAGAAAATTAACAAGGATATCCAGGACTTGAACTCAGCACTGGACCAAGCGGACCTAATAGACATCTACAGAACTCTGCACCCCAAATCAACAGAACATACATTCTTCTCAGCACCACATTGCACTTATTCTAAAACTGACCACATAGTTGGAAGTAAAACACTCCTCAGCAAATGTAAAAGAACAGAAATCACAACAAACTGTCTGTCAGACCACAGTGCAATCAAATTAGAACTCAGGATTGAGAATCTCACTCAAAACCACACAACTACATGGAAACTGAACAACCTGCTCTTGAATGACTACTGGGTAAATAACGAAATGAAGGCAGAAATAAAAATTTTCTTGGAAACCAATGAGAACGAAGACACAACATACCAGAATCTCTGGGACACATTTAAAGCAGTGTGTAGAGGGAAATTTATAGCACTAAATGCCCACAAGAGAAAGCAGAAAAGATCTAAAATTAACACCCTAACATCACAATTAAAAGAACTAGAAAAGCAAGAGCAAACAAATTCAAAAGCTAGCAGAAGACAAAAAATAACTAAGATCAGAGCAGAACTGAAGGAGATAGAGACACGAAAAAAAACCCTCCAAAAAAAATCAATGAATCCAGGTGCTGGTTTTTTGAAAAGATCAATAAAATAGGTAGACCGCTAGCAAGACTAATAAAGAAGAAAAGAGAGAAGAATCAAATAGACTCAATAAAAACGATAAAGGGGATATCACCACCGATCCCACAGAAATACAAACTACCATCAGAGAATACTATAAACATCTCTACCCAAATAAACTAGAAAATCTAGAAGAAATGGATAAATTCCTGGACACATACACCCTCCCAAGACTAAACCAGAAAAAAGCTGAATCTCTGAATAGACTGATAACAGGTTCTAAACTTGAGGCAATAGTTAATAGCCTACTAACCAAAAAAAGTCCAGGATGGATTCACAGCCGAATTCTACCAGAGGTACAAAGAGGAGATGGTACCATTCCTTCTGAAACTATTCCAATCAATAGAAAAAGAGAGAATCCTCCCTAACTCATTTTATGAGGCCAGCATCATCCTGATACCAAAGCCTGGCAGAGACACAACAAAAAAAGAGAATTTTAGGCCAATATCCCTGATGAACATCGATGTGAAAATCCTCAATAAAATACTGGCAAACTGAATCCAGCAGCACATCAAAAAGCTTATCCACCACAATCAAGTCAGCTTCATCCCTGGAATGCAAGGCTGGTTCAACATACGCAAATCAATAAACGTAATCCATCACATAAACAGAACCAACAACAAAAACCATATGATTATCTCAACAGATGCAGAAAAGGCCTTTGACAAAATTCAACAGCCTTTCATGCTAAAAACTCTCAATAAACTAGGTATCGATGGAACGTATCTCAACATAGTAAGAGCTATTTATGACAAACCCACAGCTAATATCATACTGAATGGGCAAAAACTGGAAGCATTCCCTTCGAAAACCGGCACAAGACAAGGATGCCCTCTCTCACCACTCCTATTCAACATAGTATTGGAAGTTCTGGCCAGCGCAATCAGGCAAGAGAAAGCAATAAAGGGTATTCAAATAGGAAGAGAGGAAGTAAAACTGTCCCTGTTTGCAGATGACATGATTGTATATTTAGAAAACCCTATTGGTTCAGCTCAAAATCTCCTTAAGCTGATTAGCAACTTCAGCAAAGTCTCAGGATACAAAATCAATGTGCAAAAATCACAAGCATTCCTATACACCAATAACAGACAAACAGAGAGCCAAATCATGAGTGAACTCCCATTCACAAATGCTACTAAGGGAATGAAACACCTAGGAAGACAACTTACAAGGGATGTGAAGGACCTCTTCAAGGAGAACTACAAACCACTGCTCAAGGAAATAAGAGAGGACACAAACAAATAGAAAAACATTCCATGTTCATGGATAGGACGAATCAATATCGTGAAAATGGCCTTGCTGCCCAAAGTAATTTATAGATTCAATGCTATCCCCCCATCAAGCTATCACTGACTTTCTTCACAGAATTGGAAAAAACTATTTTAAACTTCATATGGAACCAAAAAAGAGCCTGCATAGCCAAGACAATCCTGGGCTAGAAGAACAAAGCTGGAGGCATCACACTACCTGACTTCAAACTATACTACAACACTACAGTAACCAAAACTGCATGGTACTGGTACCAAAACAGATATATAGACCAATGGAACAGAACAGAGGCCTCAGAAATACCACCACACATCTACAATCATCTGATCTTTGACAAACCTGACACACATAAGCAATGGGGAAAAGATTCCCTATTTAATAAATGGTGTTGGGAAAACTGGCTAGCCACATGCAGAAAACTGAAACTGGACCCCTTCCTTATACCTTACACAAAAATCAACTCAAGATGGATCAAAGACTTAAACATAAGACCTAGGACCATAAAAATCCTAGAAGAAAACCTGGGCCATAACATTCAGGACATAGGCATAGGCAAAGACTTCATGTCTAAAACACCAAAAGCAATGGCAACAAAAGCCAAAATTGACAAACGGGATCTAATTAAACTAAAGAGCTTCTGCATAGCAAAAGAAACTATCATCAGAGTGAACAGGCAACCTACAGAATGGGATAAAATTTTTGCAATCTACCCATCTGACAAAAGATTAACATCCAGAATCTACAAAGAACTTAAACAAATTTACGAAAAAAAAGCAAACAACCCCATCAAAAAATGGACAAAGGATATGAACAGACACTTCGCAAAAGAAGACATTTATGCAGCCAACAGACATACGAAAAAATGCTCATCACCACTGGTCATTAGAGAAATGCAGATCAAAATCACAATGAGATACCATCTCACGCCAGTTAGGATGGCGATCGTTAAAAAGTCACGAAACAACAGATGCTGGAGAGGTTGTGGAAAAATAGGAACACTTTTACACTGTTGGTGGGAGTGTAAATTAGTTCAACTATTGTGGAAGACAGTCTGGCGATTCCTCAAAGGTCTAGAACTAGAAATACCATTTGACCCAGCAATCCCATTACTGGGCATATACCCAAAGGATTATAAATCATTCTACGATAAAGACACATGCACATGTATGTTTATTGTGGCACTAGTCACAATAGCAAAGACTTGGAACCAACCCGAATGTCCATCAATGATAGACTGGATTAAGAAAATGTGGCACATATACACCATGGAATACTATACAGCCATAAAAAAGGATGAGTTCATGTCCTTTGCAGGCACATGGATGATGCTGGAAACCATCATTCTCAGCAAACTATCACAAGATCAGAAAACCAAACACCGCATGTTCTCACTCACAAGTGGAAATTGAACAATGAGAACACATGGGCACAGGGAGGAGAACATCACACACCGGGGCCCATGGGGAGTGAGGGGACTGGGGGAGGGATAACATTAGGAGAAATACCTAATGTAGGTGATGGGTTGATGGGTGCAGCAAACCATCATGGCACGTGTATACCTATGTAACAAAACTGCACATTCTGCACATGTAACCCAGAACTTAAAGTATAATAAATAAATAAACAAATATAAATAAAACTGAAATTAGCCACCAAAAAAAAGAAAAAGAAAATCTACGAGACTTTTAACTCAGGCTCTGCCGCTGACTTTCTGTGAGATAAGTCAGAGACTATCTGTGTCAGAGAATATGACTGTCAACCCCAGCTCTGTTACTTCCTCAGGCACAAAAGAGCAAGTCACACCTCCCGCCCCGCCCCCTTACCCGTCTGTTTTGCCCCTTTCCACTTGAAAAGGTCAAGTTAAGAAATAAAGGACTCTACAAACACATTTTGAAACCCACTGATTTTCCAAACTAAACTGGGTCTAAGCTAATACATGATAACAGACAAAAATAGAATACAAATAGAAACTTCCCCCTAAACTTCATGGCTAAGGCAGAGTCAGACTTGGGTCCTGTGACGCAAGCACGTGGGGCAGGGAGGAGTCTCCCGGAGGCACCCTGGAGAACCAGGCTCCATCCTAGATGAACTCAGCCCAGAAGACGCACATCAAGTGTGCCAGCCACAACCCAAGGAGAAAAAACAAGACACAAACCTTCCCAATGTCCTGCAGTGTGGCCAGCTCTAGTATCTGAGAAAGAACATCCAAGGCTGAGCGGAGAAACCCTCCAAACTTTTCCGTGCTGTTCTGAAGATCCAGCGTGACCTTGGGAAGGTGAAGGAGAGAACACACGGTTACTGGCCCTGTCACGATCTCATAATGTACAACCAAAGACACAAACATCGACGGCTGCAGCAGATGCCTCCACTGTGCGGCGCCGTACACTCACCTTGCAGGGTGTGTCTGCGTGTTTGTTGTCAGCACTGGAAAAATATTTTGGAAAGAAATTCCTTTCAGATAGCTATACAAAAACTACTCTTTCAAAGGCTTTCAGGTTACACTGGCGCTACTGGAAGAAATAATTCCTAACTTTCTTTCATAATGAGAAAAAAGGGTTAAATGTCCATCATAATCAGTATCTGGTATGTGGTATATCAAAAAATAGAAAATACTAAGTCCTATTCCTTATACACTAGGATCCCTGGGAGAAATCACTGTCAAATTCACATAGGGTTGGTTCAATTTGGATACAATAAAATATTAAATCAGGTGTAAGATGTGTTAAGATTCTAAAGGATTTCATGTAATTAAATTATACAGCAATTCTATTTTACAGACTCAGAGAATGGGTCAGGACCAAAGACATGCATAACAAGAAAGGTAAGGCGAGACTGACTAGGAAAATAAATATTGGTAAAACACTGCCTCAGAAAAGAAGGTGCTCAGTGAACATAAATCTAAGAACCCTTGTGAAAGAGAAGCTTTCTCTGGGCGAAGTCAGAAGCAGGCAAGAGACAGACACAGAAACTGAAAATGTGAGTGGATCTAAATACCATGACTACGCTAGTCAACCTGGGTGTGCCCTAAGGCCAGCCAAAGGAAAGAAAAATCCAGCAGTGACACCACTGAGGGTCCAAGGAACGAGGTGATGTGGTGATGTCATGTGAGATGAAGAGCCCAGGGAAGAAAGGGTTCTCCTCCAATATGCACAGCAATCTGACCTCTCCTGGACAACAGGTAAGTGGGAGGGAAAAGAAGGCATGGAATTCTGGAAAGAGAAGTTCACCATGGGAAGTTCTAGCTCTCAAAGAAGGGAAAAGAGGTCATGAGATGAGAATTAAGATGAAAAAGCTTCCAGGTCTTCAGAAGAGCTGCAAAAGTTCTGTGGAGACTCGAAACCAAAGCAAGAAACCAGGGAAGACAAAAGGAATCAGAGGAGTGCAGGAAGGGCCACACAAGAAATGGGGAGTGGAGACGCTGAGCAACTCAGCAGAAGGAACCAAGGAAACCAGAGGCAATACTCAAAGATCCAGCAAGACACGCCAGGCACTCCAAACGCACTTCAGCTGAGAAGCTGCGCAGCAGGAGCTGACCGCGGGGATGACAGAGCAAAGGAAACAGGAGTCCAAGATGCCAGGGAGGCCAGAATTACAGCAGAACATGCTGGAGTTCAGGGTATTCAGGAAGGAAAATAATAAACAGATAGCAAGCACTAGGAGCATGGAAAGGTGCCCTGAAATTCAAGATGATATGAGTTGAAAACAGGTGGAAAAGAAGTATCTTCTCTACGGCATTTTTCAACATGCCGTCTTCTGCTTTGGGAGCTGACATGAGAACCATGCAGCTTAAAGAGACCTCAAACCTTGTAAAATATGAAGACTTTCATATCTTCCAAAATTATCAAACATCCTTCAGAAAATAAGCCACATACGTTTGATAAATGATTTTCAGGGGAAAAAAAACCCATAAGAAGTAACTATTAGTAACAAAAACAGAGGAATACCTGAGGATTCATTTATCAAGAAATGTGCAAGAGCTATGTGAAATAATCTTTAAGTTTTTTTTAAAATCCTTTAAATTTCATGTGCTTCTGAGGTAATTTAAAAAGTTCTGAACAAATAGGAAAGCATCCCACATTCTGGACAGGGTGACTTAACATCTGAGGTATAAGTTCTCCCTAAATCAATCTACAAGTAGAAGTTGATTCTATTGTTCACATCCCAAAATCAATAAAGAAGAATATCCAGAAAATTCTAAAGAACAACAGGGGAACTGATCCCCTCATAAATACCATTAAGCTACAATAATTAAGAAGTATACTTGTAGCCGGGTGCAGTTGCTCACACCTGTAATCCCAGCACTTTGGGAGGCCAAGGAGGGAGGATTACTTAAGCCAGGAGCTTGAGACCAGCCCAGGCAACTTAGGGAGACCCTGTCTCTACAAAAAATGTAAAAATTAGCTGGGTGTGGTGGCACATGCCGGTAGTCCCAGGTACTCAGGAGCTGAGGTGGGAGGATCACTTGAGCCCTGAGACTGCAGGGAGGCATGGTTGCACCACTGCACTCCAACCTGGGGACAGAGCAAGACTCTGTCTAAAAAAGAAAAAAAAAAAACAAGGATGCTTCTAATAGATGAGCAGACAGATAGATTGATATAACAAAATAATAAATGAAACTACTGAAACTAGAGAACTATGAGAATGTAAGTAACTCAAGCCAATTAGTGCAGAAAAATTCTTCTGTAAACATTATTGGGGACAACCAAAAACAAAAATTAAATTAGACACATACTTCATATCTAACAAATTGCAGATGAACAGAAAATTTTAAAGTTAAAAAAAAAAATGAACTAAAAAACTAAAACATCCCTAGACAGAAAGGCTGGCTCTTGGGGGTATCTGGTGAACAGTTTCTTACGCTGACATAAACTTTCCCTAGCTGATAACAAGTGGCTCACCATGCCCAGACTATTTGAAACACATGGTTTATGCCGAACACCTGCTTTTCTTCTGTGAGTCTGGAATTGTGGCTCATGTTAGGCAGAGGGTACCTGCAGGACCAGCATGTTGCTGTATTTTTGTGTGAGCCTCACGGGAGGGAAGGAAGCCTGTACACGGATCCCTCCAGACTCCACCAGGGCCACTTCCCCCTATAACCTGGCTGCACATCCTAGCTCTGTCACTGTAATCAATCTTAGCTGTGAGTACAAACAATATGAAAATCCAAAACACCTGTATGATAGAAGCTATCATAAACAAAGCTGAAAGACAAACAAACTTGAAAAAACTAAATGTAACTCATATCTCAAAGGGCTTATACATCCTACAAATCATAAGAAAAACATCAACTATCCATTAGACGTAAGTATGTGTGCATATATATTTTTAAAAGATGCAGAGGCCCATACCTTGTAGTTAGCGTGTGTAGCTTTCAGGACATCATGCAGTTTGAGGTATGAAGGAAGATGATAGAAACTCCCCAGTGATGAGGATTTACTTGTTGTAACAGGACCTGAGGTATCAGATTGTCTAGAAGCTTTAAAAATATGCACACAAAAGATAAACTTTTAGATCAAAATAACTTGCCAAGTTTTAAAGAGATTACTGGAAATCATGATTTTTTAAAGTATTCTAGTATGAAAATATTCAAGTATTTCCTCTGACCTTTTGATTAACTAGAAGTAATGAGAAATTGACTAACAAACATAAGTAGAGCCTAAGTACTTTTTAAATAACAAAATAAGAAGAGCAGTGTGCACAGTTGTTTTGTTATGATTGCTTGTTTGCTTTGTGAGAAATCAGTTAGAGAATCATAGGAGCAGCTGATTCAAGGACCACTGGCCAATTCCAGAACCTCTCTGAGCCTAAGATTCCTTAGTGGCCAACAACTTCATGAGCACACCAAGTAATCAAACAGGGATGATGTAAAAATGTTTTAAAGACGGCAAAGGCACAAACATTATCATTAAACCGATACTAAATATTAAAGTGCCAAGCACTATATACAACTATTCTACTTCAGTTTGAAGACTTTTGACTTGGAGTCCTTAGTTTATTTAATTCATCAGAAAGATGATAGTAATATACTGATAATTTTACACTTGTAAAGGCTGAGGCTTTTCAACAGGTCAATCTTCCTCCTGTACTACAGTCAATCCTTAGAAAAGAGCATCTTTTAAAACGCTTGAGGCCGGGTGCAGTGGCTCACACCTGTAATCCCAGCACTTTGGCAGGCCAAGGCAGGCGGATCACTTGAGGTCAGGAGTTCGAGACCAGCCTGGCCAACATGGTGAAACTCCACTTCTACTAAAAATACAAAAATTAGCCAGGTGCAGTAGCATGTGCCTGTAATCCCAGCTACTCAGGAGGCTGAGGCAGGAGAATTGCTTGAACCTGGGAGGCGGAGGTTGCAGTGAGATGAGATCGTGCCATGGTACTCCAGCCTGGGTGAAGAAGACTCCATCTCAAAAAAAACCTTGAATGTGTTGGTCAAGGATACAAAATTTCATTTATAGACAGGAGGAATGAGTTCAAGAGATCTACTGTATAGCATGGTGACTGCAGTTAATAGCAATGTACCATATGCAAGAAAATCACTGAAAGAGTAGATTTTAAGTGTTCTCACCACAAAACAATGATACGTGAGGTGATGCACAGGTTAATTAGCCATTCCACAATGCATATGTATTTCTTCTTTTTTTTTTTTTTTTGAGACGGAGTCTCGCTCTATCGCCCAGGCTAGAGTGCAGTGGCATGAACTCAGCTCACTGCAACCTCCACCTGCCAGATTCAAGCAATTCTCCTGCCTCAGCCTCCCAAGTAGCTGGGACGACTGGCGCGAGCCACCATGCCCGGCTTTTTTTTTTTTTTTTTTTTTTTGTGGTATTTTTAGTAGAGACAGGATTTCACCATGCTGGCCAGTTTGGTCTTGAACTCCCGACCTCGTGATCCGCCCACCTCAGCCTCCCAAAGTGCTGGGATTACAGGTGTGAGCCACCACGCCTGGCCAATGTACACATATTTCAAACATCATGTTGTATATTACAGATATATACAATTTTGTCAATTAAAAATAAATAAATAGGCCGGGTACAGTGACTCATGCCTGTAATCCCAGCACTTTGAGAGGCTGAGGTGGACGGATCACGAGGTCAGGAGATCAAGACCATCCTGGCCAACAAGGTGAAACCCCGTCTCCACTAATAAAAAATACAAAAAATTAGCCAGGTGTGGTGGTGCACACCTGTAGTCCCAGCTACTCAGGAGGCTGAGGCAGGAGAATTGCTTGAACCCAGGAGGCAGAGCTTGCACTGAGCCGAGATTGCACCACTGCACTCCAGCCTGGGTGACAGAGTGAGACTCTGTCTCAAAAAAATAAATAAATAAAATAAATAAATAAATAAATAGCCTTGATATAAATGCTATATACACAAAACAAATGGGAGAACCATCACTGGCCCCTGGGTGCCAAGAGACAGCGTGAGAATGGGTCTGGAGGGAGACTGTACAGACAGGTGGCCAGGCGTCCCAGATAGCAGAGGCAGCAGCAGTCACTTCATGCTTTGCCAGGCTCCTCTCCTGCCCCTGCCACTGCCCACCGAGAGCAGTATGGATGGGAATTCAATAAACTGCAGTCACACCTAAATCCTAGCCCCTTCTGTTCTGACCTTTTCATGGGTAAAAAAAGGTCCTCCAAACTTGTGAATGGTTTAAGCTCCTCCAACTCAGATGACTTTATCCCCACTTTCTCTCGCCTTTAGCTCTTCCAAATGTAAATATTCCATTTCCAATCAGAATTTTTGACATATCAGAATCAGTTTTTTCACTCACTACATCTATTCCTAAGCATCTACACCACTTCCCTTACTGAAAATCAGGAGGCCTCTCCAGCCATCACCTGCAACCAGGGAAGCATAGGAGAGTGATGCTCCATGCTAGGGCTGGAAGCCTGGAGGCTGTAGGGGCTGCATGTCAGCCAGTGGCACTTAGAAATGCTTCAGACCAAAAGGTGGTCTGTGTACATCAGTCATTAGTTTCTAATATCTTGAACCGCACCTGGAGAAACTTTCTCTCACTTTACTGATGTGTATTATATTTATTTCTCTAAAACACCAAGTTACTTAAATCCTATGTTTCTACATGACAGATGCTGCACTCATGTCCCTCCCTTCCCCACGCTGTTTCCTACCTGCACTGGCCTCACTGCCTTTCTTGGGACTCAACGGTACAGATGCTTGTTCTCCTGGTTCTTTCTCCTTCCCCTTTCGTCGGATGGGACTTAGAGAAGGGGGGTTTGTTAGAGAAGGCAAGGCTGCCTAAAATAGAAAAACAAAAACAAAAAACAAAAAAACAAAAACATGTGATGGAAGTATAACAAAACTGAAAATTAGAATATTTGGTTTTACCATTTATTAAAAAGAGCTAACCCATGTCACTCATTTTGTTCTTGGACCCTGATATGTACAGTTCAGACACTGTACACATTTTATTTACTTTTACCCACACAATGATACATGGTAGGGACTGGCCCACAACTTCCTAACAGGTGCACAGAGAATGAGTTGAAGATGGAAGGAGCCCTCAGGGAGCCCCCAGGCCCATGCCCTCCAACAGCAAACAACCAGGGCATTCTATGTTGGCCATGACGCCATGACATGAAAGGGGTACAAAGCAGCATTTTTTTTTTCTTTTTTGAGACAGGGTCTCACTCGTCACCCAGGATGGGGTGCAATCATATTTCATTGTAGCCTCAACCTCCTGGGCTCAAGCAATCCTCCCACCTCAGCCTCCAGAGTAGATGGGACCACAGGCACACGCCACATCACCCAGCTAATTTTTTAATTTCTTGAGGAGACAGGATCTCACACTATGATGCCCAGGCTGGTCTCGAACTCCAAGCTCCAGTGATCCTCCCATCTCAGCCTCCCAAAGTGCTGGAATTACAGGCATGAGCCACCGTGCCCAACCCAAAGCAGCATTTTAAACTCCTGTTTCTAAAAGAGGAAACAGGCTCAGAGATGAAGTAACTTATTCAAGGTCACAGCTGGTTACCAGCAAAGCTAGAAGTCAACAAATCCAGATGTATTCATAAAGCCTCAACTATCTCCAATACACAACACATGAGAGCATATAGAACATCGAGACTCCCAATGCTCTAGGAGGCAGCCATCATGGAGCAGAGTGAAGGCAAGATGACTGACATGTGGAATTGAGGTCCTAGCTCTGCTACTTACTCACTCCCTGATCTTAGAAAAGTGCTTGTTATGGTTTCAATGTCTATAGTCCCCCAAATTTATACACTGAAACTTAATTACCAGGGTGATGGTATTAGGAGGTGGGGCCTTTGGGAGGTGACTGGGTCATGAGGGCAGACCCCTCATGAATGAGATTAGCATCCATATATAAGAGGCCCCACAGAGCTTCCTCACCCCCTCACCACATGAGGGCAAGGCGAAAGTCCTGGATCTTGGACTTCCCAACCTCCAGAAGTGTGAGAAGTAAATTCTGTTGTTGAAGCCACCCAGGCTATGGTATTTTGTTATGGCAACCCATGCTGACTAAGACAGTCACCTTAAACCATAATAGGATGAATGGCTACAATCGGGTGCATGGACTGGAAGGCATCAGGGAAGAAATGCAGACAGTAAATGAAAGGTTAGCCGGGCATGGTGGCTCACGCCTGTAATCCCAGCACTTTGGGAGGCCGAGGCAGGCGGATCATGAAGTCAGGAGATCGAGACCACCCTGGCTAACATGTTGAAACCCATCTCTACTAAAAAAAAAAAAAAAAAAAATTAGCCAGGCATGGTGACATGGGCCTGTAGTCCCAGCCACTCGGGAGGCTGAGGCAGGAGAATCGCTTGAACCCGGGAGGCAGAAGTTCCGTCACAATTTAAAAAAAAAAGAAAAACAGAGAGGCTGCTACACTGAAAACCCTGCTTGGTAGAAGGCACCAGTCACAAGCTCACTGACTGTATGAGCCCATCCACAGTAATGTCCAGAAGACGTAGAGTCACAGAGACAGAAGGCAGGTTAGTGGCTGCCTGCAGCTGGAGGCATGGAGGTTTTGGGTAAAGAGTACAGAGTTCCTTTATGGGTTCTAAAACTGATTCTGGTGATGGCTGTACAACTCTGTGGGCATACTAAAGAGAATGAATTATATACTTTAAATGGGTGAATTATATGAATTATCTCAAGAATGCTGTTTCCTGGCTGGGAGCGGTAGCTCACGCCTGTAATCCCAGCACTTTGGGAGGCCGAGGCGGGCTAATCACGAGGTCACAAGTTCGAGACCAGCCTGGCCAACATGGTGAAACCCCGTCTCTACTAAAAATACAAAAAGTTAGCTGGGTGTGGTGGCAGGCGCCTGTAATCCCAACTACTCGGGAGGCTGAGGCAGGAGAATCACTTGAACCTGGGAGGCAGAAGTTGCAGTGAGCTGAGATCGCGCCAACCCACTCCAGCCTGGGCGACAGGCTGAGACTCTGTCTCAAAAAAAAAAAAAAATCAAAAAATTAGCTGGGCATGGTGGGTATGCCTGTAGTCCCAACTACTGAGAAGGCTGAGGCAGAAGGATCACTTGAGCCTGGGAGATCGAGGCCGCAGTGAGCTATGATCATGACACTGCACTCCAAGCTGGGCAACAGAATGACACCCTATCTCAAAAAAATTAAATTAAATTTTTTAAAAAATGCTGTTTCCAAAACAAAAGGCTAGTGCAGTAATCCAAATGAGATAGTATATCAGTCTGGACCAGAAGTGGCAGAGAATATAAAGTATGCATATGTACATGTATTATGTGTCCATGTACAGGTGCATGCATATGTGCAGAGGTCCCCAAACTTTTTGGCACCAGGGACCGGTTCTGTGGAAGACAATTTTTCCACAAACCAGGGTTGGCGGGGGATGGTTTCGGGATGAAACTGTTCCACCTCAAATCATCATCAGGCATTAGATTCTCATAAGGAGCATGCAACCTAGATCCCTCAAATGTGCAGTTCACAATAGGGTTCATGCTCTGATATGGTTTGGCTCTGTGTCCCCACCCAAATCTCATGCTGAATTGTAATCTCCAGTGTCGGAGGTGGGGCCTGGTGGGAGGTGATTGGATCATGGGGGTAGTTTCTAATGGTTGAGCACCATCCCCCTGGTGCTCCTTTGTGTAGCAACTCCCCCTACAGGCACTCTCCTTTCTCCCTCCTCTCTCCCTCTCAATCTTTCTTTTTCTCTCTCTCTCTCTGTCTCTCTCTCTCTCTCCTTCTCTCTTTTTCCTGTGGGCCATGTGAAGATGTGCCTACTTCCCCTTCACCTTCTGCCATGACTGCAAGTTTCCTGAGGCCTTCCCAGAAACAGAAGCCTGTACAGCCTGCAGAACTGTGAGCCAATTAAACCTCTTTTCTTTATATGTCTCAGGTATGTCTTTACAGAAGTGTGAGAACGAACTCATACACGCTCCTATGAGAATCTAATGCCACCACTGGCCTGAGAGGAGATAGAGCTCAGATGGTAATGCTTGCTCACTTCTTCCTGTGCAGCCTGGTTTTTTTTTTTTTTGTTTTGTTTTGTTTTTGAGACAGAGTCTCGCTCTGTCGCCCAGGCTGGAGTGCAATGGCACAATCTCGGCTCACTGCAAGCTCCGCCTCCCAGGTTCACGCCGTTCTCCTGCATCAGCCTCCCAGGTAGCTGGGACTATGGGCGCCCGCCACCACACCCGGCTAATTTTTTTTTGTATTTTTAGTAGAGACGGGGTTTCACCGTGTGAGCCGGAATGGTCTCGATCTCCTGACCTTGTGATGCACTGGTCTCGGCCTCCCAAAGTTCTGGAATTACAGGCGTGAGCCACCACGCACGGCCTGCAGTCCGGTTTTTAACAGAGGTTGGGGACCCCTGCATATGTGCATGTATATGTGCATGTACATGTATGTGAATACAAAGGTACACACTTTCTTCTCGCAAAATATTTAGTAGGGGAAACAAAAGACTTGGTGAGTGGAAATGAAGACTTGTGGTGACCTGTTTCTAGCTTGATAAGACACAAAGTGGGGTAAATGGGGCAGGGGCAGATGTGGGGAGGAGGACAGAAAGCTGAGCTCATCACACCGTGTCTGACATATCCACAAATCAGCTATATGTAAGTGTCACGGGGCAGCTGGCTACATTGAACTGCAGCTCCAGAGACAGGTCCTCTGAGGTCCCTCATCTAGACACTGAAGACAGGAGAACAGCCCCGACTCTCAGGCTGCCCTGCCCAATACTGGAGCCACTACCCACATAAGGTTATTTAAATTTAAATTTAATGAAAATTAAACCGAATCGGGGTTCAGTTCTTCAGTCACACTAGCTGCATTTCAAGGGCTCAACAGCTATATGTGTTTAGTGGCTACTGTCTTGCCTGGCATAGCTATGGAGCACTGCCATGGTTATAGAAAATTCTGCCACTCTCTAGAACAGCACTGGCCCAGAGACTACAAAGAGAGAAGACGGCCTAGGACAGAGCCTAGAAAGCATGTGCTGGTGGGCAGGAAGGACTGAACCCAGTGACTGGGGAGTGGCAAGTGGGTAAGGGAACACCCAGGAGGCCCTCTGAAAGCCAACTGAAGAGGACACTCAAGATGGGGGTAGCAGCCTGCAGGATACAAAGAGGGAAAGGCAGGCAGGACCAGAGCAGTGCCCAGAGATGTAAAGACATGATCTGGGCGGGAAACGCTGCTATGGAGTGTGGCAACAGAAACCACCAGCAGGGGTTAAGGAAGGATGGCTGAAGTAGTAGACAGGGTCCAGGCCAAGAGAGCCAAAGAAGCCTTGCAAACAAGGTCCACCTCAGAGCAGTGGGAAGCTCTGTGGGCTGAGGCTGGGACTCTCCAGAGATGTTTGCAGAGAAGGGAGAAGACTGATGGCAGCTAAAGGAGAATGGGAAGTTAGTAGGGAGATTTTTAAAGGTAGAAGACAAGGCAAAGAGAGAGTAATCAGATATAAACAGTAAGTGAACTGGTCTATCTTAGGCTGGGCGTGGTGGCTCATGCCCGTAATCCCAACACTTTGGGAGGCCGAAGCGGATAGATCACTTCAGGTCAGGAGTTTGAGACCAACCTGACCAACATGGTGAAACCCCGTCTCTACTAAAACTACAAAAAAATTAGCTGGGTGTGGTGGTGCATGCCTGTAATCCCAGCTGTAATCTGCCTCGAGAGGCTGAGGCAGAAGAATCGTTTGAACCCAGGAGGCAGAAGTTGCAGTGAGCTGAGATCACACCATTGCACTCCAGCCCAGGCAACAAGAATGAAACTCCATCTCAAAAAAAAAAAAAAAAAAAAGTATGTGAACTGGTCTATCTTAAATCCATTGTACAAATAGTTAACATTTGTTTTGAAGTTGATTTTATTGCTTCACAGAAAAGCAAAACTGTCCCTGAGATTGGCAGAACATTCTACAACCATGGAAATGCTCCATAACTATGCTAGCCAGGACAGTAGCCATTAACCAAGATTTAAGGAGACAGCAATGAGGTACTTGGCCAGGAACATCAATTCTGAGCTTTCTTGGCTAATGCTGGAAACCTAAAACTAAAGCTAGGTATTTCCCTCTTAGGGATAACAGTGACTGATGATACTAAAAGAGCTATAAAACACATGGTCACATTTTTTTCTTCTTTTGGAAAGAGTCTGACTCTGTCACCCAGGCTGGAGTGCAGCGGCACAATCAAGGCTTACTGCAAACTCCGCCTCCCAGGTTCAAGCAACTCTCTTGCCTCAGCCTCCCAAGTAGCTGGGATTACAGGCACGCACCACCATGCCCATCTAATTTTTTTTTTGAGACGGAGTCTCGCTCTGTCACCCAGGCTGGAGTGCAGTGGCACGATCTCGGCTCACTGCAAGCTCCGCCTCCCGGATTCACGCCATTCTCCTGCCTCAGCCTCCCGAGCAGCTGGGACTACAGGCGCCCGCCACCATGCTCAGATAATTTTTTTGTATTTTTAGTAGAGACGGGGTTTCACTGTGTTAGCCAGGATGGTCTTGATCTCTTGACCTCGTGATCCGCCCACCTCGGCCTCCCAAAGTGCTGGGATTACAGGCTTGAGCCACCACGCCCGGCCCAACCCATCTAATTTTTTGTATTTTTAGTAGAGAGGGGGTTTCGTGATGTTGCCCAGGCTGGTCTCGAACTCTTGGCCTCAAGTGATCCACTTGCCTCAGTCTCCCAAAGTGCTGGAATAACAGGCACGAGCCACTGCACCCATCCACATGGTCACATTTTGATGTTAAATTTAGTGTCACAATCTGAGCAATTTTGTTCATTTAAAGCAAAAAGAGAATAAAGAAGGGACAGATTACTAAACAAAGGTAGTCTGGAAACCCATAGTCATTAAGGCTGTATGAATCCAGCACCCAAGTGGGACATTACCTTTATTGCGGGTCCAGGAGCCACGTCATCCAGGACGTGGGCACAAATGTTAATCACCTTCAGCAGGTGAGAGAAGAGCTGCTCCACCATGGGCACCAGGGCCCGGTCCCCCAGGGCTGGCCAGACCTCCTCTTGCTTGGTGGCTGCTGGGTTGGCTTCTTCTTCAGAGGCCCATGAACTTCTCAGAGATTTGGGAGCACTGGCTGTGATATGGGCACAGACATTACCTCTCCACCCCAATAGCATGGGAAGGACAAATTGCTTGGGGAACTGAAGTCATTTAAGACCCTATGTTGAGAGTTGGCCAGACATCTGTGCCTGATATTCAACTGATAAGCCAAACTCAAACTGAAACTGATGTTTCCCGCACAAATCTGTGTTCCCAATTTCCATGACTGTCACCACCACACACCTGCCCAGGATGTGAAGTCATCCCAGGTTTCTTTGTCTTCACAACCGAAGTTCAGTTGGTGAACCAGGCCTGGCAATTCTGCCTCCTTCATTCTCTTACAATCAGTGTCTTCCCTACAGTCCCAAAGCCATTATCTTGCCTTAGCATCAACATTAATCTCCTGAGTCTCCCTACCTTCTCCTCCAGCCCATGTTCAAGTTGGATGAATGATCTTATTAAAATACTCATCTTTTAGTCCCTTTCACGAAACTCTCCTATAGCCCCCTGAAGCAAATAGCACAGGCCCCAATTCTTTCATGGAGATTGGCAACTTCTCCCAAAATCAATTTCAATGGACTCCGTCTTCCTTGCTGGCCACATCCTCCATTATCATCGCCAAGGTGCTACACCCTCTCCGTGTTGTGCTCTTTCCTACCAGCCCATAAATCTGCCCAAGGAGAGTGATTAGGGCCACTCTGTGTGACCACTGCACTTTTGTTTACGTGTATCCCCCTCTAATCTAAAACTAACTTGAGAATGAAGTCCATACATTATACTTTCTTAACATCCCAGTGCCCGAGGGAGTACTGGCATATGGTGCCCATTAAAATGAAATTCAAAATGAGTTTACTTGTAGTTAACTGAGGGGCTATATTGGGAAGAGGCTACTTTAAAATACTCAGCACAGAACAGCTGCCAACTGCATGTGTTTATGCATATAGGTAACATCTGAAATTTGACTAAAGGGACAAGCCATCACTGGCAATGACCTTATAGTATTTTCCCCTCATATGCTCACCACCCCCATTCCCCCTAAGGAAATCAAAATCCAAGTCCTGGAGTCCCTGTTTCAACTCAGTACCAGTACCTGCAAGCAAGTTTCCGGCCAAAATCAAAGCATCTTGATGGGCTGAGAGATCCAATGGGAACCAAGCTGACGAGAGCAGGGTCAGAATCATTGTGGCCATCCCAACGGTACAGCTCTTCCTAGACTCATCTGAGGCACTCAGTGGAGGCACTCTGGAAGCAGACATTTGCAAAGTCAAATTATAGACAATTTTTAAGCAAACAACAGTCTTCCTTTCTCTTGCAATTCCAAGAGGAAGGCATGTCACAATACATTTTATACCAGCTCAGAAATTGTTTTATTTTTAATCAACTAACATCTTTCCTATAAATCAGAGCTCCATAAAAATCATTTGAGAAATGAAATCAGGTAGTAGATCTGAATGAAAGTATTGGGGCCTAAGTGTCCAATGAAGGAATGCTTTTACTAGGGCATATGACAATGGTTCTGCTGAACTGGAGATGAGACAGCTACCCAGACATTTGGGCATGTTAATGCCATTGAGTAAACAGGCACAAAATAAAAGAGAATTGGCTGGGGTGAACTCTTTATTACTATGGAAAAATAGTGTACTTGATACACAATGGGGCAGGTCTGACGTGGTTAGTTTTCCTGATATTATTATGTTGGTTCCCCAATGGTATCCTTTAACACGCCATATCTTGTAGTAAAAGTTATTGAAAGACAAATTGCAACCTCAAATAAGCAGGACTACCCAGGGCTCAATCCCCTAGAAAAGACAGTGTAAGTCAAACTACCAAGCATTGAACTCCAACCACCTGAGGTGCTGACTGAGCATTAAGAGAACATAGAATGGATATGGAGAATAGAACTCATAAATATCAACCCCTTGTGAACAGATGCAGAAACGAGGATTATGGTGTCTACCCATATTTTCTTTTTTATTTTATCATTTAAATCTATATTTTAAATTGTAAAAAGTATTAGAACTGTATGTTTACTTGAACGGATTTTTAACTTTCTTTAAATTAATACATTTTACTCCAATGCCAAAGTTGCCCAGAAGTGAAGTCTAGTGCCAGACCTATGATTAGAAACCGTAGCTGCTCAGTCTGTATGTGAGGAAGGTGGGAAAGCAATCATTCTAGAGCAGATAATGTAATCCACTTCAAGCAAATATCAGTTGGTCATTTGCTGACACACACAAGAAATCTGCAGGTTTACTTCTCAAATGTGATGTGAGTCACCAAAATCATTCTCAGTAATTGATACACAAAATGAAAGCCTATTCCTGAATGCTGGAGAAGACTTGAAATTATTTCCCAGATGCTAGTAGGGCCATCTACTGGAGGAAAATCATTTTTAAATAAAAGCTGTTAATACAAGAACAGTAGTTCCTAAATCATCACCATTTCGTATGCTAGGTCACAATTAAGTGAAAAAAGGTTCCTAAACTTCTAATTCACAGCAAATAATTTTGGAAAGAGTCAAGCTAATGAGAAAAGCCTTTTGCCAGCATATGAAAATTCCCTTAAATGAACTTGAAGACCACACCCTGAAATTCCCATCAATGCCTAAGAACATTTGGCATTCATTTCCCACAGCTCCTGTCACTAGTCTCACACAGCTAATATAGCAGAAACAAGTATTCCATCAGATATTTTTCCAAAAAGCCAAATTGATAAAAGACTTAAAAAGAAAGAAAAAGGGCATCCTAATAACTATGTTTATGTCATACTGTTGTAGACAACTATTAATATATACTGAGGAAAATACATACCCACAGTGCCAACCTAAACTCCAAATGCAAACTGGGAAGGCAGTGGAAAGAAGACACAAAGCTTCACAGCATCCAAACTGAGAAGAAAGAAACAATAAAATCACACCCAAACACCACAAAGGTTTATTGAATTATATCTCCTGTTACCCTTTATAAAAAGTACAAACAATGAGAAGAAAACTGAGATCTGTGTATGATAACCACAGGATATCTGTCCCACCATGGTACAACTTCCTACTTTAGACACCTCAAACACGTGTTATCAGAATGGCAATTATATCCCAATGAAGAGAGGTTCCTGTGCTGCCCACACCCTGGAATGATCTCCCACCCTTCCGCCTCTCAACTGCCCCTGCACATCCTTAGGAGCTGAGCTCCAGCTTACCACATCGTCTCCCTGACCAGCCTGCAGAAACCCTAAGGGCAGGAATCCTGTTTTTCCATCCCAAGCCTACAACAGTGCCCGACACAGTCGGCCACAATAAAAATAAATAAGCAAAGTTTACGATATTTTGAACAAATCAAGGGAAGACCATACTGCAGACAGCCCAAACAATATTTAGTCTTCTATAACATGGAAGTATTTCTTTTGTCAAATAAAATAAAAAGGTCTGGCTGGGCGCAGTAGCTCACGCCTGTAATCCCAGCACTTTGGGAGGCCGAGGTGGGTGGATCACGAGGTCAGGAGTTCGAGACCAGCCTGACCAACCTGGTGAAACCCTACCTCTACTAAAAATACAAAAATTAGCCAGGTGTGGTGCCACACGCCTGTAATTCCAGCCACTCAGGAGGCTGGGGCCAGAGAATCATTTGAACCCAGGAAGCGGAGGCTGCAGTGAGCCAAGATCATGCCACTGTGCTCTAGCCTGGGCAACAGAGTGAGATTCCATCTCAAAAAATAAAAATAAAAAGGTTTAACCTGGTCACCAGCAAATTAACATTACTTTTGTATATTATTTTTTTCTGATAACAAAAGTTATACTTGCTCATTTTAGAAAATTTGAGAATATCTGAAAAATATAAAGAAGAAAAAAATCATCCACAATCCCAAAATTTATCTTGGTGATTATCTGCCAGTGTGAGAAATGTATATATGTAAATATTATTTTTCTTAACTGAAATCCGACTATACCCCCACCAGGTTTGTATTCTGCCTTTTTTCACTCAATATTACAATCCAGATTATACATCTCCATATTGTTAAAAATTCTCCAAAGCATCACACTATATACTAGCATATGTACATAATTTAATTATTCTTGGATTCTTGGATATTATGGTTCTTTTCTAATGTCAGCAACATAAATTCTTATTATAAAAATGTAAGGCCAGGCATGGTGGCTCACACCTGTAATCCCAGCACTTTGGGGGGTCGAGGAGGGCGGATCACCTGAGGTTGGGAGTTTGAGACCAGCCTGACCAACATGGAGAAACCCTGTCTCTACTAAAAATACAAAATTAGCCGGGCATGGTGGTGCATGCCTGTAATCCCAGCTACTCAGGAGGCTGAGGCAGGAGAATTGCTTGAACCCGGGAGGTGGAGGTTGTGGTGAGCTGAGATCATGCCATTGCACTCCAGCCTGGGCAACAAGAGCAAAACTCTGTCTCAAAAAAAAAATAATAAAATTAAAAAAATAAAAATGTAAAAATGTAAATTATAAATATTTTTCCCTTAGTATATATTACCAGGTCACTGAGTTAATTATAATCTAGACATTTTAAACTTCTGATACATTACCAATGCAGGTGACAGTAGTTTACTTTTTTCTTTTCTTTTTTTTTTTTTTTTTTTGAGACAGAGTCTCGCTCTATTGCACAGGCTGGAGTGCAGTGGCTTGACCTCAGCTCACTGCAACCTCTACCTCCCAGGTTCAAGCGATTCTCCTGCCTCAGCCTCCTGAGTAGCTGGGATTACAGGCGCCCGCCACCACGCCCAGCTAATTTTTGTATTTTTAGTAGAGATGGGGTTTCACCACGTTGGCCAGGCTGGTATCCGACTCCTGACCTCAAGTGAGCCCCCAACCTTGGCCTCCCAAAGTGCTGGGATTACAGGCATGAGCCACCATGCCTGGCTTATTTTAATTGTTGTGTCTTCCTAAATTGGCTGAATTTTTTTATTTTGGGCGTGTATTACTTTAATAATCAGAAAAAACATAGTCATTTACATTCCTGGAGTAAGCTGAGATTCTTTTCACAGAAGCACAATTTCTTAGCAAGCCTCATGGATAAGTAAGAGCTGTAAGACAAGCACCTCACCGTAAGATGACCATACAACTAACTGGCCATACAAGCTACCAAAAACTATTACAATGTCAGTAAGACCGATCAAGAAAGAGACTTACTGTGAGTGCTCTGGTGGTTGATGTGATTAGTTCATGAGAAACTGCTGCAATAACTCTTGAAAGGTTATTTTCCATAGTGACGTCTGTTATGCTTGGTAGTAGGTTATAGCCTCTATATATTCTAATAACAAAAATATAGAGACTTAAAATACACTATTAAAACATATATTTTTAAAGATCAAATGGCATTTAAAAGTTTAAGATTAAAGATTAAAAAAAGTTAAGCAGTCTCAACTTTTAAGTGAAACGGGCTGAAAATAAATTTTGATCATTATTCCATAACAATGGCTGAATTTATTCCCTCCCTTCCTCCCAGTCTGCCCCGAACACTTTTGCTGCAGCCATACTCCCCTTACAGCGTTGCCTACTATCTGTTTAAGTTGAAATACATGCTTCATGAAGTTATTCCTGCTTCCAAGAAAAAAGAAATTCCTTTCTCCACTTCTCATCTCCCACGGCACTTTTTTGCATTCCCTTCATGGCACATGTCAATTTCTATCCCCCATTATAGTTATATACAAACTCTAATTCCTTTAGAACACATGGAAAAAAGGCAAAAAATAAAATAAATTATAAATGAATTATAATACCCCAGTGGTTTGAATAAAGCCAATCTGATTTTGTATCCCTCACAGTGTCTTGTCCACGGAGACACTCAACAAAACTAAGGAGATTATGATTTTAAGTTAACACATGAATGCTAACAGAATAGGCAGCTAAGCAGCACACTCTGCTGCACAATTGGTCATTGTATCTATCACGCAAGACCCAATTGACCACAGCTGAATTGTCAAGAGGCCTGCTGAAGTTTGGAACTGGGAGACTTTTCCAAGTAGTAGTTAGTAATCAATTTTAATGATATCTCAGTTGGCATCTATTAATAAATATTCATCTTCTGAAATGACATTAAGAAGCAACAATTTATTCTAAGCTTATCAAATTCCTGATAATCAAATCCTCTTTCACTGCTTCTACTTATCTTAAAGGAGTATTTGTCCTGAATCTTCTCCAAGAGAGAAAATGCCAGTTCTGAGTTTAAACAAAGGAAATTATCTGAGGGGAAATATTAAGGTGGCCAAAAAAATGTCTCCATGTTTTTTTTGTTTGTGTGTGTGTCTTTTTTTGAGACAGAGTCTCACTCTGTAGCCCAAGCTGGGAGTGCAATGGCACAATCTTGGCTCACTGCAACCTCTGCCTCCGGGGCTCAAGTGATTCTCATCCCTCAGCCTCCCGAGTAGCTGGGATTACAGGGGCCCGCCACCACGCCTGGCTAATTTTTTGTATTTGAGTAGAGGTGGGTTTTGCCATGTTGCCCTGGGTGGTCTTGAACCCCTGAGCTCAAGCGACCTGCCCACCTGGGCCTCCCAAAGTGTTAGGATTACAGGCGTGAGCCACCGCACCCAGCCTTCCATGTGTTTTTTAAAGCAGTCTTTACATGAAAAAAGACGTTATTTATTCAGGAATTATGACTTTGATATTTGATAAGCTGAGTTCCTAATTCAGAAAAAAAGCATCAAGTGATCATTTAAGCTTAGAAGTCATTTAGTCCAAGTTTTGTAAAACACTGTTACTCAGCAGAAAAAAAGAGTATCATATAAAGCCAATTTTTAAAATAACATTTAAAAGACAAAATTAAAAAGCACAAGTCTTATCACTTCTGCAATCTTCTCTGCAAGCTAGAATTCTGAAGATTATAGCTTCATTAAAGCACTGTGTCCCACTCACCTAAGAAGCAGATAAGAATGGGATATATGTGGCCATTTGACACGATATTCAAAAGCTCCACAATAAATGTGAATGATAATCTCGCAAATCACTGAACTAGTGGATAACCCTAAATAACACTGACTTTAATAGCCCGCTCACCAAAAAATCAACAGGCATGATAGAATACAATCCTCTTTAAAGGTAACACAACTAAAGTGAAAATGTTTTAACAGATAATACGTAAGTGTCACAAACAAAAATACAACTGTCAGCACATGGAATGTAATAAACTATTAAGAGATTTACAGTGTCACAGCTGAGTGATTGTGGCAGAGCTTAAATACAGAGGTGGTGTGGTCAATCCTCAAAATGATAATATCCTATCAAAGGACTGACCTACACTCAAACATCCTGAGCTGAAGCTTTTTTCTAGAAAATAAAATGTTTTCAATTAAAGCCTAAAGAAAGGCATCAGGAAAGGGCATTTTCCCGACAATGTGAAGATGCCACTGGGTCAGCATACCTGGTTATTGTGCTGACGGAGAAATGAGATGGAGGCTGCGTCTCATGCATGAGAAGTTTCAGGTAAACACTGCTTTGATCTCTTGCCACGGCCACTACTGGATCAGCTTGTCCTTGGTCACATTTATAAAACAGCTTTGGGACAAGCCTAACACAAAAGTAAGGTTAATTTGCTTAAGAAAGTAGATGAAACTCACCTGTGATAGACCACCCTCCTCCCTGCAGATGGCTAAGCCAACACCTCTGGTTACCAGCGGACACCACTTCTCGCCCCCTTTCTCAGGTGGCGTTCTTCAAGCACGTGACAGCGTTGTCTCCAATCTCAGGGTCACTCTCATGCACCCACTCGGACATAACTGGGTGCTGTACTTTCTTTTTTTCTTTTTTTTTTTTTTTTGAGACAGAATGTCACTCTGTGGCCCAGGCCGGAGTACAATGGTGCAATCTTGGCTCACTGCAACCTCTGCCGTCCAGGTTCAAGTGATTCTCCTGCCTCAGCCTCCTGAGTAGCTGGGATTACAGGCGCCTGCCACCGCGCCCGGCTAATTTTTGTAGTTTTAGTAGAGACAGGGTTTCATCACCTTGGCCAGGCTGTTCTTGAACTCTTGAACTCCTGACCTCGTGATCCACCCACCTCAGCCCCCCATAGTGCTGGATTACAGGCGTGAGCCCCCACGCCCAGCTGGGTGCTGTACTTTCTTTTGTCTGTCATAAAATTTAATCCCTTTCTATTTACACTATTAAATGCTTTAATTAAAAACCAACTTTGAAAGTTCTCTTTCTAAACCTTCTGATCAACAAGTGCTGAACAGTGTCTGTCCACAGAGTACTGAGCACAGAGCAGGTCTGAATGCCAGCTGCATTCCTTAGGCACTTTTGCAATTTTGTCTGCAAAACTGTCCCAAACACTCCCAGATGGCAAAGCTTAAGCTGCGATTCCTAACAAATCTAAACTGAATTCAAATGGAGAATACGGGTAACATTTTCCTACAAAAACAAAAGGGTTCATATCTGCCATCAACACTCAGTAATACTTTTAGAAACAATGAACTATTTTATCATATTGGTCTGCAAGCCCCATGATCTTCAATTAAAGTCTCTTTCCTCATGGAGACTTGATCATGAGTAGAATTTTTTCTAGAATATAAGAAGTAACTACTGGCTGGGTACGGTGGCTCACGCCTGTAATCCCAGCACTTTGGGAGGCCGAGACAGGGGGACCGCTTGAGGCCAGGAGTTCAAGATCAGCCCGGCCAACATGGCAAAACCCCATCTCTACTAAAGATACAAAAATTAGCCGGGCATGGTGGCACACTCCTGTAATCCCAGCTACTTGGGAGGCTGAGGCAGGAAAATCGCTTGAACCCAGGAGGCAATAGTTGCAATGAGCCAAGATTCCACCACTGCATTCCTGCCTGAGTGACAGAGCGAGACTCTGTCTCCACAAACAAACAAACAAAAAGAAGTTGCTATCATTTGCAGAAAATGGTAAAGCTGCAAAATCTCTGAATAGGCAAGTCATATAAACCTATTAAGTAAATGAAAGGAGTGTCTCACAAGTAATCAAAGAAATGCAAATTACAATGATGAAAATGAAAAAGAATATGCACCAAAATGTAACTTTGGTTTTCTTTTCAGTAGTTTGATTACAAAGATTATTTCGTTTTTTTATATTTTCCTTAAATTCTGTTCATTAAACATGTATTACTTTCAAAAGAAGGTAAGTTATTTTAAAAAGAAATATCAGCCGGGTGTGGTAGCTCACGCCTGTAATCCCAGCACTTTGGAAGGCCAAGGCAGGTGGATCACTTGAGGTCAGGAGCTTGAGACCAGTCTGGCCAACATGGTGAAACCCCATCTCTACCAAAAAATACAAAAATTAGCTGGCAGTGGTGGCCCTCGCCTGTAATTCCAGCTTCCTGGGAGGCTGACGTGGGAATCACTTGAACCTGGGAGGCAGAGACTGCAGTGAGCCGAGATCGCACCACCACACTCCAGCCTGGGCATCATAGAATGAGACCCTATCTCAAAAAAAATAAATAAATAAAGAGAAGTATCAACTTCTGCCCAAAAAACTGATACATATTTAACTTTTTTTGAAATATTTGTACTGGTGAGAAGAATCAGGCACAATCACATTCTGGTAGTGGGAGTATACTTTGGCATGTTTCTGCTATATGTTCTCAGAAGTGGGAGCTGAGCTGTGGGTACGCAAGGGCATACAGTGTGGTATAATGGACATTGGAGACTCACAAGGCGGAAGGCTGGAAGGTGAGGGACAAAAAACTACATATTGGGTACAAGGTACACTACTCGGGTGACAGGTGTACTAAAATCTCAGACTTCACCATGTAACCAAAATTCAGCCATGTAACCAAAAACCACTTGTACCCCAAAAACCATTGAAATTTAAAAAAATGTGTATATGTAGAAAGAAACGAAGGAAGGAAGGAAGGAAGGCAGGCAGGCAGGCAGGCGGGAAGGGGAAGGGAAAAGGGGAAGGGAAAGGGAAAGGGAGAGGGAAGTAGGGAAGGGAGGGAGGAAGGGAGGAAGGAAAGAAGGAAGGAAGGAAGGAAGGAAGGAAGGAAGGAACAATGGTATGTTTTTGAAGAGCAGTTTCACAGTAAGTACCAAAATTATTTAAAAATCCACTTCTAGGTGATCTACTCAAGAGAAATGAAGACATGTCTACACAAAATCTTGCAGGCAAATGTTCACAGTACCATAATTCATAAATTAGCCAAAACATGAACTCTATAATATCCATCTGATGGATAGATAAAATATGGTATTATTCATATAATAGAATACTTTCGCCAATAAAAATGAACAAACTACTGATACATGCTACAACAAGAACCAATCTCACAATTAAGTAAAAGAAGCCAAATGCAAAAGTCCATCTATACTATGACCCCAGTACTATAAAATGTCCAGAAAATACAAATCTTTGTTTGTTTTGAGACAGTCTCTCTCTGTTGCCCAGGTTGGAAGGCAGTGGCGCGATCTCTGCTCACTGCAACCTCCGCCTCCCAGGTTCAAGTGATTCTCCTGCCTCAGCCTCCCGAGTAGCTGGGATTACAGGCGTGTGCCACCACATCCGACTAATTTTTGTATTTTTAGTAGAGACAAGGTTTCACCATGTTGGCCAGGCTGGTCTCGAACTCCTGACCTCAAGTGATCCACCAACCTCGGCCTCCCAAAGTGCTGGGATTACAGGCATGAGCGCCTGGCGAAAACACAAATCTTAAGGGACAGAAAATAGATGAGTGGCTGCCTAGGAGTTGGGGCAGGAACCGGAGGTTACAGCAAATGGGCACAAGGATACATTTGGGGTGACAGAAATGTGATAAAATTGGAGTTTACTATACACTCAAAGTGAGTACATTTCAAGAAATGTAAATTATAACCTCCATAAAGCTATTAGAAGATTTGTTTTAAATTTAAAGCCTGGCCAGGCGCCATGGCTCACGCCTGTAATCCCAGCACTTTGGGAGGCCAATGCAGGTGGATCACGGGGTCAGAAGTTCGAGACCAGCCTGGCCAATATCGTGAAACCCTGTCTCTACTAAAAATACAAAAATTAATTGGGCGTGGTGGTGTGCCCCTGTAATCCCAGCTACTCGGGAGGCTGAGGCAGGAGAATCGCTTGAACCAGGGAGACAGAGGTTGCAGTGAGCCGAGATAGCACCTGGACAATAGAGCAGGACTCTGTCTCAAAAAAAAAATAAAAAAAAAAATTCAAAGCCGGGCCTGGTAACTCAACTTCCAGGAATTCTCAGAAAAAGAAAACTATACACAAACATTTATGTATAATAAGTAATTGCCAAAAAAAGTATATAAAATTTTATCCCAACCGCATAGCAAAACAACGACCCATAACTAAAATTACTGTTTCATAACAGGAAAATGCTAATAAAATATTAAGTGGAAATTGTCAGATTACAAAATTGCATGTAATTTTGACCTGATTTTGAACAAGAAACTCATAGAGTATATAGCAAAATATTAACAGTGATTACCTCCAGGTGGCAGCAGAATTGAAGGTGATTTTTTTTTTCTTCTTAGTACTATTCTCTATAGTCCAAAATTTTTACAATGAAAGTGCATTACTTTTTACAATGGACAGTTAGTATTTTGTTGTTTTTTTAATTATAATTTTAGACTTTTTTGGATTTTTTTTTCATTATAGTTTAAGAATAGAATGGCTGAAATGAGCTCAGATTCAGGAATACTGCTCTACATCCTTTGAATTCTTCCCTCTCTTTCCATTCTCGTATCTTTTAGTACTTCAACCAAAAAAGGAAAAGAGATAAAATATTGGTAAATACCTAATTAGTGATGCTGCGGCAACATGTCGCACCCTGGGGTCTTCATCTCCAAGCAAATGGATGACAACATTATTGAGCACTCGTTCTTGCAGTTTTAAAAGCTTTAGAGAGAAGGATAATAAAAATAAACATAATCTTGTATTTGACTAAATTTTAGGTAAGATATTTTGGAAAGCTAGTGAGAAAGAACTCAACATTACTAGACTTAAATCCATATGACAAGATTATAACTTTCATGATATAAACTGTGAAATAAACATCTAAAACATGACGAATGCATTTAGAGAAATTCCACAAGGAAAGCCTCACTTTCACCTTCTTGAAGGTAAAACAGCATCTCACAAAAATAAACCGCTTACCCCTGTATAATGATGAGCCCCTCTGTGTAAGTTTTCTGCTTTTGCCTCCAAAAAGCTCACCAGCCTAACAAAAGAGCACATTTAACAATGAAATCATTTAGTTACTCAGTAAACACTTACCGCCAGCTTGCTCCAGAGCAGGCTCATCCAGGTGCCCTGGAAGGACCTTGGGCAGCACTTACTCAAAACAACAAAAAAGGCCAATGGCTTTAAATAAATAGAGGTGGCATTCCTCTCACAATTCCAGACTCAATAAGACAGTACTCAGTAAACTGTTTTTCTTTTTCTTCAAAATAAATACTATTTCAAAAGACTCTGTAAGTGCCCTATAAAATTGGCTCAAGCCACAGAAGGGGTGAGCTGGGCCCTCCATAACCTGCTATCTTGCTGCCCACTCATGCACGCTCAGCGTCCCTATCTGTGGGTGGAGCCGAGAACAAGCCCAGATTTATAAACATTCTAAGGATTAAATGAAATAACCCACAAGGGCTCTATAAAAGGTGGCTTGGAAAAAAAAAAAACAAACCCTAAATTATAAAGGAAAATTTCCCTTCTAAAAGAAAGTACTGAAAGAAAACTTCTCCAGCCAAAACTACTCTTAGAAAATGAAAGTGCCAACACAGCTCATGTTATTTTTTTTTTTTTGAGGCCAAGTCTCACTCTGTTGCCAGGCTGAAGTGCAATGGCCACAATCTTGGCTCACTGCAACCACAGCTCACGTTTTTTAATTGCAACAAAATATAAACCAGCTGTCTTACCTAGGTTCAGTATAATGAAGAGTATATTCTTTTTAAACAAGCAGAATTAATATAAGCTACATTTTTTTAAAAGTTTAAGACAAAGATGAAAAATTCTAAGCTCTTTTATTCCCACTATCCAGAATACTTAAATGACGAGGACTACCAAAAAAAAAAATCTACTCTTCTACTTATATTTTAAAATTCTAGGCCAGGCACAGTGGCTCATGCCTGTAATCCCAGCACTTTGGGAGGCCAAGATGGAGGATCAATCAAGCCCAGGAGTTTGAGACCAGCCTGGGCAACATAGCAAGACCCCATTTCTACAAAAAATATTAGCCAGTGTGACGGCACACACCTATTCTCCTAGCTAATCGGGAGGCTGAGGCAGGAGGACCACTTGAGTCCTAGAGTTCAAAGCTTCAGTGAGCTATGATTGTGCTACTGCATTCAAGCCTGGGCGACAGAGCAAGATCTTGTCTCTAAATAAATAATAAAATAAAATAAAATTCCAAGCATAGGGCAAAGTTCAGCAAAAAGCCACTGGGAGGAGAAAATCACTGTCATCTACCTAAACCACTCGGATTTCTGATGGACAGGGTACTTGATAACATCATTCCTTGCATCAAGTGATCCCAGAACTTTCAATTGAGCTTAGTTCATGAAATCTAATGGATGTGACTCACTTACCTGAAGTCAATCTCTGCAAGGGTTTCCAGAAGCTCTGTCCTCACCAGCCAATAGGAACTGTTCCTCAGAGTCAGCACATCGATGATCAGCTGCAGTCCTAACTCACTGTAGCTGCTGCTGCAGAGACTCATGACACAGTTCTGGAACACAAGGTCCAAGGCAAGAGGACAGCAGGTTAGTCCCACTCAGTACCCGCGTCTTGACGGTTTGAGAACCGTCACTCTTCAACACACAATGTTCTGGGTTTAACTGCAACCAGGATGTTGCATTTTTCCCACACCTCTCAAGAACATTGATTAAGAATACTTTATCTCAGTAAATACAAGCTTAAAAGTAAATGTGTCCCTTTCACATAACTGGTTCTTTCTTCCTTCCATTTCTGCTTATGTCATGGTTTCAACTCTCAAACAGCAACTTCACAAACATTGATCAGTTACAGAGGGGCCTGCCGCACAGCCCCAACACCACTTCTAAATAAATCTCAGACCCAGGGGTAGGAACAAGGGACCTACACCAAGGACCACCCCACTATGTCACTATGTACTCCACAGCACGAGAGAACAGAACAGGCCCCTACTGCTGTACCCCTCCCCTGCAGCCCCAAGCACCCAGGGGCACCATCACATGCATGGCTGACACAAAGACCCCCAGCTAGCCACAAGATTGAGCTCTTAGCATGCTTCCTTCTGCTCAAAAAAGACACAACTGACTGAAAACCTGGAAACTAGAGAGAAATTACTGTCAGGCATGACATTTTAAAAGGGGGAGTTATCCCACAAATTTGACAATTGTAGGTTTTTTGCTTTGATTTTTACCAGTTAATTTTTACTCTTGTTGACTGGCCAGTTGTGACTTATGAGCCAGTTGGTATGGAAAGGTTCAACATGCTATCACTTAAAGAATTGAGCCTATTCCACTTTATACAGAAACAGAGGTTGAGTAAATAATCCCTAAGGCTCACTTTAACTCTTACCATACTATGGGCCTAGCACAGTGGTTTTTTTTTTTTTTTTTTTAATTCAACTGATTATTATTACTATTATTTTTGAGACAGTCTCACTCTGTTGCCCAGGCTAGAGGGCAGTGGTGTAACCACGCCTTACTGCAGCCTTGATCTCTGGGGCTCAAGCAATCCCCCCTCCACCTCAGCTTCCCGAGTAGCTGAGACTACAGGTATGCACCACCATACCCAGCTACTTTTTTTTTTTTTTTTTTTAATTTTCTGTAGGGACAGGGTCAACTATGTTGCCCATAGTCTTGAACTCCTGGGCTCAAGCAATCCTTCCACCTTGGCCTCCCAAAGTGGTCAGATTACAGGTGTGAGTCACCGTGCCCAGCATATTCAACAGACTTTACACTTAATGATAGGTTATTTCTAAATATATCCTTTAGGAAGAGGTCTATTTCAAACAAATATTCTGAGAATTAGAACTTAAACTGAAGTTTATGAAGCATTAACTTTACTGGCAACGTTTTCTTTCTAAAGCTGAGAGATGGATACATGGTGGGTATTACTGGTTACAGCTTTAGAGTGCATGGAAATATTTCCTATTAAGCTCCAATTTTAATTGTAGCAATGATAAAATGTCCACTAAGTGAAGAAATGGTTCCACAGAAGATTATGCTCACCCTCACAGCTGTACAAGCTAACTTGCAAGTAACAGAAGACTCATCCTTCAGTGTTTTCCGCAGCAAAGGAATGCAATCCGCCAAAGAAAATGTATTTCCTAACCAGAAGAACAAGCAACAAACATCATCATCTAAACTTAAACCTTAGTAAGCATAACTAGAAAAAACACAGCTGAAAAACTGGCCGTTACCTGTGAGGGTTCTAATGGTGCCCATCCAATCTCCCACGTGGAAGCGGGACCTGCTGAGGATGGAGCAGATGAGGGTCCCACAGAGAATGGCAGTGGCTCCTCGAACCTGTGGGTCTCCATGATCGATGTAGTTCAAGATGTCTGAGACATACTGTTCCTCTGTGGAGATAAATTGCTCAGCCATGGAACAATTCCCTACTATCAACTTTCTAACTCGAAACAAAAGCTTAATTCTCAGGAAAGAGAAAAAGAGGTGTGAAGAGAAGATCCAAATTCAGAAATGACTTCACTATAATAACCCTAAGTGATTAAAAAAAAAAAAGTTTCAGGATTTAAGAATTAGAGATTCATCATATTGCCAATATGTCCTCAATACCACAGACTTTCTGGATTATAATTCTAGGTTGTCAGATAATAAATCTGATTAAAATTCCAGATTCCACTTAAAAAAGATTAGAAAAAACCCTATTACACACTTACCTCATATAAATTCAAAAACACAAGTGTACCCTCTCACCCAAAGAAAAAGAGAGAACGAGAAGGCTCCATAGTAAGCATGGGCGCGATGGAGACTTGGGTCCACTGCTGCCTCAGCCAGTCCTGGTTCCCACTCACCCTGAGTGTGAATGCCTGGCCTGGCTGAGTGCGACTCAGCGCCACTGCGACCAGGCACAATTTGTGCTTTAGGTTTAAATCCGATGTGTATATATGTTGGCTCTTACGTGCTGAGGTTTCTACTTTTCTCCTCTATGGGTTTCATCTAAAGGGAACCCATGAAACAAAGAACTTCACTATTCATGTGTTTTCTGAAGAGCTACAACGCAGGTCAAATATCCCAAATGAACTCAAAACACTTACTGCTCTAAAACTAAAATAGTCAATACTGAAATAGTTTTTACAATAATGATTAAATCTGAGAAAATAAGATGTGAACTTTTAACATACCAGGGTATTCCGTGGTGTCAAGAGGAACTTTATAGAGTTTGCTGAAGAAAGATTCCGGGTGGAGGGCCACAGCTGCTCCCACACAGCTGAGGGCCAGGGCCTTCACGCTGACCCTCACATCCCTGTCCGGAACCAGCACTGCCAAGAAATCACCCAAGCCACCTTCAGCCTCAAACAACAGATTGTTTTCAAATGAACAAAACCAGACCCAATAACCTACCTGCTCCCATCATTTCCTCCCTCCCCTCGGCTAGTGAAAACCAAACTCATCCTCAGATTCTACTTCCTCTGCTGCACGCAAGGCAAAAACAGGCCACCAAGCTGACCTCTGAAACCTAGTTATTTCCTTCAACTGTGCACATCCCCTTTTGTACTCACCATTTTTTCCCCCTGTTAGCAAAAACGAAGCAGATAAAAGGCGGACACAATGGACAAGAGGTGCAGAGTCATCATCAGTGGACTGTCCAATGTCACCTTTGATGCGGCAAGGCTAGAAAGGAGACAATGACACTTGTTTGTCTCATACTCAACAATACATTCATGCATTAGTTCATTCAACAGATAGTTCCAGAGCAGCACTTAAGCCAGGTGCTGGGGATAAAGAGATGCCCTGGTTTGTGCCCATATGCACACCTGACCTCACAGAGACCATGGCCAAGCAGAAACAGACAAGTCAGAGGCAGCAGGACACAGGGTCACAGGGCTGTGGCAGGGGATAAATGCAGCATGCAGGGAGGGTGGGCGTGGTAAGAAGGCAGTTGACACTAGGCATTCAGGAACGGCTGCTGCAGAAGCAAAGCATGAAAGGTCTTCTACAGGACAAGCAGAAGCTACTTGGGGAAAGGCAACAGCCTGGGGAAGCCCAAATCTAAGAGGAAGTGGGCCTGGTAGATAGGGAGATGCCAAAGGCTATAATTCTGATTGATGGGACGAACTGTGAAACGCTATTCCTTGTCCTTGAGGAATTAAAAGTGAAGACAGTTACATTTACATGTAAAAAGATAATATGAAGAGAGACTTTTAGAACAGTTCAGTAGAACCAAAACAAGAAACGTTGCAGGCCATACGCAACCATCAAATGAATGATCCAAGAAATCAGACAAGGAAACATTCAGTACAGAATAGATTTGTCTGGGGCACACTCTCAAAGGAGGCAGAACTCAGGCAATTCTCAAGGCTGTGGGTAGTACCTGGAAAGGCAGAAAACAACAGGCCTGGGAAGAGCTGGTATTTAAAGGGGAAATTTAAAGGCCCAGGGATGGGAAAGCAATAAAGTAGACAGTAGCCAGGGCGATTTTAAATCCTCACACAAGCTCAGAAACACCAAGTCGTCTCAAGCCTATGTCCCTCACCTTGTTTTCTTGATCACCCGGTTCAGTAGCTTCATCTCTCAACACAAATTTATCAACACTGCTGTCAGAAGGCTGCCTGCAGTGACTCATGTTTTTCAATAAATGTGCCTGTTGAAGGGCTTTAAAAACAGAGAAATCAAGATTAAGTGACAAATTTCCACTTAAAATACAATTATACATTTATGCTAAGATAACTCAAAAGTATAAGATTTAGATCAAGAAAAAGTATGATTATTCCTCAATTGGTCATTTTCATCAGCTATTCAGAACTCAGAAAACAGTATCAAAGGACTTCTTCTTGGAAGCAAAGATATAATTAAGATGTCCAGGTCTGAATACAAACCACTTTGTAGCGCATCACCTGTAGTCCACATACCCATGGAAGAGTTCCTGAAGGCCTCCGAGGCTTCATCAGGAAGAATACCTGTGGCTTCCTCATCTTCATCCTGGGGCTGTCCAATCTGCAGGCCCAAATACTGGTTGTCGGTACCGTCTAACACCTAAACGGTTCAAGGGGGGCTGTGAGAATTTTGAAGTGTGATCACCAAGAGACAAGCCCTCCAACATGGAAGTGCAATGAGGAAAGAGCACATTTTACACACAGAACACAAATGTACTCATCTGTCATTTATTTCAAGGCACAGAAATGCACGCATGGAAACTGCTAAGAGCTTACTGATCACTCATTCCCACTACATTATGAAAAGCTCTATTAGCTCTAAAAACTCCAAAAAAATTCCAATGTGGACATTTCTTTTTAATATGAAAAAGAAAAAACCCATACAAAAATATTTGTCTTCACAAACAAATTTTACAGCAAGTTGGAAATATGAGGACAAAGCTTTTCGACAAAAACCTAACAATATAACAGGTTATCTCCTAAATTGCAAAGACTAAATCTACTAAATTTAGGGTATGGTATTTCATATGTTTAGCCATCAGCTTGGGGCATGATTCCACATCACAAGATGTTTCATGTCCACTTGAAATGTCCTGTGTAATTTACCTAAAAAAACTGAACAATGGACTACCAGCAAATTATTACCAAAATACTATTTTATTAAGTTTGTTAACTACTATACTATTAAGTAAAACACTCAATGATATGAATGTTTTAAATTAAAATTGGAATGTAAAAGCAACTCCATTTCTGGGTATTTAGCCAAAAAAATGGAAAGCAGAGTCTCCAGGAGCTATCTGTACACCCACGTTCATAACAGCATGATTCACAATGGCTAAAACATGAAGCAATACAAGTGTCCATGGACAGAGGAATGGAAAAGCAAAATGTGGCCTATCCATACAATGGAATAGTATTTGGCCTGAAACATTAGGAAGTTCTAACATAGGCTACAACATGCATGAGCTTTGGGGACATTATGCTAAGTAAAACAAATACTGTGTGACTCCTAAAGTATATGAGAACCCAAAGTAGTCAAATTCAGAAGACAGAAAGAAGAATCGTGGTTGCCAGGGACTTGGCGGGAAAGGAGGAATAGAGTTCAATGGGAACAGAGCTTCAGTGTTACATGATCAAAAGGTTACAGAGATGGGTGGTAGCAATGATTCCATGACATTATTTAAATGTATTTAATACCAGCGAACTGTATACGCAAAAAATGGTTAAGAACATAAATTTTATGTTACACATATTTAACCACAGTTTTTAAAACTGAAAATAAAATGGAGTATAAAACTCAACATGGACTTGTAGCAAACATTATTAGACTATCCATGAGGGTTTTTTGTCCACTAACTTAGAGATGAGAAGTGCTTAAACCTATGCCGCTATCAAATGGGAAATGTTGTAAAAGTTTTTTGAAAAGTCAAAAGTTCTTAAAATAATGCACAGTATTAATCACATTTCATTAAGACCACAGATCTGTTTATAATAGGCTCCTTAAGGATTTTTAAAAATAATTATTTAACCAGGGCCCAACAAGGCCTTAAAAAATGTAAAATGCACTCAATTTTAGCAGAGTTCATATAATCAACTATTCCAATTTTTTACCTCAGTGTTCAACACAAAAGACACTAAGTTGTTTCCTTCAGTGAAGGTATCAGATGAGGTCAAGCTCTCCATTAATGATCTAAGCTGCGCTGTCAATAGGGGTATTAGATAACAAGAGAACAAGCAGGAGGGTTCAGGTCTAGGTCTCCAGGGAAGAACTCAAAAGATGGCAGGTGGCAGGGCCGGGCATGGTGGCTCACAACTATAATCCCAATACTTTAGGAGGCCAAGGTGGGTGGATCATCTAAGGTCAGGAGTTTGAGACCAGCCTGGCCAACATGGTGAAACCCTGTCTCTACTGAAAATACAAACATTAGCTGAGTGTGGTGGTGCCCACCTGTAATCCCACCTACTCAGGAGGCTGAGGCGGGAGAATCGCTCGAGCCTGGGAGGCAGAAGTTGCAGTGGGCTGAGAACGAGCCACTGCACTTTATTTTTTTATTTTTTTTGAAATGGAGTCTTGCTCTGTTGCCCGGGCTGGAGTGCAGTGTCACGATCTCGGCTCATTGCAACCTCTGCCTCCCAGGCTCAAGCAATTCTCCTGCCTCAGCCTCCCTAACAGCTGGGACTACAGACATGTGCCACCACGCCCAACTAATTTTTGTATTTTTAGTAGAGACAGGGTTTCACCATGTTGGCCAGGCTGGTCTCGAACTCCTGACCTCAAGTGATCCGCCTGCCTCAGTCTCCCAAAGTGCTGGGATTACAGGCATGAGCCCCTGTGCCCGGCCTCCACTGCACTATGGAGTGAGACTCTGTCTCAAATAAAAAATAAAAAAAAAGATGTCAGGCCCCTCTGCCCACTTACAATTTCAGAACTGTCTGAAGGGGTAACAGCTGAATCAGGCCCTTCGGTGGTGGTCTGGGAGCTGTCGCTGATGGGCGACGAGGCCTGGGTCCCATCATTCAGGTCCATGGCAGGGTCAGATGGGACGGCGCTGACCTGGCTGGAGCTGTGGCTCAAGATATCCTCCTCATCCCCATCAGTGGCAGAGCTTGTCAAGTCACAGCTGGCCAGATCCACTGAGTCCGCCTGCAGTGTGTGCTGTGACCGTGGCTGTTCTGTGATGATGTCATGACCTGCTGACCCTGGAGTGGAAACCCCTGAAGAAGCAGCCAGCTCTCCACTGATCTCATCCTTCACTGAGGCTGAAGACAGAGAAACACTCATTTGTCAAATGGCGAGAGAAAACATTCAATAGGGAATCACAGGCTTGCAAAATAACGAACAGTTCCACCGTTATCAAATGTTTCAGCTGCACAGCATCCTGAAGATGCTGAAATGCAGGACAGCAGTGCATCCTTCAAGCATCTCTCACACTGCCTCCCACTACAGTACCCACCTTATAAAATAAGGCTTATCAGAAGGTGATATTCTCAAATGCTGTTTCACTGCAAAAACCGAAGTTCAAGTTCTTAACCGACTACTCCAAGCCTTAGCTGGAGCAATATATAAAGACATTTGTAATTAAGGGGCAGCCTAGTCAGGGGCGCAAAGCTAGGCGGTCACAGACACGCAGGCCCTCTAAGCAAGCAGTGGTCAGAAACAACTGTCAACTCATCTCTCTGGGGTGGGCTTGCCTTCTTCCAAGCCACATTCAAGATCTCGACTCCAGTCCTATTCTCCTGGAAGATAAACCTGTAACACATTTTCCTAGTTGACTTTCTAAATTACCATTTAAAAACAAAAAAGGCTATATAAAAATTATGGCAAAAAGGTCGACATGAAGCTGTTGGCAGTGGTCACTCCTGGGGCAGTTGGGTCGGTAAGCATGTGAGCTTTATAGTATCCGGATTGCTGTGATGTTTTATTGTTGTTTAATTTGTGTAATCAAAAAAAAATCTATTTTTATTTTGTAAATAAATAATTACTACTAGAATTATTCAGATTTTCCTCTCTAAATATTTAAGTCTTACTTTCAGTTATAGCTAAAATATTCTTTTAGATAGGATTATACAACCAAAACCACCCTCATATAATCCAGTTATTAGTACCTTCAGTTAATCCTCATCTTTTATAAAGTACACAGAGAATTTCATTAGATAAGTATCTGTAACTGGCCGGGCACAGTGGCTCACTCCTGTAATCCCGGCACTGTGGGAGGCTGAGGCAGGCAGATCACTTGAGGTCAGGAGTTCAAGACCAGCCTGACCAACATGGCAAAAACCCGTCTCCACAAAAAAATACAAAAATTAGCCAAGCGTGGTGGCGGGCACCTGTAGTCCCAGCTACTTGGGAGGCTGAGGCAGGAGAATCGCTGGAACCCAGAAGGCGGAGGCTGCAGTGCACCAAGAGCACACCACTGCACTCCAGTGACACTGGGTATCTGCACTGGGTGACAGTGTGAGACTCTATCTCAAAAAAGAAAAAAGATAACTATCTGTAAACAAAGGCAGATTCTTTCAAGTTAAACTATCCATAGGCAATTTTTCATCCCATAATTTTTCATCCCATTTCCCAACCCCCAGCATAACCCATCCAACTCATGAGATGTTTCGACCTGCCATCCCCTACTCACAAAGCCCTATGCTCAAGCCATAAACCTAATTTTAAAACAGCCTAAACCATGGAAAACAACAAATATATGATGCAAACACCACAGACACACAAGCTTCAGAGTAAGTATTATAAAAGAAGCCCGAATATGCCCCATTTAAGCAACCTGGCTCCACTGCTGCCCCCAGTCGTGCTGTCCACCAGGTGCAGGGGGACGAGCAGGAAGGGCAAGGGGTGGAAGGCAGACAGTGAAGGTCCACACCAGCGGCTAACTAGTGAGAACTACCTGTTAAGGCAGAGCTGCTGACATCCGATCTCGATTCAGAGTCATCCTCCAAGGCTTCTTCTTCTCCTAAGAGCACTTTGCCTAGTAAATAATGTACCAACATTCCTTTTAGTTTGCTAAAAATAAGGACTTCAAAATTAAGTAAATGCACTCTAAAATGAAACTCATAAGAATATTTAATTTACTCTAATATAGTTTATCATCATATATAAGTATTTTTATACCTCCACAGTATTAAACACAAAGAATGTAGAGATGTTATGTTTAGAATGCTATTAAAGTCAATAAACCTATATGGAAAAAGTTAAAAGCAATGATTCTCAAACTATACCACAAAACATTTTAATAATTAATATTTATTGATTTTGATTATTAAATAATCTATATTACTACTTAAACTTAAAAATGGTAAGTTATAACTGTAAAGATCCAATGCTATTGGCCTTTGAAATATTCATGTCATAGCTCCAATGACACACCAGAATTTATAATAAAACTCTAATACCTAAAAGTCACTTTCATTTTATTATCTTTTAATTTTCTAGACTTTATGATTAACAATCAGAACTTAAGCATTATATGATCTGGAAGGATGAAATAATATTTCATTTGAAAGTTCTAAAAATACATTTTATTGTTCATCTTCAGAATTACATTAATGAGAACAAATGAAACCAACAGTCTTAATATGATTTAAAACTGAACTCATTAAATCTTTGTGGCTACATCACATGTGAGTGTCATTAAATGACACTATCAAAATAATTATTGGGAATTTCTAATTTCTGCTCTTCAAAGAAAAAGTCAGAAGTATGATAACTTCCATAAACTTACAATGATGTGAGATTAAGAGTGAAAAAATGAGCAAAGGAAACCCAAAATCTACATGGAATTAACACAGCAACTTGGCCTATCTACTAAATAATAGGAAACTTTATTACAAAATAAGTTCTTTACCTTGAGAAATCAAATAAAATGCCAAAAAGGTGAATTCAGATCTTAACAAAAGCCATCTCTATCTTCCAAATCAGTGGTTTGCAAATATGTTCCACAGAGCCGTCCCCAGGGTAATTTCCTCAAAGGCACAAGAGCTAGGCTGCCACCAGAAGAGAGGCTCCAGGACACCCCCACTACTTTCACCCTAATCCTATATCCAACACAACTCTACCTTCATCTGTCTTATAATTTGGGCAGATTTCACTTAAAAAGGATTTTCCAGCTATAACAGAAGAGTTTGAAGACACAGCTCTCAATGGGGGAAAAATACCAAAAAGGCTTAAAAGAGACAGGATATATCCCATGTCCCAGCCAGAAGAGGATAAACTCATCTGAGCAATGTGAATCAGTCATCTTCGTTCTCACCGCCACTGGAAAAAGCGACTAAGAAACAAACAAGTGTCAGCGTAACTTAGTCACACGTCCCAAAATCTCTCCTAATTCAAGAATATAGACATTAATTTTTCCTAGAATCCTTTTGGCTTCTAAACAATGTTTCACTAAAATCTCAAACTTGATTAAGTATCTCATACTATGATGACGCAAATATTATAGATTCCAAGTTCTCTTAAGAAATGTTTACTTAATTCAATGAAGGCTAGAATGCTATTCCTGTTAAGATCCCATTTAATACTGCAAATAATATTAGGCATTAGGCTCTCAATTAAATACTCAAATCATGACACAAAAAAGGATCAGTCTTTTAAGATTTCAAAATAGAAAGTGACAGCAATTCTTTTCCTATGCAAACCCACACTGGAAAAGAAAATAACTGGCATTGCAAAAGATAATGTGTACCAAAACTAGCAGATTATATCACAAACACTTTAATAAAAGTTAAGTTTTATCAGAACATTCTGATATGTACAAAGTTAAATATGGCTGAAAAATGATAACCAGGTCCAAATTAAAATAACCCAACAAAGGAAACTTTTTTTTTTTAAGACACAAGGTCTCATTCTGTTGCCTAGGCTGGAGTGCAGTGGCATGACTACAGCTCACTGTGACCTCAAACTCCTGGGCTCAAACAATCCTCTTGCCTCAGCCCCCTGAGCAGCAGCTGAGGCTACAGGCACATGCCACATGCGTGGCTGTTTTTTTGTTTTGTTTTGTTTTGGTAGAGACCGGGTCTCACTATGTTGACCAGGCTGGAAAAGAAGCTACTTAATAATATTCCTGACTAATACTAAATAAAATTTACTGAGAAGGTAACTCACAAAATATAACAACACATTCCCTAAGGCAGGTATTGGCAAACTACAGCCTGTCTGTTTCTGTAAGTAAAGTTCTACTGGAACATAGCTGGCCAGTAGCTCATGTCTTTACAACTGCATTCCTGTCACAGGGCAGAGCTGAATGTTGCAAAAGAGACCATATGGCCCATAAAGCTAAGATGTTTACACTCTGTCCCTTTACAAAAAAAGTCTGCTGACCCCGAACATTAGAAATTTATGATGCGTTCAAAATTTATGACAAAGCAATTCTGATATGAAAGTAATTTTTAAAAGCCACCCTACAAAACTATTCAGGCCTGGTTATCAGATTCCAGCAACATTCACACATATAATCACTCATCTGAGAAGAGATATACACAGAGTCCAATACAGTATTACAAGAAATACAAGATACATTACATTACAGAAATACAAGAAAATCAGTAAGATTCAACACAAGACTCTGATTTCTGAAATAATCACCTTTTTGTTTTCTTGAAAGGACAGGGCTGCATGAGGAACCCCCTCCAGCTGCAAATCACAGAAAGTGACAGATAAAGTAACAAGCTGATAAAATCTAGAAGAAATGTGAAAATCTTCAAACAGCTTGATTCAACTTTAAAACTAGAGAAAATGTGAACGTTTTTCCACAGGAAACACTTAACATCGCAGTTCAACATTTTAATTTCAATATGAAAATTACATTAACATTCAAATATATAGTTCTAAAGATATGACCTAAGAAATCAAAAAAGCTAAGATAAATTGCATTGTAAAAGCCAAATTAAAAGTATTAGAAATCTCAGATTATTTAGCTGACTAACAGTCAAGTATAACTTTTCATTAGCGATGGGTATTTCCACTCATTATTTGTAAGGCACGCATTCCATACAGAAAAAAATTCTTCCGTGTAAAGGACAGGAAACAAGGCAGATTAACATTTCCTGCTCATGGTTCTGGCAAACATTTATGTTCACACGAGGCAGCAGTAAGACTTCAGTCAGATTCTCTCTAATGTGGAGGCTGTGAGTAAGGCCACGCTGCACACACACTGTGCACTACACCGACCACGTTGCAGTGGCTTAGGAGAGGCCGGAGTCAGCAGAAGTTTATCCATAGCCTGCTAGGCACCAGACCCAGTGGTAGAGGCTGGGATCCAGCTCCCAAAGGCAGCTCTCATGCCAGACAGGACCCACCAAGCTCACTGCTCCAGGGCAGCACTGCATGGTGGGGTAGGGCCCAGCCCCAAGAGCATGGAGAGGAGGTGACTGGGCAGTGGAGGCAGACGCAGAGCTGGGGACAGACGGATTTTCTCAAGTCAGGCCAGGAAGGAACTCTCAGATCCCTCTGACGACTTGAAGATGCCATTTCTGGCAAATTAACATGAGGATCCTGGAACTATTTTCCCTACTGTTTTCATTTCTCAGCACCTAAAATGCCACAGGAGGCAGCCAAGGCAGAGAAAAGAATCAGGAGGAGGGGCTTTAAATGTGTGGCCTCATTTTGCCACCCAACCTGCTAAACTTTAATTCTCTTATTTTATTTTTAAATTTATTTTGAGACAGCATCTTGCTCTGTCACCAGGCTCAGTGCAGCTGCCATCAAGATTCACTGCAGCCTCAACCTCTTGGGCTTAAGCAATCCTACCACCTCAGCCTCCAAAGCAGCTGGGACTACAGGCATGTGCCACCATGCCCAGCTAATTTTTTTTTTTTTTTTTTTTTTGTAGAGACAGGGTCTCACTTGGCCAGGTTGTCTCAAACTCCTGGGCTGAAGCGATCCTTCCAAAGTGCTGAAATTACAGGCGTGAGCCACCACACCCAGCCCAACTCCCCTATTTATAAAATAAAGATGAAATTTGTATTATAAGTTTTGGCAAGGAAGATGGAATGCAGACTGCTTAGCACAGGGCAGGCCCATAATCAATAGAGTGTAACTAGTATTACTGCAAAGTTAATTGTAAGAGTAGACCTTGCTAATAACTTGCCTATAAGTTCCACAATACTCCCACTACGGCTTCGGCCACCAGACTCCTCCTTAGCAGCGGTGAGCTGCCCAATGCCCCCGACTGCGGTCAGGGTTTGCAGAAGCTCGGGTGGAGGCGTTCTGAAGAGCTGCTGCAACAGCTCCAGGGCTCCGGTCACAACATTGTGGTCTTGGTGCTGTGTATGATGTAACGTCAGTTCATAAACCTAGAAACAGAGAAACACAGGTGTTCTGGTCAGAGTTTATAAAATGCATCCTAAGCTTCACTTTTTTGTTGTTTTTAATAGGACTTCATTGACAAAGTTTATACCTTAACTTCTCCCCCTAAATATTTCCCTATCACTTCCACCAATGTGATCATTAGCTTCCATGTTGTTTTCTAAATTCCCATGATTTTTTGTTATATTAATTCCTTAAAAATAAATGGAGCACTTGCACTAGAGGAGCAGCATGAGAATGAAGATCTCTATTTCCCAAAACTGGTGACTAGGAAAGGGAAAATAAAGCCCAGCATACACGGAGGGGAGAGTCAGCTTGACACACATTTAAAAATCAAAAAACACTATTATGAGTGCCACTGAGAAAGAGCTACCAGACATTTTAAAGGCAGTATGCCATATTTATTAGCACTTTTAATACTATATCACAGTGCTACCCAACCTTTCTGGCACCAGAGACTGGTTTCATGGGAGACAATTTTTCCACAGGGCCAGGGGATGGTTTCAAGACGAGACTGTTCCACCTCAGATCATCAGGCATTAGATTCTCATAAGGAGCGCACAACCTAGACCCCTCACATGTGCAGTTCACAATAGGGTTTGCACTCCTATGGGAATCTAATGCTGCCACTGATCTGACAGGAGGCGGTGCTCAGGTGGGAATGCCAGCTCACCTGCTGCTCACTTCCTGCTGGGCAGCCTGGTTCCTAACAGGCCATGGACCAATACCGCTCTGCAGCCTGGGGGTTGGGGACCCATGGACCAGTACCACTCTGCAGCCTGGGGGTTGGGGACCCCTGCTATATCACATTATATGAACATAATGAATTTATTCTTTTTCCCTTTAATTACAGTTGCCAGATAAAATACAAGGCACTCAAATTTAAACTGTAAACAAACAACAAATAATTTTGTAGTGTAAGTATGTCCCACATGATTTGGAATATACTTACACCATAAAATTACTCATAATGTATCTGAAGTTCAAATTTCACTGGTATTCTGTATTTTTATTTGCTATTTGCCAACCCTATCTTTAATATTATAAAATACATGTTTCTTTTTTTCAAAATCAGACAGTGTAGAAGAGTATAAAGTAAAAAGTCTCACTTTTAGCTCTTCTGATGGTAACTTCTATACCCCTGAATCCCAGGTCAGCAAACCACAGTGCACAGGTCAGGTCTGGCCTGCACCTGCTTTTGTACCTAAAGTTTCACCGGAACAGAGCCACATTTATGGGCTGCCTGTGGCTGCTTTCATGCTACAAAGGTAGTGTTGAGTAGCTGCCACAGACTTGGGATGGCCTGCAAGACTGAAAATATTTACTATCTGGCCCCTTACACAAAACATTTTTGGGTACCTGCTCTACGTAATCAGCTTATACTTTGACTTCTTAAGCCATCCATTTTGAACAAAGAATCTCCTGGCTCCTCTCAATGTAATAAGGAAATCAGCACCCACATTTCCTTCACCTCATCTGCCCCCTCCTAAATTCTGTTAGCAACAGCACTGCTTTCATACTATGGAGATTTCCATTTACATGCTCCTAGGTAACACTATTTACATTTAATGTTCTCTGCCTAGAAGTTGAGCCAAAAAACTTAACTAAAAATAAACAGTATGTATCTTACACATCACGTGTTCATAAATGTTATTCACTGCATAATTTATGAACAATAATGTTCACAAATGTTATTCACTGCAATAATGAAATATTTCTTTCTGAGTCCAGTCACAATAACCTAGACTCAGAAAGAAAGAAAGATTTCAGTACTACTCCATGTCATTTGAAAGAGAATGTCCCAAGGTTAATGGTCAAATGGGTTCTCTTACTCTAATCTATTACTTGCTTAAAATTTATTCTGCACCTTATTTTGCTTCATACTTGGATCACAAATTTCCTTTATAAATCTTGCTGACCCTCCTATGGATGGTTACTAATTGCCTTTTTCTCCCTCCTTGTTGATAATATATGCATATGCCTTCCCTCTGCCCAGCTTCTTAAACATACTATTTATTCAAGAAGAATGGTTTCTAATACGAACTACGCGCCAAACAGCAATCATCCTAGAATTGCTTTTACTGCATGCCTAGGTGAGAGAGTTTGCTTCTTGGATTTCAGGGCTTCCTCTATTTTTCAATTTATTCCTTTTTCGAAAAGCACACATGGAAAGCAAACTAAGTTCCTGCATATCTAAAATTATCAATATTTTGCCCACACTTGCTTAATAGTTTGGCCAGGCCTAGGATTATATTAAATTCTAATTAAATATGGTTAGCCAAACTACATTTGCTGAATTGAACGTCTCATGGTAATTTAATTAAGAACAGTTTTTAGTCAAAAGAAGATGGAGTAAGATATGTTATAGAGATAATCATATCTAGAGTTTAGAATTTGCCAGTTCAAAAATGTGCCACATCATTTATTTACTTTGGAGAAAGGTCTTAAGAAAATCAGCAATTAAGTCTCACATCCATACCCTTTTTTCCCCTTCACCCTCTATCCCTGTCCTTCCAGGATTACTGCAATCCCAATTTAACACAGTTTCGATCTGTTCACAAATGTTAGAAACCTCCGTAACCAGCACTCTTGCTAATCTATGAGAAAGCCTGCAGGCCTTTTCAGGACCCACCCTTGCTCTGTCTACGCACCCACACTCGTGTGCTGTGAGCACTGTCTCACCCTTTCACTCCTGGGACTTAGCAAAGACCACATTTTCTGTCTATAAAGCTCCTGTCTTCTCCCAACTCTGTGCCGGGTCAGATTCCACGTGCCCATAAGTGACGGCTCATGACTGAACTTCTCCAGGCCCCACCATGTGCACCTCAACCTTGCTAAACGGTTTAGTAATTATTTGCTTTTCCCATCAGACCAATGATCTCTAAACTTTTATGATCAAGCAGCCTTCTTAAAAGCATCAGTTAAAAAAAATTGAGCATATAGTTTCAATACTTTTTAAAAGAGTACACTTATCTTAAAATATTATATAAGAAATACTGGACTCAGATATAAAATATACACTAAATCTGACAAGGCTTTTCCTCCAATTATTGATTTACAGGAAATACAGAGAAGAGAAAAAGGTGTTAATTTACACAGTGGAGATGGAAGCAGTATATCAGACCACAGGAAAACTTAGAAGACAAACAATCTGGTTTCTCAATAAATGAACTCTAAGGGAAAAAAACTGGGATGGAGGGGAACCAGTTCATCAAAGAGATTTACAATCCTTATCGACCAATTTTATTTAGATGCTGATTCCAAAAGAGTAGAGAGAAAAATTGATAATGAGTTGGTGGGTATTTGATGTAGGAAATGTTTAATATTTTCAGGTCTAACAATGGCACTGTTTTGTGACGTTGTTTTGCAGTTTTGTTTTTTTGAGACAGAATCTTGCTCCATCACCCAGGATGGAGTGCAGTGGTACAATCATGGATCACTGCAGCCTTGATCTTCCAGGCTCATGTGACCCTCCCATCTCAGCCTCCCAAGTAGCTGGGACTACAGGCATGCATCACCACACTTGGCTGATTTTTTTCTTTAAGACATGGGGTTTCGCCATGTTTCCCGGGCTGGTCTCAAACTCCCAGGTTCAAGTGATCCGCCCAGCTTGGCCTCCCAAAGTTCTGGGATTACAGGCATGAACACTGCATCTGACCATCATTTTAAAAATAAAGTTTTAAAAATAAAGAAGAGTCCTCATCTATAGAGATACTGAAATACTTATAGATGAAATAAGAGGATAATTGGGGTTTGCTTTCAAATAATAAAAAAAGGGAGAAGTAGGATTATAAATGAAATATAACTGGTCATGAGTTGATACTTTTGTATGTGTGGAATTCTCAATAAAAAGCTAGCTTAAAAAAAAAACAAGGCAAGGTAAAGATGAAATAAACTATATTTTAAATGTATTATTACCATGGCTACACCCTTTTTACTCAACAAAACACTCAGCAGTGTTTTTTGTGAAGGAAATATAAATGTCATATCCCATGAGACTCTGCTTTTATTCTGAAAAATAACCAAAGGGCAGCTGGTTGGAACAGAACTCTCAGCCCCAATACTTTCTTAAGAGTCCACTTTTGCTCAGCTGTTTATCAACACGCAGCACTTACATGGCCTTAACATGTGCCAGGAAGCATTCTAAGCATTTTACAAACACTACCTAACTCAGTGCTTAAATTATTAGCATTATCTTCAATTCATGATTCTATTAAGAATCATTTTAAGCCACTTACAATTTCGTATCCTACAAAACTTAGCTAAATGGCACACATTAAGCACAATAAAAACCCTGACATAACATTTTAAGTAAAGTTCAAAAAATCCAATTGCTTAAAATGAGGCTGCATGGTTACATAGTTAGTGAAATAACCTGAGTAAGCGTGCTACAAAGAACTGAAGTCAACTGCCAATCACAGTACATTAGAATTACTGCAAGGTTTCTCTGCATTGGAAAGAGAAGTTCCGACATTTTGTTCCGACACCCCAAACGACCACGTCCCTATCTCCTTGAGTGAGCATATACCACCGTGCCTAGACCAGTGTGCTAGGCCACAGCCTCCACGGGGCAGAAGCTGCAGCTGAAATACTCACCATTGTATACCCAGCCCCTATCCCAGAGCCTAGCACACAGTGGGTGCTCAATCAGTATTTACTGGGTGGATGAACACATATCGTGACCTCTGGTTTTAGAAACAGGGTAGCAGTGGTCTCTGAGAGGCTTAGGTAACACGGCACCTGAGGAGGCATCACCCGCATTTGACTCACGGTGACAGGGACATACAGAGGGAAGACAGCTAGAGGTCAGCACCTAGGGTTGGAAACGAGCAGCGCAGCTCCAGAGTCCACACCTCTAACTCTCGGTTCTGCCGCTTCTCTTCCAAATTAATCGGTTCTTTGAATGTCAGTCATTCACATGCAGGGCCTAGAGTAAACCCTGTGCTCCTACCTGGACAAGCTGCTCTGCAGAAGGAGAGACTTCCATTTCTTTCCTTGTCACTCCGAAGCTGCCTTTCAGGCTTGTGTCCTTGACCTGCTGCTGCAGCAAGGGCACCAAATACCTCAGGGTGAGCAGCACGCCAAGAATCAGCAGAGTGGAGTGTTCATCCTCGACAGGAACGAGTAAGCCTGTGGGGGTGGAAGCAAGACATCTTAACATCTGACTCACTGTTTGGAGATTCCCGGCTTAATCTGTTAAAAAAGAAGAGATCCTGAGAGATCAAGATGGCACAAACATGATCATGAACGAGTACGCCATGAGGCCCACTGGGAATGGCTACACACCCACATCCCTAGCTCAGCAAGGTCCTTTCCAGAGAGCCTCACTGCCTTTGAAAGCCAGGTCGTTATTTCATATCGCACGTCCACATGCTCGCTTCAGCACTTGCCAGTGTTCGTTTCCACAGTTACCCAAACAACAGGAGAAACTGTCAACTGACCTACAGAGAACCCGCAGGAACCCGAGGCACAGTCTCAAGCCTACAAGACTCACCATAGTCATGGCCGACACAGACAGAGGGCCAGGCCCTGGGTGGCAGACAGGGCTCACACCAGCCCACACCCACTGCCCAGTCCCTGGGCACGGCTGCATCTGCAGGGTCACAGAGACCCATGCGGGCTCACAGCAGCCCCAGTGCAGTTCACATTCAATCAACCAGTGCCAAATAGCCTGGTCTAGAAGCTGAGGGATCATCTGGTTTTATTTATTTCAAAGGTCTATCTTGAGTACATGCTGGAGACTCTTCCACTCATATGCCTCCACCTTACCTAAGAGCACATTTAGTAGCCAACTATAGAAATATTGTGTCCTTCTTGAGTGCTGGCAGATGCTCACTGCTGATCCAGCCGCTGTCCGCCGAATGGTGGGGGAGCTTGACTTCAGGTTCGCTATGAAGGCCTTTAACAAAACCTACGGAAGCAAAAGTCCAAGTAGATAAAAGATGAAGCTCCTATGAAGCTTATCATGTATTACATAAAACTTAACGTGAATTAGAAGTTTCCAATTCTTGCAAAGTATAAACAGTTTGAGGCTTTTCCTACAGCTGAACTGAAGTACCCCAAATTTGGGACACTCAAGAGCAGTTTACAGACATGTGTAGTCTATTTGCTTCTTTATAACCTTCACTCAGGGGACTGCTCAGCATCCATGTCCTCTCCGCAATGGTGGAGGCCTCAATTCTAGATACACTCTGCCCACAGTATTTGGGGACAGTTAAAAAAAAATCAACAAATGACAAAGTTAAGGAGAAAAGAGTACTAGCCAACTGCAGTAAATGCCCCACCCTAAGAGATGGCTTGTAGAAGTCCTGCTAATGTCACGAAGTTCTCAGGACTGGAACATCTTCGATCGGAAATATCTGCAATTTAACTGGACATGACCGCATACTACCCACAAACTGTTCTCCTAAGAAATTAGGGAATACTTTCTCATGGGCCTCTAGGACAATCCAAAGGAGAAAGTGCTATAACTCTAATGATGGCCATTTAAATCTTGATAAAAATATCCTAAAATTGAAAAGGGGTGACCCAGCTAGTCGCATTATCTTGGTGACTATGTTACTTAAGAACATCCATTTCCCATTATTCAAAACTATGCTCTGAGCCATGACTTGATTCCAATCATTGTTCAGCATGCACTGAGCAAGCACTATGAGTCGGGGACTCTGTCAGAGCTACGCCTGGGCAAATAAGCAGTAAACTAGTAACTGGCATCTGATTTATAAATAAGTTTCTCTTTCATGGCGTGGTTAGCATAGTCTGTTTCTCAGAGGCTTATCGCCTCCCAGGGAATTTACACGAGACCTCTGTATTGGGAGCAGGCCCCCCAAAATCTGGCCATAAACTGGCCCCAAAACTGGCCATAAACAAAATCTCTGAAGCACTGTAACATGTTCATAATGGCCCTAATGCCCACACTGGAAGGTTGTGGGTTGACAGGAATGAGGGCAAGGAACACCTGGCCCACCCAGGGTGGAAAACCGCTTAAAGGCATTCTTAAGCCACAAACAATAGCATGAGCGATCTGTGCCTTAAGGACATGCTCCTGCTGCGGTTAACTAGCCCAACCTCTTCTTTTAATTCGGCCCATCCCCTCGTTTCCCATAAGGGATACTTTTAGTTAATTTAACATCTATAGAAACAATGCTAATGACTGGTTTGCTATTAATAAATATGTGGGTAAATCTCTGTTCAGGGCTCTCAGCTCTAAAGGCTGTGAGACCCCTGATTTCCCACTTCACACCTCTATATTTCTGTGTGTGTGTCTTTAATTCCTCTAGCGCTGCTGGGTTAGGGTCTCCCCGACTGAGCTGGTCTCGGCACCTCTGGACACTGTTAGGCACAGGATGAGACCCCAGCCACAGGACTCCCTCCCAACCCAGCCACAGGACTTCTCTCCTTGCCAGCCACAGGACTCCCTGACAAGGAGCCACAGGACTACCCCACCCCCCAGCCACAGGACTCCCCCAGTGGCTTACTGCCTCCAATTTCTCCCTGAGAAAACACCTGGAGAACAAAGTAGAATCATCTCTGACAAACTTTTTTAGCTGCAAGAAAAGATACTAACATCTTAAAAAACTACTTTGGCCAAGCTCAGTGGCTCACACCTGTAATCCCAGCACTTTGGGAGGCTGAAGAAGGCAGATCACTTGAGGTCAGGAGTTTGAGACCAACCTGGCCAACATGGTGAAACCCCGTCTCTACTAAAAATACAAACATTAGCCAGGCATGGTGGTACGCACCTGCAGTCTCAGCTACTTGAGAAGCTGAGGCACAAGAATCACTTGAACCTGGGAGGTGGAGGCTGCAGTGAGCCGAGATTGTGCCACTGCACTCCAGCCTAGGCAACAGAGCAAGACTCTGTCTCAAAGAAAAAAAAAAAATCATTGTATGAGTCCAAATAGACAAGCACAATGAGAGCTACTCATTATTATGATGAGTCAGCACACGGTGAGCTTAAATAGTTTGGAATAATAAAGAATAAAATTTAGTCAGAGAGCTCCAAGGGGCCTCCTCAGGTCTAATCTCTACAATCCCAAGAATCCCTTCTCCAAGCCAGCTAACAGGAGGCCCCAAGGCCACGCTACAACTGTTCAAACACAGAGGAGGCATACTGTATTTTAGAATAGATAGTGCCACTTTTCAACACATGCACAACATACCTGTAAGAGTACTTCAAAAGGGAAGAGATGCATGAATCATTAAACTTCAGAGCCAAGGGTACTTTAAGGAATGGAAATTAAAATCATAATGTGATTCCAGAAAACACCCATCAGGAAGGCTAAGAGTAAAAGCATCAGCAATTCCAAGTGCTAGCGAGGACCAGAGCTCCTGGAATCCCCATACACAGTGGCAAAAGGGTGAGCTGGTACAAGCACTCAAGGAAAGCTATTTGGCAGTTTCTACTGCAGCTGAGATGCACACACCCTATCACCCAACAACTCCACCTCTAGCTGTGCAAGATGGAAACCTGCACATGTACTCCAAAAGACACACCTAAGAGTGGTCACAGTAGCACTGCTCGCAATAGCCAAGAACTAGAAACAACCCAGTGATAATACAATGAATAAACTGTGGTATATCCCTACAATGGAATGCTATGAAGCTCCTAAAACTACAGGAATACTAATACACACGATAATATAGAAGACTCTCATGAACTTAATGTCGACCAAAATAAACCAGACAAAAAGAACACTTAATCCATGGTCTATGTACACAGAATTTAAAAACAGACTCTGGAATTAGAAGCCAGCAGTCATGACCTTGGGGAGGAAGGCAGGAGCAGTGACGGGGGAATAGGGGAGAGGCTTCTGAGTGCTTGGTAATATTCTGTCTTGACCTGGGTGGCGGTTACAAGGGTTAAGTTCACTTTGTGGTTATTCACCAAGGGATACACTAATGATTTCTGTCCTGTATGGTATGTACATTTCCTGTCAGGAAAAGGAAAAACAAGGGAGTATCAGTGTTTGGCAGGTAATTTTGAGAATAAGAATAAACCAGAGGGTGGGAGATTTCTAATCCAACACGCTGGATTGAACTTGTGAAGCTCTGCTACCCAGAAACCCCACAAAAATCATGTAAAGAAGTTGTATAAAGCATATATTTACACGAACAGAAAGAACAGAACAGGGACATTAGCAGACTACGGGTGTCAACAAAACTTCGGAAGCTAAAAAGTAACAAGAGCTACATAACTGACTGATTTGTTAGCCCGTAGGAAGAAGTTCAAATGCAAGCTTTGCTGGGGACAGGGGAGGGTAGGAGGGATACCAGCAAAAAGCAAGCTTATTGAAGCCACAGACGCCAAGAAGAGCTCGGGCTTTGGAGGCGCCACATACATCTGAAAGTGGAGGGATGGAGAGGGTGAAATAGTGGCTGGTCTCATGGCTCCTTGGGCAAATTCCCACCCACTCACCTGAGGTCTTCCCTCCAATCCAAGGCAGCCCAGGAAGCAGCCCCTCCCCCACCTCCGGCAAAGATTGAGAGGGATAATCTCAAGAGGTGTTTACATAGGCTGAGGACAGACGTGAGATGCACACAGAAAACAAAAAGTAAGAGGGCACCCTGACCAGCAACACTGTCAGTCCCCTCCCTTCCAGTCCCCGGTTGCAGGATAAACATAGCCAAGCTTATAGCCTCCAAGCAGGAAAATGAGTAATTTCCTTCCAGGGATACTAGCTGACTCAAGAGGAAAAGACTTATAGATACTGGTATTTAAAGATCTAATGATGGGCTCACGCCTGTAATCCCGGCACTTTCGGAGGCCAAGGCAGGCGGATCACCTGAGGTCAGGCGTTCGAGACCAGCCTGGCCAACATGGTGAAACTCTGGCTCTACTAAAAATACAAAAATTAGCCGGGCATGGTGGTGCACACCTGTAATCCCAGCTACTTGAGAGGCTGAGGCAGGAGAACTGCTTGAACCTGGGAGGCAGAGGCTTAAGTGAGCCAAAATCCCACCACCGCACTCTAGCCTGGGCGACAGAGTAGGACTCCATCTCAAAAAAAAAAAAAAAAAAGTAAAGAAAATAGCTGGACGTGGTGGTGCATACCTGTAGTCCCAACTACTTGGGAGGGTGAGGCAGAACAGCTGCTTGAGCCCAGGAATTTGAGGCTGCAGTGAGCTATGATCGCACCACTGCACCACAACCTGGGCAACAGGGCAAGACCCCATCAAGAGACAAAGAAAAGAAAGAAGTTAAAAACATAACAATGAATAGAAGAGTTTGAGATGGATATCTAAAAAGTACCAGAAAAAGAAAAGAAAAAGGTAAGATGTGAGTCAATCTAGGAGGACCAACATCCAACTAACCAATTTCAGGAGAGAACACAGAAAATAAAAGGCAAGAACTTCTCAGAGAAATGTTAAGAAAATTTTCCCAGAACTGAAGGGATGTAAGTTTCCAAATTAAAAGGCCTACTAAGTACCTAGCACTTCACCTCCCCAAAAATGGAAAGCTTCCAAAGAAAAGTACATTCATAGGTTAAGGAATCGGGTCACGTTGGAGATTTTAAGACAACAGGGCAAAGACTTTGCATTTCTGAGGGAAAATGATTTCTACCCCAGAACACCATACCCAGCCAAGTGTACAGGAAAAAAAATGGCATTTTTATGAATGCAAAACCTCATACAATTTCCCTCCCATTCATCTTCTCTCAGGAAGCTACTAGACGATAGAAAAACATATGGCATCTAGGAACTGGGCATCCAACGGGAGAACTGCAAAGGAAATTCCAGGCTAATGGCAAAGAGAAGTCCTAGGATACAAGTGTACTACAGACCTGAAGATCAACCTGCCCAGACTGGGGCAGAGAGCTGGATAACTCAAGTTGGATGACCACACTGGGGAAAAACTGATTCAGTAAACTACCTGTCATGAAAAATTGTACTAAACACATATTACAAAGAAGTTGGAAGGTGTGAGAAGACAAAAAGGCCAAAGAATAATAAGCAAGCGATATAGAGGTAACGATTAACTCCAAGAAAACAGATGTGAAGATTAACTCCAGGAAAACAAAAAGTTGTACAAAGACATATAATCAAGGCACAAGCCAGCAAAGAGCAAGGCAGCAGCAATGGCCTCTGAAAGGAACCAGGGTCTGAGGAAAGCTGAACCTAGAAGTCAGGATCTGGAAGAAGATTGAACACGACATGGTGATGAAAGCCAGCACCAGCCTGCCCAAGAAGCTGGTGCTGCTGAAGGCCCCAATCAAGAAGTGGGCGGCTGTCTCCTCCACCTCCAAGATGCCTTCCTAAGGATGCTGGCCCCAGCACAAGCCAACACTGTAGCCCCCACCTCCATGATTAGACCTTGCAGGTGGCCCCCCCGTCCCCAGCACTGGGTCACCTAGAACTTCGATAGGGGCCTGGCCTATGAGTAGGTGATCAGCAGATCCCCGGGTGCTGAGAACCCAGCTATGGCCATGAAGGTACAGTCACCAACTTCATCTGTCCTCCTCCTCCTCCCCAGGTCCTCTCTCCAGTTTCAACCCAGAGCAAAAAACACAGCTTTCTCATCAAATAAGAAACACAATCAAAGAAATATAATACGTAAGCAACCATGACTATTTACTTAGGCATAATAACGTACACACTGAATTCTGATAGAACTATAGTGAAAGTAAAAAAATGTCTAAAATTGAAAAAAAAAATAGCAGTAGAAGCATGTTATTTAGAAATGTGGAAGTTGCTGGGCGCAGTGGCTCACGCCTGTAATCCCAGCACTTTGGGAGGCTGAGGTGGGAGGATCACCTGAGGTCAGGAGTTCGAGACCAGCCTGACCAACCCGGAGAAACCCCATCTCTACTAAAAGTACAAAATTAGCCGAGCGTGGTGATGCATGCCTGTAATCCCAGCTACTAGGAGGCTGAGGCAGGAGAATCGCTTGAACCCGGGAGACAGAGGTTGTGGTGAGCCAAGATTGCGTCATTGCACTCCAGCCTTGGCAACAAGAGCAAAACTCCATCTCAAAGAAAAAAAAAGAAAGAAAGAAAGAAACATGAAAGTAAATATTGGAAGAAATACTAAGAGTTATGTTTGCCTGTGAGACACAAGGATTAAGAGAAAAAGTAGGAAGGGAACTACTATCTTTGTTTATAATCCTGTTGGTACTACTGAATTTCATTGATAATATATATATATATATTTTTTTTTTTTAAGAAATGGCATCTTGTTTTACCACCCATGCTGGAGTGTGGTGGCACAATCACAGCTCAGTGTAGCCTCGAACTCCAACTCCTGGGCTCAACCGAGCCTCCTGTCTCAGCCTCCTGAGTAGCTAGGACCACAGGCACATGCCATCATGTCCAGCTAATTTTTTTTCAGTTTTTTTAGAGATAGGGTCTCACTATCTTGCCCAGGCTGGTCTCAAACTCCTGGCCTCAAGCAATCCTCCTACCTCAGCCTCCCAAGTAGCTACAATTATAGGCACAAGCCACTGTACCAGGCTCTTGATAATAAATTTGAATAACCATAAATGAGCAGAGAGGTAGCAGAATAGATTTTTTTTAATGCCAAAGGTTCAGGAAGGAAGTAATTAACGGATTCTACGTTCAACAAAGTGTTAGCATCATCATACTCAAATGGTGATCGAAATCATGAAAATGATGAGAACTAAGAGTACAAAAATACCATCTATCATCTGAGCTCTGACAGCCAGAGATATCACAGAGGGGACTGCCTTCAACAGACCCCAGTGTACAGATGGGCAAACTGGCGCTGTGGAGCTCTCACAGCCTCTGACCACAAAGGAGCACCTACTCCCATTCCAAAGAGATGGTAATAAAAATAACAGCAGCAGAAACTACCATTTACTGAGCATGAAGAAATATTACACTAAATTCTTTAGATTCATCATCTCCCTTCGTCATTCCAAAACCCCATGACTAGTTTGAATATCTCCTTAGTATTAACAAGAAAACTTCGAAGCTCAAGAGAAAAAACATGAGAGAGGCTAACAGTTTATTCCAAATCATTCAGCTAATAAGAGCAGTAGCAGCTAACATCTAAGCCCTTCCCGTGGGTGACTATGCTACACTCTAACACATATTCCTTTATTTTACTCTCAGAGTTGCCCTATATGGGTCCCATTAAGGCTTATTTTTCAGAATACGAAGGAAATAGCTTAGAGCTGTTGGGCAGTTTGCCTAGAGGAAAATAACTAGTAAAGAGGACAGAATTCTAATCCAAGTCCATCTGATTCCACTCTACCCAGTGTGTATCATCACCTCCCAGGAGGGTCACTTGGGCTCAAACCCAGGACTGACCTACCAAAAAGGAAGAGGCTAAGAATCCTGTAATCTGTAGAGCATGTGACAGGGTCACTATTTCTGGACATTATAAACAAAACACTAAAGTGGGTTTGAAGATGATTTGTTGGAATGCACAACAGGAAGCCAACAGGCTCTGATAGCTGCAGGACGTTCAGACCCACAAGGCCTCGTCAGTGAGCTTTCTCCTACCTGCAGTCTTGGCACAGTCATCTTCCCGCAGCTAGGTTAAAGAGTCACTCTAGTACGCCGAAAACAAATCTGCTCTGGAAAAATGCCTTTTCAATTTGCATCTAGAAACCATCTCCCAATTCAACTCTTCACCCCACAGTAAGAAATGAGAAGTGGAAAGAAGTCCTTAGGTGCCTCAAAAATAACACAAATGATGGTAGTCTAAATTACGACATACAACATACCCCAAGAAGCACTCCCACAGGACTCCCTGTTCAGAAGCCCTCACCCTCCACAGACTCACTCACAGCATCACTCGCATGTTTGTGACCTGAGGCAACAATCATACCTTAATTTCATTGTCATTTGCAAAATTGCCAAAAGAAGCCATAATTTTGGGAACAGCTGCAGCCAAGGTCTCCTGGACTGATTCTTCGGGTCTCTTGCTTGTTCGAGTCAGGCACGGCAGAAGGTTCACCAGGTAAGGCCTGTGTATGCAAAAGAACGCAAGTCATTCTTCCAGCTCTCCTTCAGGAGAAACAGAAGCAATTCATTCCCTGTTAGGGAAAAGCCAGTTTTATATTCCAACAGTCCCTAATGGGATGGGGAAAACTCAGCTGAAAGAACAGGAGGATGAAATGTGGATGAAGCTCAAGTGTTGGGAGACATCCTTCATTTCTCTTATGATCACAGAGGATCTAAAAGGCTGGGTTTAAAAATTATTTGCAGTAAATCATAATACTTCTTAAAACACTCATTTTTAATTAGAAAATAAGTGTAAGAAAATACCATTTTAAAAACAAAAATTTTTAAATGGGAATAAAGCTTTCCTGAAAAAGGAGAATTATAAAATGGGGTTGTGGGGAGAGAAGAAAAGCCGAATGTGTAGGACACAGAGCAGTGAGTCACAGATCACAGGAATTCACCCAACACACAGAGTGACAGGGCAGGCCGGGTGCGAGGTGCCAGGAGTGGTGCAGCCCTGCCCTCTAGTGGCAGAGTCTGGCAACAAGCACGGCCTCAGAGGGTGGCTGGGGAAACCTCCCTAAGGAAGTGACTGTTCCGCTGAGAACTAAGGGGGAAAAAAAAACCATCAGGAGGAAGAAAAACCTGACTCTAATCAGACTAATGAGTCAATGCAGGGTGTCTGAGGTGACAGAGCCATTGACGAGTCTGGAATCTCTATCTAAACGGCACTGGGAAATGGGTACAAGAGTTTAAATAAGGGAATGACAAGACCCAGTTATATTCTTTAAGGTCACTTTGGCTGCTATGTGCAGAACCTGGATGTGTTGCTTCAGAAATATAACACATTTTTTTAAATGATAGTAAAAGAAAAAAGATTATACAAAAGGAAATTTCCTTAGTGATTATACCTCTGCAGCCATATAAGTTCTTTTCTGGATTTTGGTTTTTTTGAGACAGGTCTCACTCTGTTGCCCAGGCTGGAGTGCAGTGGTGCGATCTTGGCTCAACACGACCTCCACCTCCCAGGCTCAAGTGATCCTCCCACCTCAGCCTCTCGAGTGGCTGTGACCACAGGCACGCACCACCATGCCTGGCTAAGTTTTGTATTTTTTGTAGAGGCGGCGTTTCACCATGTTGCCTAGTCTGGGTCAAGCAATCCACCTGCCTTGGCCTCCTGAAGTGCTGGGATCAAAGGTATGAGCCACTATGCCCGACCCATATAAGATTCTTATTGAAACTCAGTTCATATTAATAGTGAGGGTTTAGACCACATTCCCAGTGACTCAGGATGGAGCTGAGGGTCTATGGGATATCAGCATCAGCATGTATTGCTGGTTAAGGAGAAGGAGGGAGCTGATGAAAAGTGGTCCTGCTTTTGTTTCTCAATCCGTTAAGATACAACTGTTTTGACTAAACCAAACTATTCACAGTGCAACAACCATATTTTTAACTCATGTAACAGACAAATGGATATTTTGCTATAACTCCTATAGTCAGCAATAATGAAATTGGTACCTCAACCTTCAACAATTTGGCAAGTATCTTTTAAGCAAGTACTATGTGCAGACACTGTTATCGCTGCTGGGCTGCAACAGAGCATAAGACAGTAAGACCCCTGCTGTCCTGGGGCACACATCCCATAAGTCTCTTGCGGAAGGGTGGGATAGAAAATAAACAAGCACACAGATAGACTGTACGTGACAATTTCTGACATGGATTAGTGCTATGAGGGAAACATAAACAGGGCAAGGTCGACTGCAATTTGGAGAGGGCAGAGCAGACTTTTGAAATGACATCTGAGCTGAGACATAAAGGATCAGTAGCAGCTGGCCCCCGACAAAAACCAACATCCAGAGTGTACAACTTACCTGCATTTCTGAGGCCGAACCAGGTGAGCCAGCTCAGCAAACCTCCACAGGGCAGCACGCAAACTCCGAGGGGCACCATTCTGAGGGGGTGCAATGAGGGTTGCATTAAGAGTCACATACTAGTCACCAAGAGGGTTGCATAGAAACGAAGCATTTTCTTTCCTTGTTACTTTCTAATTTTAGAGAAAAGGCCATTTAAATGCATAAAACATCTGGTAACTACTTTAAGGTCTAGTGGGCTTCAATTATAAAGATATAAAGTAAGTTACCATTTTTAATTCTCATCTCATCTAATAAAGAGTAACCTTTTGAAGAAAAGTAAAGCAATCGTCTACCAAACAGCATTTCCTTCTAACATTGTGAATTACTGAATAACGATGAAATCCCACACCTGCTGCTTAACAGAGTGAAGTTTGCTCAGTGATGGAAATAAGGGCCCAAGACCTGGTATTCGACAGCACAGCAGAGGGATCATAGACAATAATATATAGTCGATAATAGTGGTTTGTTTTTTGTTTTTTTGTTTTTCTTTTGAGACAGGGTCTCACTTGGTCGCCCAGGCTGAAGGGCAGTGGCACAATCTCAGCTACCTATAGATTCAACCTTCCAGGCTCAATTAATCCTCCCACCTCAATCTCCCAAGTAGCTGAGACTATAGTTGTGCACCACCACACCCAGCTAATTTCTGTACAGACAGCGTTTTGCCATGTTGCCCATGCTGGTCTCAAACTCCTGGTCTCAAGCATCCACCTGCCTCAGGTTCCCAAAGTGCTGGGACTAAGGTGTGAGCCACCACACCCGGCCCAATTTTATTTCATTTTTATTTTTTGAGACAAAGTCTCACTCTGTCGCTCAGGCTGGAATGCAGTGGCGTGATCTCGGCTCACTGCAACCTCCACCCCCAGGTTCAAGCGATTCCCCTACCTCAGCCTCCCGAGTAGCCAGGATTACAGGCGCCCGCCACCACACTTGGCTAATTTTTGTATTTTTAGTAGAGACAGGGTTTCTCCATGTTGGCCAGGCTGGTCTCGAACTCCTGATCTCAGGTGATCACCTGCCTCAGCCTCCCAAAATGCTGGGATTACAGGCATGAGCCACTGTGCCCTGACTGTTTTAGTTATTTTAAAATGTACAATCAGGCCCGGCACAGTGGCTCACGCCTGTAATCCCAACACTTTGGGAGGCCGAGGCGGGCGGATCACCTGAGGTCAGGAGTTTGAGACCAGCCCAAAGTTCGGTTGAACCCGGGAGGCGGAGGTTGCAGTGAGCCAAGGTCATGCCACTGTACTCTAGCATGGGTGAAAGCAAGACTCTGTCTCAAAAATAAAATAAAATAAGTAAAGCATGTAACTGGATTGTTTGTAACACAAAGGATAAATGCTTGAGGGCATGGATATCCAACTTTCCATGGTGTGATTATTATGTATTGTATACCTGTATCAAAATATCTCATGTACCCCATAAATATATACATTTACATGTACCTACAAAATACGTGTACCTATAAAAATTTAAAATTTAAAACATTTTTAAAAAAGAAAAGCAAGGCCCACCTTTTTAATTTCCTTATAGAGCTCGAGCTGTAACCTTGGAAGATTAGAATCCATCAAAGCCTACAACAAATCACAAGAGATTTATGGAAGACACATCCCATCACTAGTTCTAAAACGAGCTAAAAGGAAACTAAGATTTCAATTTTGGGGCAAAGCAAAACATAATAGCAACTAAATTAAGAATATATTCATTAAGAATGAAAGAAACAAATATATGCAGGAAGTTACTGAATAAACTAGATACAGGTCATTCACTTAAACAGAAAAATGGAAAGAAAAACAATTTAACTTTCATTATCATCAAATACTACATAACATCAAAATTAAAATGGTAGATGGTTCAAATACAATAAATCCTGGCCAGGTGGGGTGGCTCATGCCTGTAATCCCAGCACTTTGGGAGGCCAAGGCGGGCAGATCACCTGAGGTCAGGAGTTCAAGACCAGCCTGACCAACATGGAGAAACTCCGTCTCTACTAAAAAATACAAAAATTAGCCGGGTGTGGTGGTGGGCGCCTGTAATCCCAGCTACTCGAGAGGCTGAGGCAGGAGAATAGTTTGAACCCGGGAGGCGGAGGTTGCAGTGAGCCAAGATCACGCCATTGCACTCCAGCCTGGGCAACAAGAGCGAAACTCCATCTCAAAAAAAAAAAAAAAAAAAATTATATATATAGGATTTATATATATATAATAAATCCTAAAGCCCCTGGAGTAAATCTTTAATCTTCACTAGCAGAACATTCTGTTGGATGATACGGGCTCAGACGGCACCCTGGACATCTGCAGGGTCCCGAGCACTGTGGGTGTACTTATAAACCACAGACCCTCGCTCTGGCCTAGAACACTTCCCAAGGCGGAGTCCTGCATCCTTTTCTGCAGGTGTGGCCCCTCCTCACTGTCAGGTATGCCCGTGGTCCCTGCCCCCCTGACCCAGAGCCTGCTGCCAGCTGGGGCCCCACATTCCTCACAGCACATCTCTCAACCCTCCTTGCTCACTTGTGAGGCTAAACCAGAAAGTACGTCCAGATGGTCAACTTCAAGCTAGTAACGATGCTAACGGCACAAAGTCCACATTAGAGAAGGGCTTCTCAAGCTAGGGGATGGGACAGGGAAGACTTTGGTGCCCCACTCTCACCCATAGGAGCCTTCTCTTCCAAATGCTTGCCCACCCAAGAGGGAGGAAGCTGTGCCAAACATCAGTCGATGATCTCTTTAACCGTGGCATGGGCAGTTGATGTAAGTGGACTGAGATGGTCTTCGTAAAACTTGTGGGTTAACCTATTGGGTCAGCAAGCTTGAAAATCAAAACCAGATCACATTCTGGGAAATTCTGAGGAGTAAAAACATCTCAGAAACGTTTAAATCCTAATCCTGTTGTTGCAGTTTGTACTGAAAGTCCTTAAATGAGCAAAGCGAATTGGACAAACATTTATTTCAACATTACTTCTTAAATAAAACTAGAAGCCTTATCAAACCTTGATTTAGCTTTACAAATGTTTTGTAAACAAATACCAAGCTTATTGTATAACAAGAGAAAACTAAAACTCAGCCCCTCCTAAGAGCAGGGAATGGTCTCTCACAATCTACGCCAGTCGCTGGGTGATGGCAGCACGCTGCTGGCCTCTTCCCTCTTGCCCCTGCTTCCGCAGACACACAGGTGGCTGCCTCTCCTCACAGCCCTGCCACCATCCTGGCTCGAGGCCCTGCACTCCTGCTGGGTCTACTCACTCCCACCTGGACTCCCTCCCACCTGTCCTCCTCTACCCCACGTCCTCACCGGGTCACTCTTCCTAAATGATACACTCCCCTGACCACATCCAAAGTCTTCAAGAGCCCCTAATTCTCTACCAAACAAGGTACAACCCCTTGACCTGACCCTCATGGTGTCCCACTCTCTGGCAGCATAAGATGGGTTCAGCCTCCACAGCTTCCTGGCACCCCTTGAGACAAGAGGCGGTGATGATTAAGAAGGTCTCCAATCTACTCTTTCACCTACTGGCTGCTGACTCCAGGAAGCCTTTCCTGCCTCCCTAGACAAAAATCACTTCAGCCTCTTGACGGTGGTGGTGATTTGCCAGCACCTCACAGAACGGAGACTTTATGCCACATATGAAGTTCTTGCTGGACACACGTGCTTCACCGCCTGAGACTAACCTACCTGAGGGAGGCATGCTGCCAGGCTATGTCAGATACCCAGTGCATTTCTCTACAGAAACCACATGCAAAATGTGCCCATTTTCTTGGGCTAAGTAGAACCTAGTTTTCACCATACACACACAGCCATACTCATGAGAAGACAAAGTCTAGGACCTGAAGGCTACGTGACCATGCCTATGCTCCCTACAGCTGGCCTGGGGTCACACGTGCTCTCCCACGCCTCCCCCTACTCTGCCACAGTGAGAGCAAACCTAGCCAGATCCTGATCCCGCTGCCAGCCCGCTGGGCCTGACAACTACAGCATCTGAGGAAGCAGGAATCTGAGAGCAGCCAAACCCTGCTGCACCAAACTTAAGCATAAGGGAGAAATGGCTGGAAACAAAGAAGAGGACATGGGAAAGAAGCAAGGAGACAGCCAGGAAGAGCACCTGAGACCTAAAACCACAACCTAGGGCCATGGCCTACAGTCCTCAGACACACACCAAGCCACTGTGTCCAGCAATTCCTGGAAAAAAAATGAAGGAGGTTTAAAAAAGAACAATACTTACACATTAAATGACCAATATTAGAACAGTTTCTGTTCATATTCTCTCTGCCCTCTTAACGTCCCATTTGCCATGAACCAAGGCAACCTGGGATAGCCCTCTTTTTAGATTTTCTGACTCTGAGGATCAAATATCAAGAACTGAAACATCAAGGGCCAGGCACAGTGGCTCACACCTGTGATCCCAGCACTTTGGGAAACCAAGGAGGGAGGATCACTTGAGCCCAGGCGTTCAAGACCAGCCTGGGCAACCTGGCGAGATCCCATCTCTACAAATAATTTTAAAAATTAGCTGGGCATGGTGGTGCACGCCTGTAGTCCCAGCTACTCAAGGGGCCAAGCCAGGAGGATAGCTTGAGCCCGGTAGCTCAAGGCTGCAATGAGCCGTGATCAGCCACTGCACTCCAGCCTGGGTGACTGAGCGAGACCCTGTCTCATGCAAAGACAGACCGCCCTGGTCCTGCCAGTGAGAATAAAAGAAGCAAGCAAGGATATTTAGGCCTGTGGAGAAGCAAGCTTAACTGGAAGCAGGCCCTAAATGGCACCATGCAAGTGGTGCCAATGATCAGCAGGCACGGAGAACAAGGTGAAACTGATATACGTCACTGCATAAGTGAGATGCGAGCAAAGCAGGAATTGCAAGCGGAGAGAGAAGACAGTGACCACTCTAGGGACAAGACAGGGAGCTAGAATCCCATGGCTCCAGAGAAGCCAGCGTCCTGACCACAGAAAGCGTGATTAGCCAAACAACAAAGTGCTAGCCACAAAGCAAAGATTCCCTGGGCAAAAGGATACCATGGAAACCATGTGATGGAAAAAGAGAAGCAGTGCCACACCCATCAATCTTGCTGGGTAAGAGTGTAAGGATGTCATTATTAATAAGAACACTTCTTACCACTTTGAGGATCCAGTAGTGGCAATTAGTCCTCACACATACACAATTTAATCCTCACACATACACAGACACACACTCATACACATGCCACAAAAACATTGATCCCATTTTATGGTTAAGAAAACTGAGACTCATAGAAATTTGGGCATAGCTCTGGCTTCTCTGGTGCCTGTAGTGACATTTTCCCAGGAGCATCCAGTGGCTACCATCGGTTCCCTTCATTGACCTAGGCACCGTGCAGGCACAATTGTCAACATAGCGCCTTCTGACCGGGCAGGTGTGGCAAGCAATGCAGGCAGATACCAGAGCATCTCCAAACCATACAATAGAGCACCTCCAAACCATACAAGAGCACCTCCAAACCATACAACAGAGCACCTCCAAACCATACAACAGAGCACCTCCAAACCATACAAGAGCACCTCCAAACCATACAAGAGCACTTCCAAACCATACAATAGAGCACCTGCAAACCATACAATAGAGCATCTCCAAACCATACAAGAGCACCTCCAAACCATACAAGAGCACTTCCAAACCATACAATAGAGCACCTGCAAACCATGCAATAGAGCACCTGCAAACCATACAAGACCACCTCCAAACCATACAACAGAGCACCTCCAAACCATACAAGAGCACCTCCAAACCATACAAGAGCACCTCCAAACCATACAACAGAGCACCTCCAAACCATACAATAGAGCACCTCCAAACCATACAACAGAGCACCTCCAAACCATACAACAGAGCACCTCCAAACCATACATCAGAAAGGAAAAAAGTGCAGACATCCTCAGGGACTCAAAACAGAAGAACACTCAATGATCGCTTCTTCTCTCAGCCTACAACAATGATAGCTCTGAGGAGAACATCATCCACACGGTTCTTACTTTGATAACTTTGTTGAGGCATTCGTCAGCCACCATCCTGACATCTGACTCTGCGTCATCACTGCACAGCAGAAAAAGTTCCATAGCGATGCCCAGAAGTTTCTGAAATTCTGGAGAATTTCTAAGCAAAAAAAGAAGAGAAACTGTCAAGAGGAGCCTAAGGTGACATGACAATGAAATGTAATGAGGTATCCGGTGTCCTGCATGGAATTCTGGAACAGAAAAAGGACATTACATAGAAATTAAGAAAATCTGAATAAAGTCTGGACTTAAGTTAATAGCATATCAATATTGATTCATTAAACATGAAAATGTCTCACACTAAATTAGGATGATAATAACTGGGGTAACTGGATGTAGGGTATATGAAAACTTCCTACCCTATCTAATTTTTTTCTATAAATCTAAAACTATTTCAAAATAAAGTTTATTTTTTAAAAAAGAAGAGATTGTACTTGTAAGGCAATTCTCATTTTTCTTTTTAAATTTTCGTTTAAAAACTTCAGATACTTCAATCCTAGACAACCCACTGCTTTCTACCAAAAGTTTACTTTTACTCTTAACCTACAATATTCTTGGAACCTTGAAAATCAGTTCAGCAGTCTATCTCTCCTGCCCCTTTTTAATCTTGCTTTCGGTATGGGCCAAAGTATAACCATATTTCACCCTAAGATGCCAGATGATCATGGTCAGATTGTGTTTTTGTTGTGCGAGACAAAGAGTCACAAAAACTGGAGTTTGTTTACTATTTGTAAACTATTTTAAAATGTTTAATTGAAAGAAGCTGTTTAGGCCATCATGCTCCAACTGTCTAAACAAAGCCAAGAGAGAGCTAAACTGATGAGCCATGTACATGAAACTGACTTCACAGCATTCAGAAGCATCCAAACCAGTAACACAAGGATGTTCTTGAAGTAATCCCAAGAATAGCAAATCCCAGTAATACGGGGGATGTGCTATTTTTGAAGCATCAAAATGAGGTTGCTCTTTCATGATCCCAATCTAACTACTCTGAAACCAAATGTCTCTTTCTCTTTATCTCTAGGTAAAAATTGCAAACAATGGTTGGAAGATAGCAATGAGCCTAAGAGGCACCAAAAGTCCACATCAGTAATGATCAACAAACTTATAAAAGCATAAAACAAAACATGCCACTTAGCAGTATTTCAGACCTTATCTATGTGGAATACAGACAGCCATGAATAACGAACTGAGGAAAGGTCTTTGAAATGATAGATCATTCAAACACTGTGCTCCAAAGCAGTACTGTCAACAGAAACAGAATGTGAGCTACACTTTTATATTTCCTAGCTGACGCATCAAAAGTAAAAAGAAAACAGGCAAGATTTTCATAATATTTAATTTAACCCAATACACCCAAAGTATTATTTCAACATGTAATTAATGTGAAGAAATAATTAAGATATATAACATTTTTTACAGTATATCTCAATTCAGACACTAAATTTTCATCAGAAAACCTTTACCTGTGATTAGACTTCATAAAATTCAGTTGAAAAAGTTCGTATACCATTTCCAACCACACTTAAAAGTTTTCCAGTAACTAAATATTGATTTTTACATTTAAATTCAATAAAATAGATATAGGGCTAATCAGCTTATCTATATCTTCTTGAGAGAGCTTTAATAGTTTCTGTGTCTTTCAAGGAACTCATCCATTTCATCTATAAGTTGTCAAATTTATTGGCATAAAGTTGTTCATAATATTACCATATAGTCCTTTTTATTTATTTATTTGTTTTGAGATGGAGTCTTGCTCTGTCACCCAGGCTGGAGTGCAACGGCACAATCTCAGCTCACTGCAACCTCCGCCTCCCAGGTTCAAGCAATTCTCCTGCCTCAGCCTCCCAAGTAGCTGGGATTACAGGCACACAGCACCACGACCAACTAATTTTTGTATTTTTAGTAGAGACAGAGTTTCACCATGTTGGCCAGGCTGGTCCCAAACTCCTGACCTCAGGTGATCTGTCCACCTCGGCCTCCCAAGGTGCTGGGATTACAGGCGTGAACCACCACACCTGCCTCATACAGTCCTTTTAATATCTATATAATCTATACTACTGTCATCTCCCTCATTCCTGATATTGCTAATTTGTGACTTCACTGTTTTTCCTATCAGCTTTACCAATTTATTGATGTTCTTGATGAACCAGCTTTTGGTTTTATTGATTTCCTATGTATTTTTGTTTTCTATTTTACTGACTTCTGCTCCTATCTTTATGATGTCCATTCTTCTAGTAACTGTTTTTGTTTTTGAGACAGGGTCTCATTCTGTTGCCCAGGATGGAACACAGTGGCACAATCACAGTTCACTGCAGCCTCAACCTCCCAGACTCAAGCAATCCTCCCACCTTAGACTCCTGGTTAGCTGGGACTACAGGCACATGCCACCACACCTGGCTAATTTTTTTGTTTTTTGTAGATATGGGGTCTCCCTAGGCTGCCCAGGCTGGTCTTCAACTGCCAGTCTCAAACAATCCACCTGCCTCGGCCTCCCAAAGTGGCAGAACTGCAGGCATAAGCCACCGTACCTGGCCCTTCTGGTAACTCTGGATTCCATTTGCTTGTCATTTTCAAGTTTCCAAAGGTAGAAGCTGAGGTCATTGATTTGAAATCTTTCTTTCCTAAAACAGGCATTTAATGCTAGAAATTTCCATTTACTATGCTGTAACAGCACCCCACAAGTTTAGAAATCTATTGTTTTTATATCAGTCAATCCAAAAGACTTTCAAATTTCCCTTTTGACTTCACTTCTGACCCATGGGCCATGTGGAAATGGGTTTTTCCACATATCTGAGGCTTTTCCAGGTTATCTTCCTATAATATATTCCAACTTAATGATACTGAGGTCAGAAAACATACTCTGAATAATTTGAATGCTTTTAATTTAGAGACTTGTTTTATGGCCCAGCATCTGCTCTATCTTGGCAAACATTCTGTGAGCACTTGAGAGAGTGTCTCTTCTGCTGGTGCTGGGTGGAGTGTCCTGTAAATGCCAATGAGGTTGCACAGGGGACAGTGTTGGTCAAGTGTTCTAGATCCAGATATTATGGCTACGTGTTCTACAAATCATTGAGAGCGGCTACTGAAATCTCTATCACTGTGGATTTGTCTGTTTCTACTTGTAGTTCTGTCAGGCTTTGCTTCATGTATTTTAGCTCTGTAGTCCGGTGCATAAACATTTCAGCTTGCTATGCCAGGCTGATGAACGAATCCCCTTCATCATTATGAAATGACCATCTCATCCTGGGCAAGAGCCTTTGCTTTGAAATCCACTTTGTCTGATATTAACAGAACCAGTCTAGCTTGCATCTAATTCTTGTAAGCACAGTGAACTTCTTTCCGTTCTGTTACCTGTAGGTTATTTTTGCCTTTATATTTAGAATGTGTTTCTTGCAGGCAGCAGCATATACCGAGTCTTACTTTTCCATTCAATCTGAAAAATCGCTGCCTTTTACATGTAATGTCCTTTTTGACATAGTTAGGTTGAAATCTACCATCAAGCTCTTTCTTTCCTTTATTTGCCTCTTCCCCTATTTCTGGCTTCTTTGGGATTCACCATTTTTATTATTCTAATCTCCTTTTTTGGTTCATTAGCTATAATTCCTTGTTGTGCTTTTAGTTGTTGCTTAATTGTTTATACTATGTATCTTCATCACAATCTACCTTATTACACCATTTCACATGCAGCATAAATTAGTTTCCTGCAGCTGCTGTAACAAATTACCACAAACTATGTGGCTTAAAAGAAACAAACAAACAAAAAATTTTTTCTTTCACAGTTTTAGAGGCCAGAGTCCAAAATTAGTATCACTAAACTGAAATTAAGGAATTCCCTCGCCCTCGCCCTCGCCCTCGCACAGTCTCCCTCTGATGCCGAGCCAAGGCTGGACTGTACTGCCACCATCTCTACTCACTGCAACCTCCCTACCTGATTCTCCTGCCTCAGCCTGCCAAGTGCCTGGGATTGCAGGCACGCACCGCCATGTCTGACTGGTTTTCGTGTTTTTTGGTGGAGACGGGGTTTCGCCGTGTTGGCCGGGCTGGTCTCCAGCTCCTGACTGCAAGTGATCTGCCAGCCTCGGCCTCCCGAGGTGCCGGGATTGCAGACGGAGTCTCGCTCACTCAGTGCTCAGTGTTGCCCAGGCTGGAGTGCAGTGGCGTGATCTCGGGTCACTACAACCTTCACCTCCCAGCCGCCTGCCTTGGCCTCCCAAAGTGCCAAGATTGCGGCCTCTGCCCAGCCGCCACCCCGTCTAGGAAGTGAGGAGCGTTTCTGCCTGGCCGCCCATCGTCTGGGATGTGAGGAGCCCCTCTGCCTGGCTGCCCAGTCTGGGAAGTGAGGAGCGCCTCTTCCCGGCTGTCATCCCATCTAGGAAGTGAGGAGCATCTCTGCCCGGCCGCCCATCGTCTGGGAAGTGGGGAGCACCTCTGCCCCGCCGCCCCGTCTGAGATGTGAAGAGCACCTCTGCCCGGCCGTGACTCCGTCTGGGAACTTAAGAATGTCTCTGCCCCACTGCCACCCCGTCTGGGAGGTGAGGAGCGTCTCTGACCAGCCGCCCCGTCTGAGAAGTGAGGAGCCCCTCCGCCCAGCAGCCGCCCCGTCCGGGAAGTGAGGAGCCCCTCCGCCCGGCAGCCGCTCCGTCCGGGAGGTGGGGGGCAGCCCCCGCCCGGCCAGCCGCCCCGTCCGGGAGGTGGGGGGCAGCCCCCGCCCGGCCACCCGCCCCGTCCGGGAGGTGGGGGGCAGCCCCCGCCCGGCCAGCCGCCCCGTCCGGGAGGTGGTGGGCAGCCCCCGCCCGGCCACCCGCCCCGTCCGGGAGGTGGGGGGCAGCCCCCGCCCAGCCGCCGCCCCGTCTGGGAGGTTGGGGGGCGCCTCTGCCCGGCCGCCCCATCTGGGAAGTGAGGAGCCCCTCTGCCCGGCCGCCACCCCATCTGGGAGGTGTACCCAATAGCTCATTGAGAACAGTCCATGATGACGGTGGCAGTTTTGTCGAATAGAAAAGGAGGAAATGTGGGAAAAGAAAGAGAGATCAGATTGTTACTGTGTCTGCGTAGAAAGAAGTAGACATAGGACACTCCATTTTGTTCTGTACTAAGAAAAATTCTTCTGCCTTGGGATGCTGTTAATCTATAACCTTACCCCCAACCCCGTGCTCTCTGAAACATGTGCTGTGTCCACTAAGGGTTAAATGGATTAAGGGCGGTGCAAGATGTGCTTTGTTAAACAGATGCTTGAAGGCAGCATACTCGTTAAGAGTCATCACCACTCCCTAATCTCAAGTACCCAGGGACACAAACACTGCAGAACGTGGCAGGGCCCTCTGCCTAGGAAAACCAGAGACCTTTGTTTACATGTTTATCTGCTGACCTTCCCTCCACTATTGTCCTATGACCCTGCCAAATCCCCCTCTCCAAGAAACACCCAAGAATGATCAATAAATACTAAAAAAAAAAAAAAAAAAAAAAAACCAACTTAAAGGGGTAAATGATATCTTAAAAAAAAAAAAAAAAAAGGAATTGGCAGCACCACATTCCCTCTGGAGTAGGCTCTAAATGAGAACTGCTCCGTGCCTCTTCCAGCTTTGGTGGCTGCTGCATTCCTTGGCTTATAGCTTCATCACTCCAATTTTCAAGGCCAGCACCTTCAAATCTTTCTGTTCCATCTTCACAGGGCCTTCTCTCTGTGTGTAAAATCTCCCTCTGCCTCCTTTTTATATATATGTGATTGCATTTAGTGCCTACCCAGATCATCCAAGATAGCCCCCTCATCTCAAGATCCTGAATTTAATCACATCATAAAACAATTTTCCATATAAAGTAATATTTACAGGCTCCAGGGATTAGGACTTGATATCTTTTGGGGAAAGAGGGGAGCATTATTCTGCCCAGCGCAAATACATGTCAATTTCTGCTCTTCCAGCCTTTATGCTATTGTCATACAATTCACTTCTACGTGTTACAAACACTGAAATATATTATTTTTGTTGCGAACAATTTAATTAATCTCTTTTTAATATTAGGTAGGGTCAGAGTAACGAAACTTAGTCTGGGGCTAGGTGGGCAAACCCTTCTGAGTACCCTACCTGCTCTATGAGAGCTGAGGTTTTCCACTCCAACTGGTGTGATTAGAAATTCTTCCTGGCCCTGTGTGACTTTCAGCAACTGTTCCTTCTAATCCTTTCAGGTGGCTCTACCTCCAGCCCTGGGTCATTTCCGCACAAGCAAGTGCTCGTCAGTACTCAGCTACACACATGACAGGGTACTGAGAGGGCAGGGTGCAGGTCTCCGGAGCTCCCTCTGCAGCTCTCTTCCCTGGTATTCTTCCATATGGGCTCTCACCACCTTGCATCTCTGCACTCCCAGCTCTGCCTCCTCAACCCAGCAAACCACTGGCTCAGCCTCAGTCTCCTCTCAGTTTTTCCTCTTGCCATGACCAGGCAGTAATGTAAGGAAATTGTAGGGCTCTCCACATTCATTTTCCTGGGATAACTATTCTTCTTTGCCTGATGCCCAATAACTTGAAAACCACTGTTACATATATTTCTTCCGTTTTCAACTATTTCAAGGCAAGAAGATAAATGCTGTCCTTGTTATTCTATCTTAGCCAGAAGCAAAAATCTTTCATTATTTTTTAACTGAATTTTTTAACACATTGTTAATATATTTTCCAGTCACAAATATAAATATCTATTGGTCAGAAGTGGTGGCTCATGCCTGTAATCTCAGCGCTTTGGGAGGCCAAGGTGGGAGGATCACTTGGGCCCAGGAATTCTAGACCAGCCTGGGCAATACAGCAAGATCTCATCTATAAAACATTTAAAAATTAGCCAGGTATAGTAGCACTGCCTAAAGTCCCCCAGGTACTCAAAAGGCTGAGGCAGAAGGATCACTTAAGCCCAGGAGTTCAGGCTGCAGTGGGCTATGATTGTGCAACTGCATCCTGCCTGGGTGACAGAGTAAGATCCTGTCTCTAAAAAAAATTTTTTTAATAAAAAGTAAACAAAATATAAATATCTATGAATGTTAACTAACATTCTCTTGTATAAATGTATCTGGCCAGGCGCAGTGGCTCACACCTGTAATCCCAACACTGGGAGGCCGAGGGGCGCGGATCATGAGGTCAGGAGTTCGAGACCAGTCTGGCCAACACAGTGAAACCCCATCTCTACTAAAAATACAAAAAATTAGCCGGGTGCGGTGGTGTGAGCCTGTAATCCCAGCTACTCAGGAGGCTGAGGCAGGAGAATCACATGAACCCGGGAAGCAGAGGTTGCAGTGAGCCGAGATCGCACCATTGCACTCTGGCCCAGGCGGACAGTGCAAGACTCCATCTCAATAAACACATAAATAAATATATCTTAAATTTTCAATCCCCTTTTAGTGGTAGGCCATTAAGGTTATTTTTAATTTTCTAATGGGATGAAGGGCACTGCACCAATATCATTACACACTTTCCTAGGGGTAAGCACCCTAGAGGTAAAACTGCTAGGTCAGACATATAATAATCTAAAGCTTTATATTTTCCCAAATTGCCTTCTTAGAAGGTTGTATCACCTCTGACAAAAATCTGAATATTCTTAATGTTTGCCAATTTGACAGGTAAAAAAGGTTCTTATTTTTGTTTCAGTTTCAGTCTACTGATTACTAGTGTCCTAATCAGCTTGAGTTTCTATAACAAAATACCACATACAGACTGGGTGGTTTAAACAATAAGCACTTACTCGTCACAGTTCTGGAGGCTGGGAGTCGGAGAACAAGGTGCCGACAGGTCGACAGTGTTTTTCTTAACGATATTTATAACTGCTCTTTACACAGGCTAGTAACCTTTGATCTATATGCTGTCAATACTTTCCCCAAGTTCAATTTACTTTCAATTTTGTTGAAGGTGGATTTTGACATATTGAACTATATTCCACTCAAAACAGTTTTTTCCTTTATAATGTTAACCTTCCTCAAACTAAGATTACATTTTTTAAAGAAATTATTTCATTTTTTCACATTTAGGTAATTAATCTGAACTTTATGTTTGTTTGCAATATGAGGTAGAGATATAATGTTCTCCCAAAGTCAGAGAAATGTATCATTTCCCTCATTTCCCTAATACATATATGTTACACCCATCATAAATTCATACAGATACACACATACACTCTTCTTTCTGTTCTATACCTGTTTTAACATCCAATCACTATTTTAATGTCACATACATTAAGTCTCACCATATTAGTGTTGATTTCTTTTTCTTTTTTCTCTTTTTTCTTGAGACAGAATTTTGCTCTTGTCGCCCAGGCTGGAATGCAGTGGTGCGATCTAGGCTCACCGCAACCTGTACCTCCTGGGTTCAAGCAATTCTCCTGCCTCAGCCTCCCAAGTAGCTGGGACTACAGGCATGCACCACCACACCCAGCTAATTTTTGTATTTTTAGTAGAGGCAGTGTTTCACCGCACTGGTCCAGCTGGTCTCAAACTCTTGACCTCAGGTGATCTGCCTGCCTCAGCCTCCCAAAGTGCTGGGATTACAGGCATGGGCCACCACACCAGGCCTGGTGATGATTTTGAGATATTCTTTGCAATTATGTATTTATTCTTGCAGTGAACAAGTTCAAAAATACCTCTACTAGAATTTTGATCAAGATTATTTTAAATTTCTGTGTTAATTTAGAGAAAATTCAACTTAGTAATATAAAATCTTCCTATCTAGAAAGTGGTCACCTATATCTTTCAGAAACATTAACAGAAGTTTTTATAAAGTTTTTGCATATTTATCGATTCCTTAGAGTTCGATATATTGGTGCTACTGTGAACTAGATCTTTAAACGTTATATTTTCTAGCTGATTTATGCTAATATATGGGAGATCTATGGATTTTTGTATATTTATGTTTACCTAGCCACCTTATCAAGGTACATATTAGTAAGAGGTTGCTCAAGTAAGCATTCCTGGGTATTCCCAAGAGGATACTTGTGAAAAATGTGTAGTCCCTACCTACTCAAACAGAATGCAGAAGTATGTTTGGGAAAAAGGACAGTGAGGTGCCTTCATTACTGTATTTTTAACAAATTTTCCAGATGATTTTGATGCTCATCCATACTTAGGAACCAGTAACTTAGACCACTTTAGAGAGCTTAAAGCAGACTACATTTTCACAATATACATGAAGTTTTAAATGACTTCCTACATTGAAAACGTCAGAAGCTGCCATTTATATAACCTCATTAGAGACAAAAATTAGTCTAGCACAAAAGCTATAAAAAAGTTCCAAAAGTTTAATTATATTTTAGGAGAGTTAACAGGAAACAGCGATGAGCAATAAGTTTCCATAAAACATATTTACATAAAATATCACCTTCAGCTATATACTCTGAAATCCCTAAAAAGTATAGAGTGTATCCTATGAAACCAAGAATAACCTCTCTGACTCCAAAAACTCCTTTTAACATGCTCTTCTGTAGAACAAGCATAATGAACTCTCAGCATTACTCCATAAAAACAAGAGACAGACTAATGTGAAAACCATTAACAGCTATTATTTTGATTTAATATGGCATATAGAACCACAAATCAATCTTAAGATGTCTCAACATACTTTACTAATATATGAATATAAGCCAACATTCCATGAATTCCATTTGAAAATTATCAAAAGACAAAATGACAAGAATAAAGCCTGACGCACTCAGATTGAAAGAGATCTTATTTCCTGGGTCAATAAGCTTTCAGAGAGAAATTATGTTCTCTGAGACCTGGATGGTGGAGATCAGATGAACAATGACCAAATGTTTGCCAAGTATTTAAAGTCATTTCACAAAAAAAGTAAAGATGGCCAGGGGCAGTGGCTCACGCCTGTAATCCCAGCACTTTGGGAGGCCGAGGCGGGCGGATCACGAGGTCAGGAGATCAAGACCATCCTGGCTAACACGGTGAAACCCCATCTCTACTAAAAATACAAAAATTTAGCCAGGCATGGTGGCGGGTGCCTGTAGTCCCAGCTACTTGGGAGGCTGGGGCAGGAGAATAGCGTGAACCCGGGAGGTGGAGCTTGCAGTGAGCTGAGATTGCACCACTGCACTCTAGCCTGGGCAACAGAGCAAGACTCTGTCTCAAAAAAAAAAAAGTAAAGATAACATATAGCTTTGGATGATGGGCATCGCAATGGGATACGCTTCCCGCTCAGGTGGCTAATGAACATATCTATGCAGTTGCTTTTTCACAGTGTTTCACATGTACCATCTGATCCCACAAGAACTGTGTAACTAGGGATTACATTTCAAAAATGAGCCAGTAAGGCTCAAACACGTTACAGCTTATCTAAAGTCACCCAGCTTACACAGGTAGCAGAGATAGAATTCAAACCTTTTTTTTTCCTACTTTTATCATAGCGTTGTATTCTACAATAGCATGCTAACTTAGAATTTTTATATTTTTATTTTCAGGACATATGCTCATTTGTTATTTCATTTTCTTCCCACAACATTTCCACAAATTAGACAGAAACAGAACAGAATCATACACAGTATTTCACAAACAACAGAAATGAGTTAACCTAAAATGAAACGGTTTTGTGAAATCACTTTGAAAGTATATAATACAAATGCACAGAGGCATTAAAAATAAGCAGATCACCAAAAAAAAAACACAAATCCTGTAGGAATCCACTTACATGAGGTCTCCAGAGCAGTTACACTCATACAGACAGAAAGTAGAAAGGGACTACAGGAAAGAATGGATGATAGGGAGTTTAATGAAGACAGATGTTCAGTTTTGACAGAAGAAAAACTTATGAAGTAGATGGCAGTGATGGCTGTACAACATTACGAATATATATACTGAACTGTACCCCTAAAAATGGTTAAGACAGTCAATTTTATGTGCATTTTACCACAATAAAAAGACAAGAGAGGGCCGGGCGCGGTGGCTCACGCCTGTAATCCCAGCACTTTGGGAGGCTGAGTTGAGCGGGTCATGAGGTCAGGAGATCAAGACCACGGTGAAACCCCATCTCTACTAAAAATACAAAAAATTAGCCGGGTGTGGTGGCGAGCACCTGTAGTCCCAGCTACTCGCCAGGCTGAAGCAGGAGAATGGCGTGAACCTGGGAGGCAGAGCTTGCAGTAAGCCAAGATCATGCCACTGCACTCCAGCCTGGGTGACAGATCGTGACTCCGTCTCAAAAAAAAAAAAAAAACAAAAGTGAAAAGCAATGGCCAAGAGGAAATTTTTTGAAAAAACAAATGAATCACCGGGCGCCCTGGCTCACGCCTGTAATCCCAGCACTTTGGGAGGCTGAGGCGGGCAGATCACCTAAGGTTGGGAGTTCGAGATCAGCCTGACCAACATCTCTACTAAAAATACAAAATTAGCTGGGCACAGTAGCACATGCCTGTAACTCCAGCTACTTGGGAGGCTGAGGCAGGAGAATCACTTGAACCCAGGAGGCAGAGGTTGCAGTGAGCCGAGATCACGCCATTGCACTCCAGCCTGGGCAACAAGAGTGAAACTCCGTCTCAAAAAAAAATTAAAAAAAGAATCACCACACGTTTTTGTCAGTACTAAAATCAAGATTATTTGTCTAAAAATTTTTTTCTGACTGACTATAAAGGCTTTTTCTAGCTTCTACCAGGAGAATAACATGAATTATTTATTCCAAGGGAAAGTAAGGCAAGGCAACTATTTCACGCATGCCCATGTGGGTAACAGAATTCAGATATCATAGGTGAATATGTCTCCTACTGAGCCATTGGAAACAGGCCTAAATATATTTACCATCTACAGCTACTAGGAACAACGGTCAGAAAGATAGTCAAAAGCAAAGCAGCTACAAAAGAAGGTGCTGCTAGTTCATCCCAGTGAGAAAGATCAAGCAAGGAAAGCTGACCTACAGTCAATGCCCCACGATCCCCACTAATCCCGAAGCACAGAGGAGTGGGCTCCAGCCACTGCTAGGAGCAGAGGTACAATAGGACAGCAAACTGCCAAGAAAAAGCAAATAAGAGAGACAAACTGAACTGTCTTGTGCTGTTCCTACTATTGCAACAAATGCAAAAATATCAAACCATAGATGGTTTTAAAATAACTATAGTTGCTAAGGGTGTTAACTAAACATAAACATGTTGTTCAATTACCATAATGGTTTTAATTTTTGCATAAAAGATTACAAAAAGGGAACATTATTCATTTCAGTGTCTGGATATCCTTGTATATAGCCAGAAATATGGGAAAAGGGTCCTTCTTCATCTTAAATGGATTTCTGAATCCATTTAAAATAGCTGGGACACAAAGAATATTCTAGCCCATTAAGACTGAAAATATACAAAGTTCTTATTTTCTCTAGACAGTTCAAAGTGCAATTACCTGACAGACTGTGCCACTATGTTTTCACATATTGTCAGACAATGATTCACACGGTCTTTCTTGGTAGCTGAAAGTTCTTTCTTTCTAAAAATAAAAAAAAGAAGGAAATTAATATGTGTTGAATTACCCACTCCACTTAGTTCTACACCTCATTCATTCATTCAGTGAGTGTTTCTCGACTACTATGAATAAACCGTTATACTCCATGTTGCGGGCAGAATGGGGATCTGGACAGGGAAGCACAGGGCACGAGTTCACCAATGGCTGTCAAGCTACGCTGCTCACAGAAAAAACAGATGATGTTACTAAAGCAGTTCATTTCCCCCATTTTACTTTATTTTACTTTTTTTTAGAGTCAGGATCTTGCTCTGCTGCCCAGGCTGGAGTACGATAGCACAATCATGGCTCACTTTAGCCTTAAACTCCTAGGCTGAAAGGATCCTCCCGTCTCAGCCTCCTGAGTGGCGCGGACCACAGGCACGCACCACTGGGCCTGGCTAATTTTTTCAAAATATTTTGTAGAGACGGGGCCTCACGATGTTGCCCAATTGCTCAAACTCCTGGCCTCAAGCGATCTTCCCATCTTGGCCTCCCAAAGCACTGGGATTATAGGTATGAGCCACCATGACTGGCCTCACTTCCCCCATTATAGAGAGAAGAAATTGAAGTGCCAACCATGACATGCCCAAGATCACACAGATATGAAGTCATACAGCCAGCATTTAAACCCAGGTCTTCTGGCTTTAAATCTCCTCTGTATTTCACCAATACTCAATCAATTTCACGTTTGAATCATGTGTTAACATCACTAAAGCCAAACTGCATCTTACAACCAGTGGTATAGTTTGATTAGAAACTTTCTTTCTTTCTCAGCAGTACAGAAGATGATGGCATAGATTACAAGAGATGGGAAATTCAATTAGAAGAAACACAGTCTAATACCTACTCTATATATACCAGGCTGCCTTCAGTTCTCAAAATCGTTAACTGACTACAATCAACATACCACACAGACCTCAGTAAAATATAAGCAATGGCTAACTGCTTCTATGTCCCCAAATAGCTGGGAATAAGCCTCCTATTAAGACTTCTCAGCCAAGCAAAAGGAGATAAACAGCCTGGCGAAGATGATCAGGCTAAAGATGCCTCCTTCCCATCCAAACCTATGGCTTCAGATGTCTTCACAGTTGGCACTATCAAAATAAAGTAGAGAGGGGTGATCCAAAACATAGGACCAACTAAAAACAACTAAACTAAAAGACTACTAAGTTTCTGAGAAAATTGTATTACCAAAGAAATAAAAAATCTAACTTAAAAACACTGCCTTGCTATCTCATTTTGTCCAATAAGCAAACCTGGAAGTTTAAGAAACTAAAACTAATTCCTTCCCCCATGGAATTTAGTTAAGATGATGAACTGATAACTCAAACTGACTTGTTCTACATGAAAAGTAAGTATGGTGATTAAGTGAAAAAGAAACCACCTTGCTCTGAGCAAGAACTGGAAAAACAGGGTAAGAACAGTCCTGGCTTTTCAATCACTTTTGGTAAATGTAGTCACTTTCACTTCACCTTCAAAATTAAAACAAACGGCCAGGTGTGGCTCACGCCTGTAATCCCAGCACTTTGGGAGGCTGGGGCAGCAGATCATCTGAGGTCAGGAGTTCGAGACCAGCCTGGCCAGCATGGTGAAACGCTGCTCTACTAAAAATACAAAAAATAGTTGGGCGTGGTGGCGGGCGCCTATAATCCCAGCTACTCGGGAGGCTGCGGCAGAAGAACTGCTTGAACCCAGGAGGCAGAGGTTGCAGTGCACCAAGATTGCGCCATTGCACTCTAGCCTGGGGAACAGAGCCAGACTGTCTCAAAAAAAAAAAAATTAAAACAATCCTCCGCCAGCCTCCTCTAATTGTGTAATCAAGCAATCTGCACGGGCACACAAGCGTAAGGAGGGGCATGTAAACTCAAGGACACTACAGCATTCTATTTATTTATTTTTTTTTTTCCCCCGAGACGGAGTCTTGCTCTGTCGCCCAGGCTGGAGTGCAGTGGCGCGATCTCAGCTCACTGCCAGCTCTGCCTCCCGGGTTCACACCATTCTCCTGCTTCAGCCTCCCAAGTAGCTGGGACTACAGGCACCCACCACTATACCCGGCTAATTTTTTGTATTTTTTAGTAGAGACGGGGTTTCACCGTGTTAGCCGGGATGGTCTGGATCTCCTGACCTCGTGATCTGCCCATCTCGGCCTCCCAAAGTGCTGGGATTACAGGTGTGAGCCACCACACCCGGCCCAGTAATGCTGTATTTTAATTGATCTTGGTTTTTTTTTTTTGGAGATGGAGTCTTACTCTGTCACACAGGCTGAAGTGCAATGGCGCACTCTCAGCTCACTGCAACCTCTGCCCCTCGGGTTCAAGCAGTTCTCTTGCCTCAGCCTCCCAAGTAGCTGGGACTACAGGTGCACACCACCATGCCCGGCTAATTTTTGTATTTTTAGTCAAGATGGGGTTTCATCATGTTGGCCCGGCTGGTCTCGAACTCCTGACCTCAAGTGATCTGCCCACCTTGGCCTCCCAAAAGTGCTGGGATTACAGGCATGAGCCACCACGTCCGACCTGATCTTGATGTTTTAATGTCATGTGTGTTGGATTATTTGGATGAACATTACCTCTGGTTTGTTTCACTCTGAACATGGGAGACTGAGACACAAGTATCACTTGAACCCAGGAGGCAGAGGTTGCAGTGAGAAAAGATCATGCCACTGCACTCCAGCCTGGGCAACAGAGCAAGACTCTGTCGCCAAAAAAAAAAAAAAAAAAAAAAAGACAAAGCATTTCCATTACAAGTATTCCCCTGTGTTGTCCTTTTATAACCACATTCACCTCCCTCTCTTTTCTCTCCTCTGCCACCACTAACCTACTCTACTACCCCATCTCTAACCCCAGGCAACCACTAATCTATTCTCCATCCCTAAAACTGTGCCATTGCAAAAAAACATAGAATCATACAGTATGTATAACCTTTTGGGATTGGCTTTTTTCATTAGCATAACTTCACCTAAACTGTTGCATGCTATCAGTAGCTCATTCCTTTTTATTACTGAGTAGTTTAACCATTCACCTGTTGAAGGACATCTGAGCTGATTCCAGTTCTTAGATATTATGGGTAAAGCTGCTATGCATACTTGAGTATAGGTTTTTATGTGAACATTAAGGTTTCATTTCTCTAGGATTAATGCCCAGGATTGTAGTTGCTGCTGGGCTGTATACTAACGGTATGTTCAGTTTTATGACAAACTGCCAAACTGTTTTCCAGAGTGGCCGTACTATATTATATTCCCACCAGCAATAAGTGACCTAGTTTTTCTAAATCCTCACCAGCATGTGGTATTGTCAAAGTGATCTTTTCATCTAAATGCATATATATACATATATATGTGTGTGTGTGTGTGTGTGTGTGTGTGTGTGTGTGTGTGTGTGTGTGTGTGTGTGTATATTTAGAGACAGGGTCTCACTCTCTTGCCCAGGTTGTAGTGTAGTGGCATAATCATAGCTCACTGCAGCCTCAAACTCCTGGACTCAAGCAATCCTCCAGCCTCCTCAGCCTCCTGAGTAGCTGGGACTACAGGCACACACCACTATGCCCAGCTAATTTTTTAAAGTTTTTTGTAGAGACCTTATAGGTGCTGCTATGTTGGCTATGCTGGTCGTCTGGCCTCAGGCAATCCTCCCACCACACCGTCTCAAACTACTGGTATTACAGGCATGAACCATTGTGCCCAGCCAAAATGATCTTTTAAAAACATAAATTAAACTACTTGTTTTGACCACACAAGCTTATCTTGGTGCACAAGACGCTCGTCTCTAACCTCTCATCTCTCGCAGCCTCATCCTTATTTCTGCCCTTCACCTTACTTCAGCCACTGGCCTCCTTACTGGTTCTCAAACATGGAAAGCATTTCTGCCTTCTGTTAACTCTGCCTGGACCTCTCTTCTCCCGCTATACACATGGCTTGCCCCCTTTCCACTCAAATGTCACCTTCTAACCACAGCTCTCCTTTGTGCCCTAAATAAAATTGCACATTGTCTCTCCCCTCATTCGGTTGTTTTTCTCCATAGTGGCTGCTCAGATGAAAGGGTCCTTCCAGTTCATCTAAGCGAGTCCCACTACCAATGGCTGGGAGCTCTCCGCAGGCTCACCTCAGCTCACTCATCACAGCTACAGAAATGCTCAACGGCCCTACAGCAGATAAGCAAGGCCACCTCAGCTACACCTGGACACATATGAGCAACACAGGTCTTCCTCCCAAATGCTTGCATTGTTATTAGCAACAACAAAGGTAAGGTCTAAGCACCTACAGTGGAGCTTCCCAAACTCCAATGTGCATGTAAGTCACTCACTGAACCTGTTAAAACACAGACTCTGATTTGTCAGGTCAAGCAGAGAGAGTCTGCTTATGAGATCCCAAATGATACCAAACGACTGTCCCTGAGACCTCACTGTGATAGCAAGGACCTATGGACATATCATGTCTCTAACATACATTCTAGCCCCCAAATTGATCCAATTTAATACAATATTAAACAGTGCTTTATAAGGTATTTTATTTTTCCTCCTTGTTGTCTGAATAAGACTAAATGTTTTGAGTGTGGATCCATTCAAAGGTAGTTTATCAAGTGGTTGACTTATTTACAGGAAATGGAGGTGATGGGGATGGGGACTTCTCAAGGTAGAGAGAATATGTCACCAGCACATTCTACAGCCACAAAAATGTGAGACCTTTGCCTTTACATCTCCAAAAGTCCTCTTTTAAAAAGAAATTCTAAAATATTACATAGCAATTAATAAGAATTACAGGTACTGCTATGGAACAATATCTATGACACATTGTTAAGTAAAAAAATACATATGTAATGTGATCTCAGTCAAGCAAACAAAAAATGACACATTTAAATGCTTGTATATGCATATTAAAATCTGGGAAGAAGACACAAGAAACACTTTTGTTCTTAGGAAGTTAGACAAAGATGACAGACTTGCAAGAAGGGCTTTGTTTTTCATCTGTGCTGCTTGAAGATATTTTTATAATGTATATGTGTAACTTTTATAATTTTCAAAACTAGTTTAAAAAAAAAACAAAAACAGCCAAAAAAGAAATGCTTTCCAGCAGGGTGTGGTGGCTCACACCCTGTAATCCCAGCACTTTGGGAGGCTGAGGCGGGTGGATCACCTGAGGTCAGGAGTTCAAGACCAGCCTGACCAACATGGAGAAACCCCGTCTCTACTAAAAATACAAAATTAGCTGGGTGTGGTGGCGCATGCCTGTAATCCCAGCTACTAGGGAGGCCGTGCAGGAGAATGTCTTGAACCTGGGAGGCAGAGGTTGCAGTGAGCCGAGATCGCGCCACTGCACTCCAGCCTGGGCAACAAGAGTGAAACTCCGTCTCAAAAAAAAAAAAAAAAAAAAAAAAAGAAATGCTTTCCAAATGTGGTCCTATCATATTTTAACCTAGGAGTGGGAAAACTATAACCTGCATATTTTTGGCTAGTTCACAAGCTAAGAAATGTTTTTACATTTTTAAATGGTTGACCAAAATAATCAAATACTATCTCATGACAGGTGAAAATTATATGAAATTCAAACTTCCTTGTCATTAATAAAATTCTATTGGAACACAGACACTCATACATATTGCTTATGGCTACTTTCATGCTACAATGGCAGAGCCGCGTAGCTGTGACAGAGACACTGTGCCCACACAGCCCGAAATACTTACAATCTGACCATTTACACAAAGTTTGCCCATGTTCATAGGTGGAAGACAATATTGTTAAGATGCGAATACTCCCCAAGTTGATCTACAGATTCAACACAATCCCTCTCAGAATCCTACTTGGCTTCTTTGTTGAAACTGACAAGCTGATCCTACAATTCGTACGGAAATGCAAGGGACCCAGCATGGCCAAATCAATCTTGAAAAGGAACAAAGTTGGAGAACTCACATTTCATGAATTTAAACTGTGACACAAACTTCAGTAATCAAGACTGTATGGTACTGGCACAGGATCGACATAAAGACCAACAGGTAGAACTGACAGTCTAGAAATAAATTTATACAATTAAGGACGATTAATTTTCAACAAGGGTACTAAGATAATTCCATGGGGAAAGAATAGTCTCTTCAACAAACAGTGCTGGGACAACTGAATAACCACATGGAAAAGAATAAAGTTGGACTTCTACCTGAACCATATATAAAAATTAACTCAAAATGGATCAGACTTAAATGTAAAACTCTAAAATTCTTAGAAGAAAACATAGGAGTAAACCTTTTTGACTTTGGATTAGACAATGATTTCTTAGATATGACACTTGAAGCACAGCAACCAAAGACAAAATAGATAAACTCGACTTCATCAAAATTAAAAACTTTTACACTTCAAAAGACACTATCAAGAAAGTAAAAAGACAATCCAAAGGAAGGGAGAGTTTTTACAAATCATCTATCTGATAAGAATCCAGTATCCAGAATATATAAAGAACTATTACAATTCAACAATAAAAATACAAAGGGAAAAAATGAGAACAAGGGTTTGCAAGGTAAGTATAAGAAAGAGCCTGGGTTCTGACCGGGTGCAGTGGCCCAAACCTGTAATCCCAGCACTTTGGCAGGCTGAGGCGAGTGGATCACCTGAGGTCAGAAGTTCGAGACCAGCCTGGCCAACATGGTGAAACCCCATCTCTACTAAAAACACAAAAATTAGCTGGGCATGGTGGTATACGCCTGTAATCCCAGTTACTTGGGAGGCTGAGGCAGAAGAATCACTTGAACCCAGGAGGTAGAGGTTTTAGTGAGCTGAGATCACATCATTGCACTCCAGCCCGGGTGACAAGAGCGAAACTCCGTTTCAAAAAAAAAAAAAAGAAAGAGCCTGGGTTCCTTAACTTATTGTTGAATTTCCCCAGACTTATTTTTGTCTTCTGATAAGCTCTTGCTTGTTACCAGTTTAAGCTATTGCAGCAGGATTTTCTGTTACTTGCAGCTGAATACAAACCTGATAACGCAAGCTACTGCTAAATTGTTATACTTAGCAGAGTTCAACAAGTGCAGTTGGTTCCGCATTCAAAATCCAGTCAGTCATTCCTCACACTGCCCACAGCCGACAGCCGGTACCCTGACAGAACCCACCATGCTTATCTGAGCACTGCAGTGGCTTCCTAACTGGTTTCTGCTTTTGCCGGTGTTCCCCTTCACTCTGTTGTCAGCCAGAGTTCACTTAAGATTGAAATTCAGATCATGCTACTCCTCTGCTCTAATCCTCCAGTGACATCCCATCTCACTCACATAAATGCCAATATCTTTATTCCATCTACAAGGCAAGTAGTATTGGTCTGATATGGCACTCCCTTGACCTCTTGGACCTTACTTCTTACTACAAATGTCCCCCTCACTCAATTCACCCAACTAAAATGACATCCTTGCTATTCCTGAAACAGGAAGATTTTGGACCTGTTCCCCCCATCTGGAATACCACTACTTCATACACCCTTACACTAGACTCTTAACTCGCTTGAGGTCTTTACTCAAAAGCCATCATCTGGCCAGGTGTGATGGCTCACACCTATAGTCCCAACACATTGTGAGGTTGAGGTGGGAGGATCACTTGAGCCCAGGAGTTCAAGGCTGAAGTGAGCTACGATAGTGATACTGCATTCCAGCCTGGGTTAAAGAGCAAGACCTTGCCCCCCAACCCCAAAAAAAAAAAAAAAAAAAGCTGTCTTCTCAGTGGACCTTCCCTGAACACCGTATTTAAAATATCAACACTGGCCAGGTATGGTGGCTCATGCCTGTAATCCTAGCACTTTGGGAGGCCAAGGCAGGCAGATCACATGAGGCCGGGAGTTCGAGACCAGCCTGCTCATCATGGCAAAACCCCATCTCTACTAAAAATACAAAAATTACCCAGGCGTGGCCGGGCACAGTGGCTCATGCCTGTAATCCCAGCACTTTGGGAGGCCGAGGTGGGCGGATCACAAGGTCGGCGGATGACGAGGTCAGGAGATCAAGATCATCCTGGCTAACACGGTGAAACCCCGTCTCTATTAAAAATACAAAAAAATTAGCTGGACGTGGTGGCAGGCGCCTGTAGTCCCAGCTACTTGGGAGACTGAGGCAGGAGAATGGCGTGAACTCGGGAAGCGGAGCTTGCAGTGAGCTGAGATCGCGCCACTGCACTCCAGCCTGGGCGACAGAGCAAGACTCCGTCTCGGGGGAAAAAAAAAAAATTACCCAGGCATGGCAGTGCATGTCTATAATCCCAGCTAAACAGGAGGCTGAGGCATGAGAATCACTTGAACCCAAGAGGCAGAGGTTGCAGTGAGCCAAGATCACACTAGTGCACTCCAGCCTGGCTGATAGAGCAAGAACTGTCTCAAAAAAAACAAAACAAAACAAAATAAAATAAAAATGTCAACACTTAGTGCTACAGCTCTTTTGGAATTTGTCTAGCAGGCTTTCTGGGTTTTGCTGGAAAGCCCTTAACAATTTTTTTAAAAATAAAAATAAGTTAACACTCGATTAACCCTGACATTTCCCTATCCCCTTCCCTGCTTTGAAGTTCCTCCACGTATTAACGTACTGTATATTTTACTTATCTATCTTGCTTACTGTCTATGTCCTTCATTAGAATGAAAGCTTCACGAGGGCAGAGCTTTGTCTGCTCACTGCTGAGCCCTGCACCTATAACAGTGCCAGGCACATAGTACATGTTTAGTAAATATTTACTGATGAATGAATAAAGTCAGGGAAACACCAGATAGGAATCTGAAGGAGAATAAGAAACTGCCAGAAGCAAGTATTAATTGCCTCCTAATTACTGTGAGGACCCTCCCAAGCATGCTAGATTTGCTGAGCCTGCAGCCAGCCCCATAAGGAACTCCTGCATCCTGTATGCTGAGCAGAGCACAAACACTCATAAACTGAGGCCCATGCATGGCGTGACACCACAGTTCCACACCAAAGAGCAAGAGCCATAAAAACAGAACAGATACTTTCTAAATTGCTTTCATCAATCTTACTTTGAGAAGAGGATTTTTTGGCTGAAGCACGTGAACAGAACTGCCAAAATCCAAACTTTGTGAGCAGTGTTTGTTACTCAAAATTAGTGAATACCTCCTTTCTCAACAGCAAAATACAGAGAAATATGACAAATATGCATTTTATTTAAAATAACTATAAAACTATAAATAAACCTAATGCAGTTGATTTCAGAGCATGCTAAGAACCTTTAAAAGTTATTATTCTAGCCAGGCATGGTGGCTCACACCTGTAATCCCAGCACTTTGGGAGGCCGAGGTGGACAGATCACAAGGTCAGGAGTTCAAGACCAGCCTGGCCAACATGGTGAAACCCCATCTCTACTAAAAATACAAAAATTAGCTGGACATGGTGGTGGGCGCCTGTAATCCCAGCTACTCAGAAGGCTGAGGCAGGAGAAGCATTTGAACCTGGGAGGCAGAGACTGCAGTGAGCCGAGATTGTATCACTGCACTCCAGCCTGGGTGACAATGTGAGACTACATCTCAAAAAATATATAGATATATATTATTCTAAACTACTTTTGTTTTTAGAGCATTTTAAATCTATCTTACAATATGAACAGGTTATATCTGGCAGGATACATGAGGAACTGAAATAGTGCTTGTTCTTGGGGACAAAGTTAGGTACTCAGAGGAAAGGGGTGGAAGGAAGATATTTTAATTATTGCCCTTTTGTAATTACAGAATTTGTATCATGTCAATGTATTACTTATGCAAAAATAATACATTAAAAAAAATTTTTTTTGAGATAGAGTCTCGCTCTGTCACCCAGGCTGGAGTGCAGTGGCGTGATCTCAACTCACTGCAGACTCTGCCTCCCGGGTTCAAGCGATTTTCCTGCCTCAGCCTCCCAGGTAGCTTGGATTACAGGCACGTGCCACCATGACCAGCTAATTTTTGTATTTTTAGTAGAGACAGGGTTTCACCATGTTAGCCAGGCTGGTCTCAAACTCCTGACCTCAGGTGATTCGTCCACCTAGGCCTCCCAAAGTGCTCGGATTAAAGGTGTAAGCCACCTTGCCAGTCCTGATTAAATTTTTTAAATAAGGTAATCATATATTACCTTAAAGTAATGAAACAAAATCTATCTCCTTTGTCAAGGCAGCAAAGGAAATTTCTTGATACCCATATTTTGAAGATAAGCAAATGCAGGTTCTGTCAAATCAGCATAAGAAAGAGAAGGCATATTTTTAGAATGATCAAGTGTCTGAAGCAGCCCAGCAGAAAGGTCTTCCTTCCCATCAGGAGCCCTGTTTAGTGTTTACACAAGATACATGCAATGTGTGAACTTTTATGACACCTACCTCCTAGAAAAGCACTACAGTAAATTTCTGGATGAGAAATTACTTACTGAAGAGATAAGCCAAATTGTTTTAAAATTTCTCCAAATATCCAAAAAGTTTTTCCATCCTTTAGAATAATTTATTCCTAAATTTTATTCCAACAAATAAGCTAACACTGCTCTCCGAATCATTTTCTAATTAAACTTTGAAGACGAGACAAGGATCATAACAGAAACAAAGAACAAGAAATATTACTAAAAATTAATCAGTCTTAACAGAGATATTCTTACCAAATGCCATCTGGGACACATCCAGATCGGAAATAGAATACTGAGAGGTAAGAGAAAGGCCTGAACTGCACCAGAGTACTTCCTAACTCCTACTGTACACTCGACACACAGACTTCCAGGGAAAGTCCTGGGGTTCCGCTAGATGTTTTAATGGTCTCTCTTTTCCTGTTTCAAAAATTCTCCCCAAGAACAAGCAACAGAAACCCCTAGCTTCCAAAAAGTAACAAGCTGTCAGCAATGAAGCAAACAGAAACCCTTTCACTGGCACATCTGAGATGCCCACGGAGTCTGCGGACCCCCCGTATTCTGGCAAGCCTGACTGGAATACTGGTAAAATGTACACCTCATTCATCCCTCGGCAATTAACCTCCCCATCAGCAACGTGTTGGTTTTATTCCCAACACACATAGGCAAAAAACTTCAATCAACTCTTCCTAATATTTAAGATAATTTCATTAATCACCACGTAAGTTCACCACTTTACTTGGCAACCACAACTCATTCAAACGCCTGCAGACCAACTTAGGCTTAGATGAGCAGATCTCTTAGGTGGTGCTTAAAATCGTGTTACTACCACCGTGATCATGAACTAAATGAAATGTCCTGACAATGTAGGAAGAGCCTCAAATCTCAGGCTGTTTTAAGTGCCACTAGGAAAAGAAATCTCCCATTGGACGCGCCCTCACTCCCCGCCCCCCCCCTGCCCCGCCACTCCCGCCGAGGCGTCCTAAAAGCATTATGTCATCCACTGCCCCCACATCTCTCCAGCTCCAAACCCCGCCTCCTCTCGAAGTGTCCCGCGCCCCCAGCCCTCTTCCCTCTCAGACTAGAAGAGGGAAGTGGCACTGAGCAAATCTCGGCTCCTCCAAGTTCTCTTCACAACGCAGTTAAAAGAACCCCCGCCCTGGTTTCTCGCAAATAAAAAGAAACAAGTTCTCGCCCCAACTCTTCGCATCCTGCGAAGGGCGAGAGGGCTGAGGCCGTGACTCCCCTCGGTGAATTCAGGACAGGCCCCAACAAGGCTCTGCCTCCCCTCGCGAGAGGACAAGGGAAGACCCAAGTGAGGGAGCGGGGCTGAAGTGGGGGAAGGCCTCGCCCCAGGAGGGGGCGGGTGTCCCTCATGGGCTCTGGGTTGCTGGGTCACTCTGTCTCTGCGGGGCCGGGGGTTCGTGTCGCCGGCCCGCAGGCTGCAGGGTTACCGCCATCCCCGCCGTAGCCTGGGACCCGCCGGGACAGGGAGCTGCAGCGGGCCCAAACTCACGGTCGGTGCAGCGGCTCCTCAGCCACAGCCGGGCCGGGTGGCGGCGGGGGCGGCGGCGGGGGCGGCTGCGGCTGAGGCAGCAGCGGCTGTGCCTGCGGCGGCGGCTGAGGAAGCTGAGGAGGCGGCGGCGGCGGCGGCGGCGGTGGCGGCTGTTGCTGCTGCTGCTGCTGCTGCTGCTGCTGCTGCTGCTGCTGCTGCTGCTGCTGCTGCTGGAAGGACTTGAGGGACTCGAAGGCCTTCATCAGCTTTTCCAGGGTCGCCATGGCGGTCTCCCGCCCGGCACGGCAGTCCCCGGAGGCCTCGGGCCGACTCGCGGCGCCGCTCAGCACCGGGGCAATGAATGGGGCTCTGGGCCGCAGGTAAAAGCAGAACCTGAGCGGCCGTCCATCTTGGACCCGTCCCGGCAGCCCCCACGGCGCCTTGCGTCCCAGACGCTGCGCCGGCGGAGGCGGGGCCGCGCCGGCGGAGGCGGGGCCACGCCGGCCAGCATGATTGACAGCCCTAGCCTGCGGACTCTGCCAATGGCTGGCCAGGGAACCAGCCCGCCCCTGCCCCCGCAGGTTCTGCCTCACACAGCAAGGCCGCTGACAGCGCAGCGCCCCACCCGGGCGAAGGCGCGGGGCTCAACGGAGAGGGGACGGGGCGTGGTGAGACTGTAATGGGGTGAGGCGAAGCTGTGTGTGAAGTGTCGCGGCGAGGCGGGACGAGGAAGGGACGGGGCGGGACTGCATGGTAAGGGAGGCGTGGCGATGCGGGGGGCGTGGCGATGCGGGGGGCGTGGTGAGGTAGGGGCGTGGCGAGGCCGGGGCGGGGCACAGCAGGGAGGCCGCCTGAGGGGCGGGGCGAGACGGGGGCGGGGCGGGGCGATGCTGGGGACGGGGACATTAGGCAGGCCGGCTGAGGGGCGGGGCGGCTGAGGGGCGGAGCGGGATAGGGGAGGGGACTGGCCGGTGAGGGGTGGGGAGGCTGGGGGCGGGGCAGGAAGGTGAGAGGTGGGGCGAGGGAGGGGTGGGGCGCGGAGGGGCAGGGCCATGGAGGGGCTCGCCCATGAAGGACGGGGCCATGGACGGGGCGGGGCCGTGGAGGGGGCGCCGAGCGCGGGCGCAGGCCCATGCGGAAAGGATCCCCCGCCGACGCCTGGAGCGGGGCGACAGCCGGCCGTGGACTCTGAGCCGAGGTGGCCTTGGGGTTTGCCCTCCCGCCACACTGGCCCGTGGCCAGAGCCATACTCACCCGGACAGCCCTGCGGGGAGCCAGCTGCGGGGCTCTCTGCACGGGGAGAGGGTGGGCGAGCTCCTGCGCAGAGCGCAGAGAATGCGCGTGGTCGGCACGACCTGAGGACCCCAAGTGTGACCCCCACCCCACCCCCAGTGAGCTGGAGAGGCCCCTGCAGGGCGGTGTCCACAGGCCTGGCGCCCCCCATCGGTCCCAGCGCAGCGCCCCGGAAGGGAGGAGAGGGTCTGGGGCAGGCCTGGGTGGTCAGCGCCTGCTGCCCACAGAGGCACTGTGATTAGTGCAGCGAGAAGCAGCTATGGCCACAAGATGCCGCCCACAGGAATGAGTCCCGACCTGGGGGCGTTTCTTTATGGGAGTGCACCCCTGCTCTGACCTTCCGGCAGGACCCCCAAGGGGCGTCATTCAGCAGCAGCTCAGCAGAGGTCTGTGGGGCACCCCCTCACGCCTGGGACACAGGCCGTGGCGGGCAGGGTCCTGGTCTCCAGAGCCTCCTGCCTTTTGGGTGGTAGAGGGGCAAACGGAGAGGGCAGCTGTCCAGCCTGCCCAGCAGGGAGTAAGGTTGGCCTCAGAGACAACCGCCCAGCCGGGGGGTGATGCAGGCAGAGAGGAGCCCAGTAAAGCCTACTTTAGCCAGGCCACACCTGCAACCCAGAGTCCCCTGCTCTGTGGCCACAAACAGCACCTCCGCCTTGTCTCAGAGCCTGTCCTAAAGGGAAACCCAGCATTGTCCCCAGTGGGGTAGCAGTAGCCTCCCTTTTCTTGAGAAGGACAGCAGAGAAACAGCTGTTAGTTCCCAGTTCTTGGGAGGCTGATGTGGGAGGATCACCTGAACCCAGGAATTTGAGGCTGCAAGTGAGCTAGGATTGCACCACTGCACTCCAGCTTGGGTGATAGAGCGACACTGTCTCTAAAAAAATTAAGTTCCAGCGAGGTGCGGTGGCTCACGCCTGTAATCCCAGCACTTTGGGAGGCCAAGGCAGGCAGATCACCAGAGGTCAGGAGTTCGAGACCAGCCTGGCCAACATGGCGAAACCCTGTCTCTACTAAAAATACAAAAATTAGCCGGGTGTAGTGGTGCATGCCTGTAGTCCCAGCTATTCCGGAGGCTGAGGCAGAATTGCTTGAACCTGGGAGGTGGAGGTTGCAGTGAGCCAAGATCATGCCATTGCACTCCAGCCTGGGTGACAAGAGTGAGACTCTGTCTCAAAAATAAATAAATAAATAAAGTTCCCAGTTCTCTGCTGTTAATAAGGGCCTTTGTCCACTGTGTCAGGCCTCAAGGTTGTTAGTTACCTCAGTGGGCAGACTCATAAGATGGCCCCAGCACCCCTCACCTCCTGGTATTGACACCCTTGTATGACCCCTCCCCGTGAGCTTGGGCTGTACCTGGTGGCCTGCTTCTAACCAATGGGCAAAGGTGATGGAATGTCACCCCATGACTAGGTCGCAAAAGGGTATGACTTCAGTCTCCCTGGCCCTCTCTGTTGCCTTCTTGGCATGGATGCTCTGATGAAGTCAGCTGCCATGTTGGAGAGGCCCACATGGCGAGGACATAAAGGCGGCCTCTGGCCAACAGGCAGTGAGAACTGAGGTTCTCAGTCCAGCAGGCCATGAGGAACTGGATCCTGCCAACACCACGTGAGATTGGAAAGGGACCCTTCCCCGGCTGAGCTCTCAGGTGGGAGGCAGCTGGTATTTGACTGAACCCTGGCGAGAAGTGGAGCTGGTTAAGCTGGGTCCAAATTCCTGACCCACAGAACGTGTGACGATACATATGGCTCTACACGTAACTACATATAACTCTATGACTAGACATGTGTGCTGCCAAGCCACAGTGCTGGGGTGATTTGTTCCAGCAGCAGATGACTGTATTTGTTTACTTGGGCTGCCATAACAAAGTACCACAGACCGGGCAGCTTAAACAACAGAAATGTATCTTCTCATGGTCCTAGAGGCTAGAAGTCCGAGATGAAGGTGTTGGCAAGGTTGGTTTCCCCTGAGCCCTGTCCTTGACTTGCAGACAGCTGCCTTTCTTGGTGTCCTCACGTGGCCGTCCCTCTGAGCATGTCCGTGTCCTAATCTCTTCTTGTAAGACATCAGTCGGATTATGGCCCACCCTAATGATCTCATTTTAGCCTCCTTACCTCCTTAAAGAACCTGTCTCCAAATACAATCCCATTCTGAGGTTCTGGGGCTTAGGACATCAACCTGAATGAGGGACACAGTTCGTCCCATAACAATAAGTAATAGAGTTGCACCCTAGCAGCCGCTCTGACCTTCTTTAGAGACCTTTTTATCTAAGCAGTTTGCCTCTTAGCTAGTGTATGACAGTCCCTGTCCTTCCTTCAGCTAGCTATGGCCATATAACTAAGTAAGTGCTAGCCAGGGAGATGCAAGCAGAAGTAATGAGTAGTACTTCTAGAAAGGAATCACATAAAATGAAGGGAAAGACACACCTTTTTCCTGCTCCCTGGAATGGGATGTGTTGGCTGGGACTTGAGCAGCCATTTTGGATCATCTGCATAAAAGCCACATCCTGGGGTGATGGGAGCTGGAAGGAGGGGGCCCAGATGACTGTGTGCAGTTGTCATTCCAGCCTGGCCTGGAATTCTTTCATCTGTAAGGGAGAAATACACTTCCGTCTGAGCTGCTGTGACTCCAGGTCATTCTGTTATATGCTCCCAAACCAAATTATTCCAACCCATCCAGGGAGGCAATGGATCATCGGGACTTTACATGGCCACAACAAATCACAACTGCTTCAGCCATGGCTGAGAAAACATCATCTGCCTAGAATTGACTATCATCCTGACAGGAAATCTAATGTGAAAGACTTACAGAAATGGACTGTCAAGACACAGGTTTTTAAAGTTCACAGAAAAGTTTGGCATCATCTAAAAAGAGTAAAGATCAATACTGGGCAGTCTGGCATGGTGTCTCTGAGGCCTAAAAATGGGCACAGTCCCTGAACAGCAAAAACATTTCCCGTAATTTATCCTATGCAAACAGTCAGGCATGTGTGATCAATGATTTATTATAGCAACACTTAGGACAAAAGATGGAAAAAAGATAGATGCTGGGCAGAAGGAGCTGAGTTAAAGGAATCCCAACATAGCCACAGGCAGTCATTAGAATCCTGTTCCAGATGAGCACTTGTGACACAGGGAAAGGCTTACAACATGCTAGCCGACTACACACCATGTAGAGCCTGATAACGTCCCCCATTCTAAAGAAAAAACAGCGTACACATACACAGAAGAGAGATGAAGGCGCAGTGGCTCACACCTGTAATCCCAGCACTTTGGGAGGCCGAGGTGGGCTGATCACCTGAGGTCAGGAGTTCAAGTCCGCCTGACCAACAAGATGAAACCCTCTCTCAACTAAAAATACAAAAATTAGCCGGGCATGGTGGCAGGTGCCTGTAATCCCAGCTACTCAAGAGGCTGAGGCAGGAGAATCGCTTGAACCCAGGAGGCGGAGGTTGCAGTGAGCTGAGATCGAGCCACTGCACTCCAGCCTGGGTGACAGAGCAAGACTCTGTCTCAAAAAAAAAAAAAAGAGCGAGAGAGAAATAAGGTTCCTAGTCACCAAGTCATAGCAGTGACTCTCTCTGGGCAGGGGAATTGAGGGCGGTTTATATCTTAATCTTTGTGCTTTTCCATATTTTTCAAATTTTCAGCAATGAACATGAACTATTCAGGGGAAGATTGTTAAATGAAAGAATCTCACTGGGCGGGGAGCTAAGCATGACACCTGGCCACCTGCCTGTGCCTGTCCTGCCGAGAAGAGAGAAGAGGCCTTGAAAGCAGCCAGAGGGGGTGCACACCAGCCTGGGCAGGGGGCAGTAAGCGGGAGCAGCCCCGACCCGAGACCAGGTGGGATGCACGCGGGGTGGGGCTGGAAAAGAAGGAAACCCTGACGCAGACCCCAGGGGGAAATGAGGAGCAGTCGAGCAACTGGAGAGCAGAGGAGGCTCTTTGGTGGCCTCCAGCCCCACCCCTGAGAGGGCTGAGAGAGGAGCAGGTGTGAGGGCAAAACAGGCAGGAACCTTCCAGAGAAGAAAGCCAGGAGCTGGTAAAGAGCACGGGCCCAGCTGCAGACAGAAACCTTTCCCGTCTCATAGGATGGCTGAGGCGCAGGACAGCGGCGGGGGCGCGTCCTCCTTCATCTGTCCTGTTTCCTTAGGTTCTAGGTGCACCGCTGGTAAGGAGCTTCTTATGTGGGGTCTTTGACAACCCTCGTTTTTAAACTAGAGCATTTCCTTCATTAATATTAACTGTAATCGTTGATATACGTGAGGTCAGTCTTTCTGTATATCCTACCAGCTCTGTTACCTGGTTTTTGGTTAAGTCTGATTTTATTTTTGAACCTCTGTTAGTTTGAAAGTGATCACTGTTGGCCGGGCGCGATGGCTCACACCTGTAATCCCAGCACTTTGAGAGGCAGAGGTAGGCAGATCGCCTGAGGTCAGGAGTTCAAGACCAGCCTGGCCAACATGGTGAAACCCCATCTCTACTAAATATTTAAAAAAAAAAAAAAATTAGCCAGGTGTGGTGGCAGGTGCCTGTGATCCCACCTACTCTGGAGGCCTAGGTGGGAGGATGGCCTGAACCCAAGAGGAGGAGGTTGCAGTGAGCCAAGATCACACCACAACACTCCAGCCTGGGTGACAAAGTGAGACTCCATCTCAAAAAAAAAAAAACATACACCGTTGTCTCCTCTTTTCATGGTCACCCTAGAAATTACAACATTCATCCTCCAGGTATCAAAATCTAACGTAAATCTATTCTCTTCTTGATTATGCAGGGAGCTTACAACATTTAAATGCTATTTTTGGTTTCTCCCAATTTGGAGGGTATTATTGCCATGTGTTTTAATTCCATATAAACACACACATAGGCCAGATGCAGTGGCTCGCGCCTGTAATCCTAGCACTTTGGGAGGCCCAGGCAGGTGGATCACCTGAGGTCAGGTGTTCAAGACCAGCCTGGCCAACATGGAGAAATCCCATCTCTAGTAAAAATACAAAAATTAGCCAGGCATTGTGCCAGGCACCTGTAATCTCAGCTACTCAGGAGGCTGAGGCAAGAGAATCATTTGAGCCCAAGGGGCAGAGGTTGCAGTGAGCCGAGACCGTGCCATTTCACTGTAGCCTGGGCGACAGAGTGAGAATCCATCTTGACAAAAAAAAAAAAAAAAGCTACACACACATATATGTTACAAAAGATAGAGACACAACAGTTGTAGAGCAGTCAGCTTTTGTTTAAATTGGCCCCCGAATTTTCCATTTTTATCACTCTCCATTTCTTTCCTGAATCTCTGATCTTCCTCTGGGGTCATTTTCTTCTGCCTGGAAAGCATCCTTTAGAATTCCTTGGACAGTGGGTCTTCTATTGCGGAAATCTTTCCAGTTCAATCAGGAAGTGTTTTTATTTTGCCTTCCTTCTTCACGGATTTTGGTGGGTATCGAATCAAAGGCGGCAGTTGCTTCCTTTCAGGAGATTGAAGCTTCGTCACCCTTTTTTTTTTTTTTTTTTTTTTTTTTTTGAGACAGAGTCTTGCTCTGTCACCCAGGCTGGAGTGCAGTGGCACAATCTCGGCTCACTGCAAGCTCCGCCTCCCGGGTTCACGCCATTCTCCTGCCTCAGCCTCCCGAGTAGCTGGGACTACAGGCACCCACCACCATGCCCGACTAATTTTTTTGTATTTTTAGTAGAGACGGGGTTTCACCATGTTAGCCAGGATGGTCTTGGTCTCCTGACCTCGTGATCCACCCGCCTCGGCCTCCCAAAGTGCTGGGATTACAGGCCTGAGCCACCACACCTGGCCTGTCTTCCACTTTTCATTCTTGCTGTTGAGACATCAGCTGTCAATTTCATGGCTGCTGCTTTGAAACTAATATGCCATTTTTTAAATCTGGCTGCTTTTAAGATTTTCTCTGTCTTTGGTTTTCTGTAGTTTTGCAGTGATACGTCTGGGGGTGTAAGGAGAGACAAGTCTGCTTGTTGGCCAGATGGCCCTCGAGGTCCCCTTTGGTAACCTAGCAACAGGCTGGCTCAGTAGGAAAGCTCAAAGCCTTACCTATACCAGCTCCAGAAGTTCTGGAACGCAGATCCCCCTCGGTGAAAGATTTCTAAGGTCAGGATGTTCTTTTCACCAGCAAAGACATTCCCCACAGCCTGAAATCTCCCATTGCTATGCGATTGGCTAGGTGCTCTCGGTTCCCTTCCAATTTCCCTACAAATACCCAGAATGACAAGAAGCCAGATCCCTCTCCTAGTGAACTCCCTAAGGTGTGACCAGCTGTCCCTGGCCCTGGGATGATGAGAACTTGGGAGAGAAGTGCCTCCTTCTGATAACCCTCTGCCTCTGAGTGTCCCCATTAAATGCATCTTATGCCTGTCCTGTGTATTGTTGATGGTGTTTGTCATTGTCTGGACTTGCTTTCACAGTATGGATTTCTTTTTTTCTCCTTGGAATTCACTGGGCTTTGAATTTGTGAACTGATGGCTTTCATCAGTTTCGAAGCCTCTCAGTCACCGTCCTTGAAACACGGCTTCTGTTCTTCTCCTTCTCTCTCTCCCTGGTACTCCAAATAAATGTATATTAGATCCTCTCACCATATCCTTTCTTCTGCATTTTCCATTCCTTGGCCTCTCAGTGCCTTATTCTGGGTAGTGTCATCTGACTTACTTCCTAGTTCTCTCTGGCTATTTCTATTCTGCTGTTAAACCCTTGCTTTACCATTAAGTTCTGGAATTCTGCAGTTTTCGGGACCGTAATTTATACTGACTCTAAAGTATGCTGTTGTCACATTTTATAGTTTCTGATTTCCTGCCAACACTTTCAAGTTTTGCAAATTTCCTCTTTGAACATGGGAAACATAGTTGTTTAAGTGTCTGTATTTCATATCTCCATTATCTAGACACTAGATAGATTCTAGGCCTCTGAGGGTATGTTTCTCATGCCTGAAGTTTCTGCTAATTCCCATCCATCAGGCCTCATATCACGTTCCTGGTAATTTGTGTTTGTGTGCTGGACATTGTATTTGAAATTTATTAGAGAGTCATTTGAAGCTTAAGGTATTATCTTCTTCCGGAGAGGATTTTTGTTTGCAATGCCAGGCTCCTGGGACACTAGAAGTCCTAGGCCATCTTAATCCAAGTTCCAGTTTTGAGGAACTGGATGTGGTTGATATGAAGGGATTGGTATGGTCCCAGAGGACCATCCATATTTCAGAGCTGGTTTACTTCCAAGTCATCCTTCTTCTTGGGTGGGGTGGACCCCAAAGTGGACCCCAAAGTGGAAAGGAATTGCCTGGGACCCTAAACTTGGCATGCGCTAGATTTCATTTTTAGTCCCCTATGCTCAAGAGGCTTAGCTCAGACGGGGCACGGTGGGTCACGCCTATAATCCCAGCACTTTGGGAGGCCGAGGTGGACAGATCATGACGTCAAGAGATCGAGACCATCCTGGCCAACATGGTGAAACCCCGTCTCTACTAAAATTACAAAAATCAGCTGGGTGTAGTGGCGGGAGCCTGTAATCCCAGCTACTCGGGAGGCTGAGGCAGGAGAATCGCTTGAACCAGGGAGGTGGAGGTTGCAGTGAGCTGAGATCGCACCATTGCACTCCAGCCTGGCAACAGAGTGAGACGCCACCTCAAAAAAAAAGGAGGCTTAGCTCAGCCTTCCAGATACCTTGTCCAGATCAGCAAATACCCGCAAAGCAGAAGCAGCCCTGGTGTTTGGCCTCTCTCTCTGCGCTCCCACCCTCTTCTGGCTTCCAGCCCCGAAAGCTGCTTACTCTGTTAATGTTTATGTTTGTCTGGATTTATTCATTATGTTCATTAGGATGATAGAAACGGATTCTATCGTCCGTCATCAATGTACATGGAAGTTCCTCCTGAAAATAAAGATGGTCCCAAACTTAGGCTGGTTCAACTAAAATTTTTTGACTTGATGATGGTGCAAAAGCAGTACACATTCAATGGAAACCACACTTCAAATTTTCAACTTTGATCTTTCCCCAGGCTAGTGATGTGCTACGTAATACTGTCTTGTGAAGCTGGGAAGCTCCCAGGCAGCCACGCAGTCACAAGGGCAAACAGCAGATGCTCTGCAGTAGACTGTGCTGCTGTGTGATTTTGCCAATTGTAGGCTGACGTCAGTGTCTGAGCATAGCTAAGGCAGGCTGGGCTCAGCTATGATGTTTGGTAGGTTAGGTGTATTAAGGGCATTTTTTACTTATATTTTCAACTTATTATGGATTTATCTAGAGGTAACCCCATAGTAAGTCAATAAGCATCAGTATTAAGGATAATGTTGAAAGTAGTTGGGCTGGCGTGGTGGCTCACACCGGTAATCCCAGTACGTGAGGTTGGGAGTTCAAGACCAGCCTGACCAACATGGTGAAACCCCATCTCTACTAAAATACAAAAAAAAATTAGCCGGGCATGGTGGTGCGCGCCTGTAGTCCCAGCTACTCGGGAGGCTGAGGCAGGAGAATCGCTTGAACCTGGGAGGCGGGGGGCGTGCAGTGAGCCAACATTGCACCACTGCACTCCAGCCTGGCAACAGAGCAAGACTCCGTCTCAAAAAAAAAAAAGAAGAAAGAAACTAGCTATCCTCTTATTCCTAATTTTAACATTATTCCCTCCAGCGTGTGCCCTTATCGGGTAAAATGATGCCTTCTGGGCTGATAAATATATTTTATCATGCTAAAGAAGGAGTAACTAATTTATTTTATTGACCACCTAAAAAGTAGGTGTTGAATTTGGTCAAATGCCTTTACAGCATCTATGAAAATAATCTATTTTTTCTTTGGGTATATTCACATGATCTATTATATTGTGTTACTGAATTTCCTTGTATTGAACCATCCATGCATTATTGAAATAAACCCCACTATGTTATGATGTGACATTTTTATGTATTGTTGGGTTCTGTCTGGTAATACTTTATTAAGGGTTTTGTATTCATAAAAGAGATTGGTATGAAGTTTTGTATAAGGTCTTTATAAGATTTTGGTATCAATTTATACTTGCTTTATAAAAAGAATTGGGAAGTTTTGTTTTTCTAGAGTCTGGAATATTTCAAGCCCATTCAAAGTTTTATTTGCTCTCTAAGGTGTGCTAACATTCCCATGTCAGATTGTTTGAGCCTGGTGTTTTTTTGAAGGGTAGCACTTTGACAACTTTACTTCTTCTCTTGAAAATATCCTATTTAGGCTTCTATTTTACTTGTGGTTAGTTTTGATAAATTATGTTTTCCTAGAAATGCATTTCATCCAAGTTTTATGTTTATGTTCATAAATTTCTGCAAAGTATTCATTATCTTTCTCTCTTTACATGATTTTTCTCCCCTTGAAATTAATTTTTGTGTATTTTTAGTTTCTTAATTAGGTTAGATTTTTATTTATTTGGTTAGTTAGTTGATTCTTTTAAGAACAATGTCTTTTGGCCAGGCACGGTGGCTCATGCCTGTAATCCCAGCACTTTGGGAGGCTGAGGCAGGCGGATCACAAGGTAAGGAGTTTGAGGCCAGCCTGGTTAATATGGTGAAACCCCGTCTCTGCTAAAAATACAAAAATTAGCCAGATGTGGTGGCACACACCTGTAGTCCCAACTGCTCAGGAGGCTGAGGCAGGAGAATCACTTGAACCTGGGAGGCAGAGCTTGTAGTGAGCTGAGATTGCACCATTGCACTCCAGCCTGGGCAACAGAGTGAGGCTCCATCTCAAAAAAAAAAAAAAAAACTTTATTATTTGTGTTACAGCTTTCCTGTGTTATAGCCAGCACTTTCTGCTTCTAACTCTGGCTTGATCTTTCTGGTGATTCACTCCTATCCAGGAGCCACCAAGAGTCACCTCATTAGAACAAAAGATGCTCACCCAGGAAGTTCTCAGGATTTTAGGAGCTCTGTGGCAGGAACTGGGTGCAGACCAATATATATTTCTTACTATTTCATACCACCCACAACCTTCACCACCATCCCCTCCATAAAATCATCTTTTATTGGCCAGCATGGGGGCTCATGTCTATAATCCCAGCGCTTGGGGAGGCTGAGGTGGGAAGATTGCTTGAGGCCAAGAGTTCATGACCAGCCTGGGCAACACAGCAAAGGCTGGCATGTCTCTAATTCTTTCTTGCAGCAGCCCCTCTCTTCACCTCCAAGCCGGAGCGTGGCCTCATCCCTCCCAGGTGACTCTCTTCCCAGAAATGGTGCTGTCTCAAGAAGCCCCCTCTCTCCAAGCATCTGCCAGGCCGTTTGAGCTGCCAGGAGTCTTTGTCCTGCCCCACCAGCTCTGTCTCATCTAGATGGGGCCTTCTGTCCAGTGCTACTGAACAGAATGTTCTGCATGCCTGGCCAGTGCAGAGACCTCCTTGCACCCCTGCTCCAAGGCTGGCTCTGCCACTGACAGATAGACTGACATTTGCACTGTTCTGAGCCCCTGGGGGTGCAGTATGCAGAGCTAGGCCATCTCTGTCGTCCTACAAGAACCAGGCAGCCCTGAGCAAGGCTTTTAACATGCAAGGTGTACTCCACTAGTCTTAAGATATCTTGAGCCACTGTCTTGCTGCTCCCAACTCCCAAGCCACGCTGACTTTCTTTCCCTCGGGACTGAAACACCTCTGCTGATCCCTGATCCATATCCCTCCCCATGAAAGAAATATAATACATAAAAGAGAGCCCTCTCCACTGAGCACCTCCCTTCCTTTGTAGCACTTACTTCAACTGACCCTTACAGGGATCGTGTAACTAGACTATGAATGTCATGAAGGCTACGTCGTGTCTCCGACCCCCTACTAAAGGCTCCAACCCCAGGGAGGACCCCTCCCCTGGCCTGGGGAGGAGGATCAGGAAGATCTCTTTAGTAAAAGGTCCGGTTGGACTGGGACATAGGTCTTTCCTGAGCAAGAACTCTAAAGCCCACTTGTTTCCTTACTAGAAGATGAAGGTTAGAAATGTTCTTTCTTATTTAAAACCATGGCTTGCAATGCTGCTTGGCCCTCAAGTCAAGCAGAAGCACAGCCCACATACCACACAACACAGGATTTCCTCACGGCTCATCTTCCAAGTGAGAAGTGAAAGGAATGTCGTGGGAAACCGCAAGAGTCTGTTCTAATGATAAAGCAGAGGTCCAGAGAACCGCACTTACCCTCAGCAGTGCACAGTGGTGATGAACAACACGCCAAGCAGAAGAGAAAGGGGCCAGGACCTTGGACGGGGGCTGAATTCAGAATCAGCGCACAGGAGAAGTGAAGTTTGAGACTTCGAGAATGAGCCGAAGGGAGACCTTTCTCACTGTCAAGGCGGTGAAGCACAGGCCGCAGAGGGGAGGTGTTTGACCTGGGGGCGCTCATCACATGCTGTGCCTAGAATCGAAGTCCGGGCTCACACCAGACCTCCAAGGCCAGGTGAGTACTCCAGGGGAAGGGAGGGTGCAGGGGATGAGAACAGGGAAAACCATGAGGTTTTGGAGAGGGAACTTTGAATTAGCAATTTATAAAAATGTAGACTAGGCCGGGCATGCTGGCTCATGCCTGTAATCCCAGCATTTCGGGAGGCTGAGGCGGGAGGACCATTTGAGCTCAGGGGTTTTAGACCAGCCTGGACACATAGTGAGACCCTATTCCTACAAAAAAAATAAAACATTAGCCACGTGTGGTGGCATGCACTTGTGGTCCCAGCTACTTGGGAGGCTGAGGTATGTGAAAGGAACATACCTTGAGCCCCCAAATCACTGAAGCTAAAGGGGAAGTTCAAGCTAGGAACTGCTCCCATTCCATTCAAAGTCATCCTTCTGCTCACTGAGATAGATGCATATTCTCTCTCTCTTTTTTTTTTTTTTTTTTTTTTTTTTTAATTTGAGATAGAGTCTTGCCCTGTCGTCCGGGCTGGAGTGCAGTGGTGTGATCTCGGCTCACTGCAAGCTCCGCCTCCCCGGTTCACGCCATTCTCCTGCCTCAGCCTGCCGAGTAGCTGGGACTACAGGTGCTCGCCACCACACCCAGCTAGTTTTTTGTATTTTTTAGTAGAGATGGGGTTTCATCATGTTAGCCAGGATGGTCTCAATCTCCTGACTTTGTGACCTGCCCGCCTCGGCTTCCCAAAGTGCTGGGATTACAGGCGTGAGCCACTTTGCCCAGGCCTTTTTTTTTTTTTTCTGAGATGGAGTTTCACTCTTGTTGCCCAGGCTGGAGTGCAATGGCACCATCTCAGCTCACTGCAACCTCTTCCTTCTGGGTTCAAGCTATTCTCCTGCCTCAGCCTCCCGAGTAGCTGGGATTACAGGCGCCCGCCACCACGCCCAGCTAATTTTTTGTATTTTTAGTAGAGACAGGGTTTCACCATGTTGGCCGGGCTGCTCTCAAACTCCTGACCTCAGGTGATCCACCCACCTCCGCCTCCCAAAGTGCTGGCATTACAGGCATGAGCCACTGCGCCCAGTCAATAGACGCATATTCTGATTGCCTCCTTTGGAAAGGCTTATCGGAGATTCAAAAGAATGCAACCATTTGTCTACCTGTGACCTAGAAGCTCTCTCCCTGCCTCAAGTTGTCCCCGCCTTTCTGGACGGAACCAATGTACTTCTTACATATATGAATTGACGTCTCATGTCTCCCTAAAATGTATAAAACCAAGCTGTGCCCCGACCATCTTGGGAACATGTCATCAGGATTTCCTGAGGCTGTGTCACTGAAGTGGCATAATACCCAAGGTTCTGGGGTAATACCCAAGGTTCATTGCCTCATGCCAAGGAAATCAAGAACATAGATACACACGGAGTGGGGTTAAGAGTGGAGCTTTAATAGGTGAAAGAAAGAGAAAAATGAATAGCTGTCTCCTATAGAGAGAGAGGGGTGCCCCAGTGGGTCTTCCAGCCTGCGGCAGAATGGACAGGGTTTTATAGACAGGCTTGAGGAGGTGGTGTCTAATTTACACAGGGCCCAAAGATTGGTTGGACCAGGCATAATGTTTACATAGCATGCAAAGAAGCTGCCCACCCTACCCTCACCTTTTATTATGCAAATTGGTCTCTACTCGGGGGACACTATGTTGCCTGCTCCTTACTGTGCACATGGTTGACAAGGAAAGGGAAGATGGAGCCGCCATGTTGGATCTGCCTGGCCCCAGGTAGCCTTTTCTTATTGGCACAGCTGCCAGCATTCACCTGTGCAAGCTTCCAGCTTGCTTGTGTATGTCTGCAGCTCGATTTTACAGGCTGCTCTTTGTTAGAAAAGAAAATGCTTGGGGGCTGCTTTTCATTGAAAAGAAAACCTTACCGAGGACTTTCTTACCCTCAGTATCTGCCTAAATAATTTCTTTTTAACTCGTATATCATCACAGGTGTGCACCCTCAACCTTGGCAAAATAAACTTTCTAAATTAAATGAGACCTTTCTCAAATTTTGGGGTTTCAGAGGTGGAAGGATCACTTGAGCCCAGGAGTATGAGGAGCTATAATCATGCCACCAAACTCTAGCCTGGGCAACAAAATGAGATCCTGTTTCTAAAGATGCTTTAAAATGTGTAAATGTAGTAGACTCATGATTCAGGAAAAACCCAAGAAAAGTGTGAGGAAAGATTGAAGAGACACCAACCGAGATTAGTAAGGAAATGTAGAAATGAGGACTTCTTAAAATTGCTATGACCTCCTATCACTTTTCTGAAGAGTGACTTGGCAATGTCTTTCAAAAGATTTAACTGTGCCAACCATTTCATCACACTTAGCATGTACGCACAGGGCATTACTGTAGGGAAGTATTAAATAACCATCGAAAGACCCAGGAACACAGCTACTCAGGAGACCGACGCAGGAGAATCACTGGAACCCAGGAGACAGAGGTTGCAGTGAGCTGAGATCACGCCACTGAACTCCAGCCTGGGTGACAGAATGAATGAGACTCCGTCTCAAAAAAAAAAACAAAAAACACAGGGACAAAGATGTTAAAGCAACATTAATATCAAGAAGATGAGGCCAGGCGCAGTGGCTCAGGCCTGTAATCCCAGCATTTTGGGAGGCCAAGGCAGGTGGACCACCTGAGGTCAGGAGTTTGAGACCAGCCTGACCAACATGGTGAAACCCCATCTCTACTAAAAATACAAAAATTAGCTGGGTGTGGTGGTGCATGCACCTGTAATCCCAGCTACTCAGGAGGCTGAGGAGGGAGGTGGAGGTTGCAGTGGGCCGGGATCAGGCCACTGCACTCCAGCCTGGGTGACGGAGCGAGACTCTGTCTCAAAAAAAGAAAAAAAAAATGAAACAACCTCAATGTCCAAAAATAGAAAATTGGTAGAAACATTAATACTTCCAAATATTGGAATACTGAAAAGCCATTTAAAATGACTTATTTATGAGGAAGTGGAGAAATTGGAACCTTGGTGCACCATTGGTATGTTAAAAACTTCCAACAAATTGAATTGAACAGAGTTTAGCTGATCAAGGAAAAAAAAAACAATTCACAAATGGTGCAGGTCCCAGAATCACAGCAGATTCAGGGAGACTCTAGGGATGCTGTGTGGTCAAAGCAAATTTATGGACAGAAAAGGGAAAGTGGCCACAGAAAGCAGAAGTGAGGCACGTTAACAGCCAGATGAATTCGCCTTCTCCGAACACAGTTTGAACAGTTTGCGGCCTGTGAGTGGTTGAAGTCTGGCTGCAGGAACTGGCTGAGACACAGCTGTTGTTACAGAAGCCTACTGCTAAGTTAGGTTTTCAGTCTGCCTACCTACTATGCTAGGTTACGATTCATCTGCAAGGACGCAAGGATGGCAGTACAGAAGCTTTCTCGGGCCAGTTTTCAGTTTAACAAGTGGAAATGTAAAATGAGCTGGGTGGGGTAGCTCATGCTTGTAATCCCAACACTTTGGGAGGCCAACGCGGCTGTATTGCTTAAGCCCAGGAGTTTGAGATCAGCCTGGGCAACATGGGGAAACCCCATCTCTACTAAAAACACAAAAATTAGCCCAGTATGATGGTGGGTGCCTGTAGTCCCAGCTACTCGGGAGGCTGAGGCAAGAGAATCGCTGGAACCTCGGAGGTGGAGATTGCAGTGAGCCGAGATCATACCACAGCACTCCAGCCTGGGTGACAGAGCAAGACCCCATTTAAAAGGAAAAAAAAAAAAGAAATGTAAAATGATGCAGCTAATATGTCAGAGGCGTTGGAACCAGAACAACTTCATCTTGAATAGGGGCGGGGTAAAATGAGGCTGACACCTGCTGGGCCGCGTTCCCAGGAGGTTAGGCATTCATAGTCACAGGATGAGGTAGGAGGCTGACACAAGATACAGGTCACAAAGACCTTACTGATAAAACAGGTTGCAGTAAAGAAGCTGGCCAAAGCCCACCAAAACCAAGATGGCAATGAAAGGGATCTCTGGTTGTTCTCACAGCTCATTATAAGCTAATTATAATGCATTAACATGCTAAAAGGCACTCCCACCAGCCCCATGACAGTTTACTGATGCCATGGCAACATATAGAAGTTACCCTATATGTTCTATTTTTTTTTTTTCTTTTGAGACAGAGTTTCATTCTTGTTGTGCAGGCTGGAGTGCAATGGCGCAATCTCGGCTCACCACAACCTCGGCTTCCCGGGTTCAAGCGATTCTCCTGCCTCAGCCTCCCGAGTAGCTGGGAGTACAGGCACGCGCCACCACGCCCAGCTAATTTTTTATTTTTAGTAGAGATGGGGTTTCTCCATGTTGGTCAAGCTGGTCTCAAACTCCTGACCTCAGGTCATCTGCCCGCCTTGGCCTCCCAAAGTGCTGGGATTACAGGCGTGAGCCACCATGCCTGGCCTAGAAGTTACCCTATATGTTCTAAAAAGGGGAGAAACCCTCAGTTCTGGGAATTGCCCACCCCTTTCACGGAAAACTCATGAATAATCCACCTCTTGTTTAGCATATAATCAAGAAATAATCAGCAGGGCGTGGTGGCTCACGCCTGTAATCCCAGCACTTTGGGAGGCTGAGGCGGGCGGATCACAAGGTCAGGAGATTGAGACCATCCTGGCTAACATGGTGAAACCCCGTCTCTACTAAAAATACAAAAAATTACAGGCGGGCGCCTATAGTCCCAGCTACTCAGGAGGCTGAGGCAGAAGAATGGCATGAACCCGGGAGGCGGAGCTTGCAGTGAGCCGAGATCGCCACTGCACTCCAGCCTGGGCAACAAAGGGAGACTCTGTCTCAAAAATAAATAAATAAATAAAAAGAAATAACCATAAAAATAGCCAACCAGCGGCCATCGGGGCTGCTCTGCCCATGGAGTAGCCATTCTCTATTCCTTGGCTTTCTTAGTAAACTTACTTTCATTTTATTCTGTGGACTCGTCTGAATTCTTTCTTGAGCAAGATCCAAGAACCCTCTCTTGGGGTCAGCATTGGGACCCCTTTCCAGTAACATATGTACAATGGAATAGTTTTGGCCTTAAATAGGAGGGAAATTCTGACACACACTACAACATGGATGAACCTTGAGGTCATTATGCTAAGTGAAAAAGCCAGTCACAGGGTGGGGTGCAGTGGCTCACGCCTGTAATCCCAGCACTTTGGGAGGCCGAGGCGGGCAGATCACGAGGTCAGGAGATGAAGACCATCCTGGCCAACACGGTGAAACCCCGTCTCTACTAAAGATACAAAAAATTAGCTGGGCTTGGTGGCAGGCGCCTGTAGTCCCAGCTACTCGGGAGGCTGAGACAGGAGTATTGCTTGAACCCGGGAGGCAGAGGTTGCAGTGAGCCGAGATTGTGCCACTGCACTCCAGCCTGGGCGACAGAGCGAGACTCTGCCTCAAAAAAAAAAGAAAAAGAAAAAGCCAGTCACAAGGGGCAAATGCTGTCTGATTCCACTGAGACAGGAGATGTAGAGTAGTCAAATTCATAAAAACAGAGGGCAGAATGGTAATTGCCAGGGGCTGGTGGAATTAGTGTTTCATGGGGACAGAGCTTCAGCTTTACAAGATGCAAAGAGTTAACTGTGCAAACTGATTGAATGAATGATAGATGGTGGGGGTGACTGTATGACATTGTTTCTGAACCCTATGCTTAAAAATCATTAAGATGGTAAATTTTATGTGTATTTTACTACAAATTTTAAAAGAAAGAAAAGAAAAGGAAATACCTAGTTTCTGGTGAAATTGTTTGCCAAAAGAAAAACCTGATTTTTGGTGAAAACTGCAACAGGGCATTATAATACGTTTTTGGTGAAAGGGGAAATTGTTCTAAATTTTCAGAAGGGCAGTTTGGTCATATAGGTGTAAAAGCAAACTAAATATGGCCTGAGAAGGACTCTGTACTTCTGTATTTGAGTCTTTGTGGATGAACTACAACCTAACTTATAGGTAGACAAGATTGAAACTGTAACTTACGCACCTGTAACAGTAGCTGAGTCTTTGCCAATCCCAGCAGCCATATTTCACTCATACACTGCTGAGAGTTCAAATGAGGCAAATGCCGAGCTGCAACCAACCAGCTATTTCTGTACCTCACCTCCAATTTCTGTACGTCACTTCCCGTTTTTTGTCTGTAAATTTGTTCTGACCATGAAGCATCCCTGGAGTCTCTCTGAATCTGCTGGGATTCTGAGGACTGCCCAATTCACGAATCATTCATTGCTTAATTAAACTCCTTTAAATTTAATTCGGCTGAAGTTTTTCTTTTAACATGGTGTCAGAAGTGGGATCCAAAGTAAAGCTTCTAATGACCCCTGGGGCACTGAGTGAACAAGTAAGGTACCTGCTGGACACACTTGTGTCCATTGATTTCTCAGAGCAGCTGGGGATCATGGATAAGTCCTCTCTTGGATTTTGGAGATCCACAGTTTGTGTTTCGAGCTCTCTGAGTTTTCTTTGTGCAAATTTCTGATCCAAACTGGGTTTGGAAGTCGCCAAAGAAAATGGATGGGTCCAGGAATAGATTTGATACGGTAATTAACCGGCCTGGATCCAGTTAGAGGCCTCTTACATCTGACTGGGTCTGAAAGAAACTGGTAGAAAATGGTAATATTGCAGGGGGTGTAAAATTTGGCTTTTGAAAATTCGTGGGGATGTTTGTGTTCTACCCCTTTGTTTCATTTTTCTTGCACACTTAGGTAGGAAAAAATCATTGGCTAAATTAATCAAGGGAAGCTGAGCGTAAAGCCAATATTCAGGTAAAAATGGGTTCCTTAATTTCCGGAAAACTGGGTTCCTTCTGGCTTACACGTTAGGCATGGAAAGTGGTGAAGTCTTACAGAAATGGTGAAATCTTACTAAAGATGACTACAGTGGAACATTCTGAATGAACAACAGTGCACTGACATGCATTTAAAAATGAAGGCTCCCAAAAATCAAATCTGCTAACCTTTTAGCTTAGTTACTATCGCAATCCAAAGGAGATAGGCTGCAGCACAAATTGGCTGACTTTGAATAAGTAATGGGGTACATTTTACCTAAGTAAAGCATGGGATTGGGTTAGAGGCCCTCCCCTCAGTAAAGTCCCTCTGGGTTAAAAATGGGTTAAAGATGACAGGGCCCAACCCAGGGCTAGTTTGAGACTTTTTTTTTTTTTAGACGGAGTCTCGCTGTGTTGCCCAGGCTGGAGTGCAGTGGCGCCATCACAGCTCACTGCAAGCTCTGCCTCCTGGGTTCATGCCATTCTACTGCCTCAGCCTCCTGAGTAGCTGGGACTACAGGCGCCCGCCACCACGCCCGGATGGTCTCGATCTCCTGACCTCGTGATCTACCTGCCTCAGCCTCCCAAAGTGATGGGATTACAGGTGTGAGCCACCACACCTGGCCAAGCCCTTACAATTTTTGTGAAAGAGCAGAACAGTGCTTTAAGAAAACCCTGTTGGCCAGGCGTGGTGACTCATGCCTGTAATCCTAGCACTTTGGGAGGTGGAGGCGGGCAGATCACGAGGTCAGGAGTTCAAGACCAGCCTGGCCAATATGGTGAAACCCCGTCTCTACTAAAAATACAAACATTAGCCAGGCGTGCTGGCAAGTGCCTATAATCACAGCTACTCCAGAGGCTGAGGCAGGAGAATCGCTTAAACCCAGGGGGCAGAGGTTGCAGTGAGCCAAGAGTGCACCACTGCACTCCAGCCTGGGTGACAGAGCGAGACTCCATCTCAAAAAAAAAAAATAGAAAGAAAAGAAAACCCTGTTGTGCTTTTACTTCAATGTTCAATTTCTGGAAAAAATGAATAATACTCCTTTAAATTTAGTCAATATGTTCACACACAGAATTTCTTTTACAAGATTAATTTTTACAAACCTACAATTTGCTCAAACTTTTAGCTTTATCTTATCTAACTTAAAAACCCTTTAACCCTCTAAACTAGGCAAAAATTTACATTCCCATGCCTTCTTATAATCTTTTACCAAAAACACATTTCACTCTCCTCACACACCTTGCATGTAAAACTATTTTTTTAGTAGTTTCAATTACATGTTATAATGGTAACTCTTAGCATCTTTTACTTTTGGTGCATGAATTTCACAAATCCTTTAACAACTTACACAGGCCATCTATGGCATGGTTGGACTTTCTCACTTGTCCTAAACACTCCTCTTTTTAAACACCCCTCTTTTTAAACAACCAGTTATTTTACTTTAGGGCAAGAATTTACCATACGAGATCCTTTCTTATATAAAATTTATTTTCTTTGTAATCTTCTTTGCCTAGCTGGGGGCATGGCTAATTCCACATGTCCGCAGGCCTTATCTAGAATCTAATGCTCCAAAATAATTTGAACAATTTAGAAAAGTCAAAGCAGTTTATGACCTTAAAAAATTTAGCAAACCTGGCTGGGTGCAGTGGCTCACACCTGTAATCCCAGCACTTTGGGAGGCGGAGGCGGGGGGATCATGAGGTCAGGAGTTCAAGACCAGCCTGGCCAACATGGTGAAACCTCATCTCTACTAAAAATACAAAAATTAGCTGGGCATGGTGGCATATGCCTATAATCCAAGCTACTCGGGAGGCTGAGGCAGGAGAATTGCTTGAACCCCGAGAGGCAGACGTTGTAGTGAGCCTAGATCACGCCATTGGACTCCAGCCTGGGCAACAAGAGTGAAACTCCATCTCAAAAAAAAAAAAAAAAAAGAAGTTAGCAAACCTAATATCTAACCTGCCTAATTTAGGCCAAATGTCTTTATTTTCACCAGTAACCTTTAAAACTTTTTATTTCCCAAAGATTACTGAAGTTACATGCACTAAAAGGCATTAGAGTTTTTATTTTTCTTTCAAAATATTTGATTTAAGCACTCATTTTTCTTAAAGCCAATTAATTAGAGCTCTTTTATTTATTTTTATTTTTATTTTTATTTTGAGACAGAGTCTCACTCTGTCATCCAGACTTGGGTGCAGTGGCACAATCTTGGCTCAGGGCAACCTCCACCTCCTGAGTTCAAGTGATTCTCCTGCCTCAGCCTCCTGAGTAGCTGGGATTACCAGCATGCGCCACCACACCTGGCTAATTTTTGTATTTTTAGTGGAGACGGGGTTTCGCCTGGTTGGCCAGGCTGGTCTCGAACTCCTGACCTCAGGCGATCCACCCACCTCAGCCTCCCAAAGTGTTGGGATTATAGGCGTGAGCCAATGTGCCTGGCAATTAGAGCTCTTTTATATAAACATTAAACACACAACACATATATAACTACACAGACAGACAGAAGAAGATCCAATAGTTGTAAGATTTTTCATTTACCACTTTCTAAGTTTCTAAATTGGATTACTGGCTTTAGGATGGAGTCCTTGGAAGAACAGGACCAGGAAAGCATGCAGTTTCTAGGGCCTAATATAATAAGCAGGCACAGCTGGAAGGCAAAACGGATCTCCAAAAATTAAGGGTCTCTTTTTTTTTTTTGAGACGGAGTCTTGCTCTGTCACCAGGCTGGAGTGCAGTGGCACCATCTCAGTTCACTGCAACCTCCGCCTCCTGGGTTAAAGCGATTCTTCTGCCTCAGCCTCCCAAATAGCTGGGACTATAGGCGCATGCCGCCATGCCCGGCTAATTTTTTTTTATTTTTATTTTAGTAGAGGTGGGGTTTCACCATGTTGCCCAGGCTGGTCTCGAACTCCTGAGCTCAGGCAATCCACCCACCTCGGCCTCTCAAAGTGCTAGGATTACAGGCGTGAGCCACCATGCCCAGCCTGAGGTCTCGTTTTTATACCAGATCCTGGATCCCCCCCAAAAAAGAGGGAGTCAGCCCCATAACTGCCATTAGACATCCCTAAAGTATATTTCCTGCCTAGTTATTACACACCAAGTCTCTATGTGAAGTAATTTCTGATACCCCCAAGTAAAAAACAGTAGATAATCCAATGCAAAACAGAACAGAGCCTTAGATTTTGAAAGGAATCTATCTACTTCCAATTTCTGGGGTTTCATGAGTAAAACAGAGTTTTTTCCCAAAACGGGGTCTCTGGCACCTCCTGTTTTCCCAAGGAGTCCCAGGCTGTTAGAGCCAGAATATCTACTTTTAATTAAGCTGACTTTTAACCATTGCACTCTTTAATAAAAGTTCTTTTAAATTGCTTATTACCCAACTTTCATCAGGCCAAACAGCCAATATTCCTGCCTTTAAACTATTGAAAGTAACCTCCCAGGTGCTCTGAGAAAGGCAATTCAAGACAGTTTGTGGAGGGGGAGAAAATCAAAAAATGGCAAAGGTTACCCAAATATCAATTAGAAAGTACTCATTCCCTAAGCCAGGAATCAAACCCAGATCACCACTGAACTATAGCACTGGGCAGTCTCCATTGCCCTTCCCAGAAAGAGTCTAGAGTAGTTAATTTTCAGCTGGCAAAGCCTCGTAACTACTCAAGATAGATTGTAGAGCTAACTATGACATGAACCCAAAATTCCTGTTCCACTTGGAAGGTGGAGACCAAGTAACCGCCACATGGTTACAAGGTCAAACTCCCAAAGACTTAAAACAAGATGGAGACCTCATCTAGTTTTTTTGTTTGTTTCAGGGATCTGCAGCAGTTACTGACCAGCTTGTTGGGCCATCTTGAGCGGCGAGCAAGCTTATGGGGTTTTAAGCCCATGTTCTATCCTAAGGCGCCCCTTTTTATCACAGAACAGCACGGGAAGACACATAAAGCCTACGAGATTCACTACAGCCTGAGATTAGCCTCACAAATCCTTTTTTCCATTAATCAAAACTTTACAGAGGAGATAAGCAGTGATTTTTTTTTTTTTAATTCATTCAACCAGTTTGAACACACAGAGAGAGAGAGGTCAGAAATCTGACTGGTAAGAAATTCTTACCCTTTTGCTGTGTGCCAGGCTTCTGGATTCCCTTTCCCTGAGTAGCCCTAGTGACCCAGCTCTCCACATCATATCCCTGAGGGCCAAGCCACATCATAAAGGAAAATGATCTTTTTTTGTTTCATTGAACCACAGGCAAAAGCCTCTCAACTTTTAAATTTGAGCAGCAAGTTGCCACCCAACTGGCTGCATGGGGGCACCAAATATCAAACTGGCAAAAGGCCAGGCGCGGTGGCTCACACCTATAATCCCAGCACTTTGGGGGGCCAAGGCAGGTGGATCACCTGAGGTCGGGAGTTCGAGACCAGCCTGACCAACGTGGAGAAACCCCGTCTCTACTAAAAATACAAAATTAGCTGGGCATGGTGGCACATGCCTGTAATCCCAGCTACTAGAGAGGCTGAGGCAGGAGAATTACTTGAACCTGGGAGGCAGAGGTTGCGGTAGCCGAGATCCTGTCACTGTACTCCAGCCTGGGCAACAAGAATGAAACTCCATCTAAAACACACACACACACACACACACACACACACACACACACACACACACACACAAATTGTAAGGGATTATAAAAGGTTTATAAGAATCTCACCTCATGGTCAAACTGGTTAAGCATAACATCAAGTGTTTTAAACCTTTAATATATTTGATAGGCTTCCCAAAATCAAATTTCAGCTTCAAAATAGTCTTTCTGACCTCTAACTTTGGGGTGTTACAGAGATCCCCTAAAGCATCCAAAGAGAGGTAAACGGGATAATCTGATATGTTAAGTTACATGGGAAGCATTGTCAAAAAATAATGTTTACTCCTCTTCAGGTTACATTTTAGTGAATGATATTAATATATGTTCCAAAATTAAATGGGATTTCTAAAATTCTAATATGCCTGAGTCTATGCTATCAATATAATTATGGTTAAGTTACTGTAAATCATAGAAATAACCAAATTTCCTTGTCAATTGTGTTTTTAACTATGACTATTTAAAGTCATTTCCACAGTTAATTGCTTAATGCTGGTGCGGTTTCTGAAAACTTCAAAAGTATGGTGTCTTTTAGGAGATTCATAAAAGGATGAAAAGGACCCTAAAAATCAGTCTTGGAATACAGGTTTCTAATAACTTTAGAATCATATCATTTGAACTGGGTAAGAATTCCTGGAACTTTAATGAAAAGACTGACTGGCTTATAGAACTGCTAACCCAAGTAGAACAAAAATTAATTGAATACCAAGAAAAGAGTTTGCCAGATTTTCATCTTAAATCAGCTGACACTGAAATAGTTCAGATATACAATTTGAATGAAATCCATGGTCTAAGTCAAATTACCTGTGATAACCCATCAGTTATCCGTGCAATGCACCTAATTTGGAGAAGCAACTGGGATTCAAGAGGACTGAAGTCTAATGTTAATTAAGTATGGACTCACGGAGAACCAGGACGGCCACCTTGTCCTTCCTGAGTCCTTAAAGCTTTTGTTATTAAAAGTTCTGCATTTCGTGACTCATCATGGAAAAGATAAAGTAATCCAAATTAAATACATTGGTGTGTGGGAGGCAGAGGTTGGAGTGAGCCGAGATTGCACCGCTGCACTCCAGCCTGGGTGACAGAGATTCCATCTCAAAAAAAAAAAAGTGTATATGTGTGTGTGTGTGTGTGTGTGTGTGTGTGTGTGTGTGTGTGATAACTTACAAATTGCTAAAATAGTTTATAACCCTGGGCTATTTACATATTTTATAAAGGGATTTTATTCAATCGTCATTTTCAATGCATGTTTTCCGGGTTGTATAAAAGCTCTCGCATGTTAAGAGGGCTGATGTTTTAACAGTAGGTTATTATGCTACAGTATATTTTTCTATGGTTCACTGAGGTCAAACCCTTTGCATTCTAGAACCCGAAGACTGGATCTTCTGAGAACATCAGAGAAAGACTGTCCTTGCCATCCGCACTGCAACAAAACTTAGGGATCTTGAAACTTGGGTTCATAATCTCACAACTGAGAAGGGTCCATCCACACTCCTGGAACTGTACACCCATTGGAACCTTTAAGGTAAAGCCAAGGAAGTCTCTCCCCAGAAGATGGCATCCTTGATGTGAACGGCTTTTGCTAAGATCGTGGATCAAGACTTCTACTGTCATGAGACTCTCTTTTTTTTTTCTTTTTTGGAGATGGAGTCTTGCTCTGTCACCCAGGCTGGAGTGCGGTGGTGCAGTCTCAGCTCACTGCAACCTCTGCCTCCTGGGTTCAAGCGATTCTCATACCTCAGCCTTCCGAGTAGCTGGTATTACAGGTGCCTGCCACCACACCAAGCTAATTTTTGTATTTTTAGTAGAGATGGGTTTTTGCCAAGTTGGCCAGGCTGGTTTTGAACTTCTAACCTCAGGTGATCCGCCCACCTCGGCCTCCCAAAGTGCTGGGATTACAGGCATGCACCACCACGCCTGGCCATGAGACTCTTATCTTTGAGTATCTGTTCCTTGCTTATGCCTCTATGAATAATAGAAATGAAAAGACGATCTGTTGTGTGCACTTATGGGGTATACTTTCATTTGTGAAGGATTTTGCAGCCAGCCTTATACACGGATAACTTTATACTTTGATAGATAAAAGATGAAGGTCCAGTGTAGGTGAGAAACTTTAATGAGACATATGTTGCCTGTAATCAGTCAGAAACAGAATATCGGTTCACTCCTCTTAACCCACACTATGGGTTAAAGAGGGCATTGCCAGGAGGGCTTTACTCTTCCAGAAGGGCATCACTTTTCCATGGTTTAGAGTAAAAGAGGCCATAACCAGAAATGTATCCCTCATGATAGGCTGTATAGCAGACTCTACTGTAAAGGCTATAGTTACACAACAGACTTTCAATTCCCTTGTGAAAGGTATGCTAAATAATAGAATTGACTAAACAGAAAAGTAGTACCTGTGCAGCTGCTGGCACCTGTGGCCTAGGGAGAAATACATCAGGTATTATAGAGATTCAGTTGTGGGAGATTAATGAAAAGGCCACTTAGTTGAGTGAGTAGCCTCTTATCTAGCTCATTGTCTGATCTATTTGATTTGGGGTGGTTTGGTGTATAGGGACCCTGGGTAAGGAGCATACTGCAAACTCTTGGTATTATCCTCCCAGTAATCATAATAATAGTCTCCCTGGTGCGCTGCATTCTCTCAAAGGTTTTAAATGTCTGCATGCAGCCATCTCTAGAACAACAAATGGTCTCTCTTCAACTGGAATGGCAGAAGCTGAAAGAAATGTGTGACCATGAGGACACCGTAACCTATGAATGACGTGCTGAGACCAGAAACCCAAAACGATGGTAACTGAGAGTGGTGCTAAGGCCCTAAGTTTTGGTCACACTCTCGCCTGTAGGGTCCAGCCCTACTGGGCCTGTGGGTTTTTCTCCTCACCTGCGGAGATGAGAGATCACAGAAATAAGGACACAAGACAAAGAGATAGAAGAAAAGACAGCTGGGCCCAGGGGACCACTACCACCTAGACACGGAGACTGGTAGTGGCCCCGAATGCCTGGCTGCCCTGTTACTTATTGGATACAAGACAAGGGGGCAGGGTAAGGAGTGTGAGTCATCTCCAATGATAGGTCAGGTCACGCAAGTCACGTGTCCACCGGACAGGGTGCCCTTCCCTGTTTGGTAGCCGAGGCGGAGAGAGAGAGGAGACAGCCTACGTCATTATTTCTTCTATGCATTTCAAAGACTTTAGCACTTTCACTAATTCTGCTACTGCTATCTAGAAGATGGAGCCAGGTGTACAGAGCGGAACATGAAAGTGAAACAGGAGCGTGACCGCTGAAGCACAGCATCACAGGGAGATGGTCAGGCCTCCGGATGGCTGTGGGCGGGCCTGACTGATGTCAGGCCTTCCACAAGAGATGGTGGAGCAGAGTCTTCTCTAACCCCTCCGCCCCTCTCCCCTGGCCAAAGGGAGACTCCCTTCCCTGGTCGGCTAAGTAACAGGTGCCTTCCCAGGCACTGTCATTACCACTAGACCAGGGAGCCCTCTAGTGGCCCTGTCTGAGCGTGACAGAGGGCTCACACTCGTCTTCTGGTCACTTCTCACCCTGTCCCTTCAGCTCCTATCTCTGTATGGCCTGGTTTTTCCTAGGTTATAATTGTAGAACAAAGATTATTATAATATTGGAATAGAGTAATGCCACAAACTAATGATTGATAATAGTCATATCTAATCATATCTATAATCTATTTCTAGTATAACTATTCTTTTTGTTTTGTTTTGTTTTGTTTTTGTTTTTGTTTTTTGAGACAGAGTCTCGCTCTGTCACCCAGGCTGGAGGGCAGTGGCGCAATCTCGGCTCACTGCAAGCTCCGCCTCCCGGGTTCATGCCATTCTCCTGCCTCAGCCTCCCGAGTAGCTGGGACTACAGGTGCACGCCACCACGCCCGGCTAATTTTTTGTATTTTTAGTAGAGACGGGGTTTCACCGTGTTAGCCAGGATGGTCTCGATCTCCTGACCTCATGATCTGCCCACCTCGGCCTCCCAAAGTGCTGGGATTATAGGCGTAAGCCACTGCGCCCGGCCTAGTATAACTATTCTTATTCTATATATATATTTTTTATTATACTGGAACAGCTTGTGCCCTCGGGGTCTTGCCTTGGCAGCTGGGTGGCTTGCCGCCCACACTCACCTAAGTGAGAACCTGGACAGAAAGGGGAATTTATTAAAATAAAATTATGGGAGGCCATTGTTTTGGACTGAGCTCATGCACTATGTCCCAACAGACTAAGCCAAACAAAAATGGAGTCACTCATGCTAAATGTGACATAATCAAACTAAGACTTTAAGGAAACACATAGATCCTAACAGATTCCCCTATAAACAGGACGTTCCAGCATAAGGAGGTACCCTCAGTCCTTGTTCCTACCTTTGCAAAACTCACTGTTCTACTGTTTCTCAGAGGGTTTCAGGACCAAATAAGTACATTTACGATGGTGATAGTGACATCAATGACTAAAGTTTTGGTCAATCTCTCAAAATTGAGAAAATGACCAAAAGGGTGGAATTGTTAAAGCAAACTAAATATGGCCTGAGAAGGACTCCATACTTCTCTATTTGAGTCCTTGTGGACGAACTGCAACCTAACTTAATTGGTAGACAAGACTGAAACCCTGACATCCTCACTTGGGAGTCTGCACCTGTGGCAGTACCTGAGTCTTGGCCAATCCCAGCAGCCGTACTTCACTCGTACACTGCTGAGAGTTCAAACTGTGTCCAAATAAGGCAAATGCCGAGCTGCAACCAACCCAGCTGTTTCTGTACTCACCTCCAATTTCTATATGTCACTTCCCTTTTTTGTCTATAGATTTGTTCTGACCACGAGGTATCCCTGGAGTCCCTCTGAATCTGCTGTGATTCTGGGGGCTGCCCAATTCGTGAATCGTTCATTGCTCAATTAAACTCATTTAAATTTAATTTGGCTGAAGTTTTTCATTTAACAGAGGTATATAATATGTATTCTTTAAAATGTTCAAACACTGTTTTGAGTGCATATTGTGCTTTTTTGTTAAAAAAAAAATTATGATGTGATGTTTACTGCTCCCTTGAGGTACATAAGAAAATCCTAAAACCCCTGCCAACTGAGCGGACCGCTTCTTGGTCGAGGAGACCTCAGAGAAACCTTAAAAACTGAGTTCCTGGCCGTGACAGGACAGGTCAGACTCGCCTCAGTGTGCCCCTTCCTTAATACCCTTTCACTGGAATGCCTTCCTAAAGAATAAACAGAAACCAGCTCTAGAAAAAAAGAACAGACATCTCACTCTTCTATTGCCTTTAGCCAATCATCTGAGGCCACGGCCAGGCAATGCTTCCCTTCCTGGTAAGAGACCACAGAGCCTGCAGTGGCCGTGGCCGTCTCCAGAGGCGGTGCAGTGAGGGTTCTCGTGTCCTCTGCTTCACCTTTTGACGTCAGAGGGAGGAAAACCACATCCTCCGATCACGCTAACCCCAACATTTTTTGAACACGTGACCCATGAAGAGGCATGAAGCTAACTGCACACTGGGTGTTGCTCCCCTCACAGATATTCATAACTCCTCCTACAGCGTATTCCATATGTATATTCAGCCACCCTGAGGATCTAGGGGAAAAGCGCAGTGTCCTTTTCCTGTTCTCTCACTCAAGAATCAACACAGAATACTTCTCCCCACCCACAAGCAAGCAATCAGTTCTGCAGCGGACACCAGCTGGGTGTCCTCTCATTCAAGTCTGACGGCATCTACCTGTAGACAGCGCCTGACCACACAGATCGAGGACTCAGTTCCCACAAGACTGAACCCCGTTTCCAATGCCAACTGCAAGCCCCTGGTTATTTGGCCTGTGATTCTGACTGACCTGCTAAACATTGGGGGTTCCCACAGCCCCCTCCTTGGGTTCAATTAATTTGCTAGATCAGCATACAGAACTCAGAGAAACACATTTCCTGGTTTATTACAAGGCATATTTTACAGGATACAGATGAACAGCCAGATGAGAAGATGCATAGGGAGCGTTCTGGAAGGGTCCCAAGCACAGGAGCTTCTGTCCCCGTAGAAGGGAGGTGCGCTGCCCTCTAGAAACCTCCACGTTACCCGGAAGCTCTCTGAACCCTGTCCTCTTGGGTTTTTATGGAGGCTTCATCACATAGGCATGATTTAATCATTAGCCATTGGCGATCAGCTCAACCATCAGCCCCTCTCCCTTCCCAGAGGGCAAGAGTAGGGCTGAGTCCCAACCTTCTAACCCTACCTTCTTCTTTCTGGTGACCAGCCCCACCTCCTATCTTGAAGCTGTCTAGGAGCCACCAGCCACCTCATTAACATACAAAAAAGACATTCATCACTTTGAAGATTCCAAGGATTTGGGGAAATATATGCCAGGAGACTGAACGAAAACCAAATATAACTTCACAATATCATGGATGACTGAAATATGTAATAAAAGATTAAGCAGGCCAGGCACAGTGGCTCACACCTGTAATCCTTTGGGAGGCTGAGATGGGCAGATTACTTAAGGCCAGGGGTTCGAGACCAGCCTGGTCAACATGGTGAAACCCCATCTGTACTAAAAAAAAAAAATTAGCCGGTGTGGTGGTGGTGCCTGTAATCCCAGCTATCCGGGAAGCTGAGGCATGAGAATCACTTGAATGCAGGTTGCAGTGAGCCGAGATCACGCCACCGCACTCCAGCCTGGGCAACAGAGCGAGACTCTCAAAAAAAACATTAAAAATTTAAGCAGCCAAATGACATGGAAAGAAATAAATCACTATATTAATTATATAAATAGCAAACAAAATGTTGATACGGATTGCCTATGCACAGCAGCTAATATTAAAGACGAGATTTTGTGTTTTTTCTTTTTTTAAATATATTTTTGTATGGAACGCTTCACAAATTTGTGTGTCGTCCTTGTGCAGGGGCAATGCTAATCTTCTCTGTATCATTCCAGTTTTAGTGTATATGCTGCCACAGCGAGCACTGTTCTTCTTAATTTCAAAGTTCTCTTCAATACATACATGCTTGCTTATAAACAGAAAGAGAAAAATGAGATGTTCAACATGTTAATTGAACAAGTTACCAAATGGTCTGTGTACAAATCCTGGCCTAGGTTTATTTCTCTCAGTCAAAGCTTTCACTTGGGCATGGGGAAATTTAACTCAGACTAGCTTAAGCAAAAAAAGAAACAAAGAAACAAAAAGGACTTTATTAGTTCCATAGCCACCAGCCCAGGGTATGAACGATGCCCTCGGGCCCTGGGCCCTGCAACCCTGGTCGGTTCCCAGGTCTAGTTTCCTCCTCAGCAGGCAAGATGGAGGGAGTGCTACTGGACAGGGGTCCCGATCCAGACCCCAAAAGAGGGTACTTGGATCTCGCTCAGGAAACAATTCGAGGCTAATCCATAAAGGGAAAGCAAGTTTCTTAGGAAAGTAAAGGAATAAAGAATGGCTACTCCGTAGGCAGAGCAGCCTAGAGGGCTGCTGGCTGCCCATTTTTATGGTTATTTCTTGATTATATGCTAAACAAGGGGTGGATTATTCATGAGATTTCTGGGAAAGGGGTGGGCGATTCCCAGAACTGAGAGTTCCTCCTCTTTTTAGAACATACAGGGTAGCTTTCAGACGTTGCCATGGCATCTGAAAACTGTCATGGCGCTGATGGGAGTGTCTTTTGGCATGTTAATGCATTATAATTAGCATGTAATGAGCTGTGAGGATGACCAGAGGTCACTCTCATCGCCATCTTGGTTTTGGTGGGTTTCCCAGCTTCTTTATTTACTTCTTTATTTTATTATTTTTTTTGAGACGATGTCTTGCTCTGTTGCCCAGGTCTCGGCTCACTGCAGCCTCTGACTCCTGGGTTCAAGAGATTCTCCTGCCTCAGCCTCCCGAGTAGCTGGGACCACAGGCATCCATCACTGCACCTGGCTAATTTTTGTATTAGAGACGGGGTTCACTATTTTGGCCAGGGTGGTCTCTAACTCCTGGCCTCAAGTGATCCACCTGCCTCGGCCTCCCAAAGTGCTGGGATTACAGGCATGAGCCACCGCGCCTAGCTCCGGCTTCTTTAAAACAGTCTGTTTTATCAGCAAGCTCTTTGGGACCTGTATTTTGTGCCAGCCTCCTATCTCATCCTGTAACTAAGAATGCCTAACCTCCTGGGAATGCGGCCCAGCAGGTCTCAGGCTCATTTTACCCAGCCCCCATTCAAGATGGAGTTGCTCTTGTTCAAATGCCTCTGACAGGCAGGTGTCCCTAAACTTCAACACCTGCGCGAGGCAGGCCTTTACAGAGGCCCTGTGGCTGGCAAGGAAGTCAGGTCCTCAGCCCAGCCAGGTCCCCAGCCCCCAGCAGAGTCGTCTACACTGTGATTCCGCTGTGGACTTTGTCTACACTGATGGAAGAACTCCTGGAAAGAGTCAGAGTGGAAATGGGGGTGGGGGTGGAATAATGGTGATTTTTCTTTCCTGCATGTTTTCCTGTATTTTCTGCAATGAGCAGGTATTATTTTCCCACGATTATTGGCATAGTTACTGAATGGTGACCACGTATTCAACACTGTGCTACATGATTTACAGACTCTGAAACCTGCTCTCAGCATCCCGGGGGCACCAACTCCTGCCATCTTCATTCTGCAGCTGAGGACAGTGAGGCACAGAGGAGAGGGGTCCAGAGTCCCGCCGCGGTCACCCGCTTCCAAAAAGCCTTACTCTTTAATGAGTTTTGCCTCAATCAGAAGAAAAGCAAAGCTATTTCCATTCCCCCAAAGAATAAAGACCCCAAGTCTCCAAGATAACGTCCCCTTCCCCTTCCCCTCGTACAAAGAAGGCTCCCAACCTCATGGTGACATCCCCGCTGGTGTTTTCCTCCCAGGACGGGCCCCAGTGCCCCTGCTGGAGCCGGCGGTGGGCACCTGCGGAAGCTGATTTTCCCCACACCCCGATGCAAGGGAAACGTCCGCCTGGAAGCCTGGTCGCTCCTGCTGCTCTTGTGAAAGCGGCCCAGGGAGCGCTGTGTCCCTCAGGCACTGTGGTTCCTCTCCCGCGCGCAGCTGTCCGATGTGTCACTGTCTGGTTCAAAGTCACCGAGGCCTGTGCCCTGGCTTCTCACGCAGCAGGCAGCACAGAGATCCCGGCTGCAGGCTCCAGGCAGCCCTGACAGCAGTGGAGAATGGATGGGGCGGAGGTGAAGGCACCCGGCTGGTGTCCCCGTCAGCTCCTCCCTGAACCAGCCCTCACCATGTCAAGTGCTGCCCTGCCCTGCGGAAGCCGCAGCCAGCGCCGGGCCGGCCCATCCTGCGAAGCACAGTTCAGGAAAAAGGCCCAAGTTCCGCACCTTCTCTAAGGATCTGGGCGCAGCTTCAAGGCCGCCAGCGAGGGCCCTCAGCAGGGTCAGCTCTGGGGCCTCAGCCCTCCCTGTCCCTCCTGTTCGCTCCCCGCCCAGCTCCAACGTCGCCCCCTGGGAAATCTTCATGCCCTGGCACACGCACGGGTGCCTCCGCGGGCTTCAGTGCCGGTCCACACCCTTCCGCTACGCCCTGGCGTGGGGTTCGCCAAGCGCACAAAGCCACGTCTCCCCGCGGGTGAGCACCCCAGCTGAAGAGGCACCACGCACTGCTGTGAGCTCTCAGCTTGTGCAGTTTCAGCGCCCTTAACCTCCACGGGAAGCTCCCAGGCTCCTAAGCGCCACTAAAGCCCAGGAGGGCGGGCTCCTCATCCCTGACACAGTACCGGCCTCTCGGGGGCCCTGACGTGGACTCCCACGGTGCAGGCTGTCACCGCATGCCGGGCGCACCTGCTGGAGCCCTGGCCGCCAGGCCCTGACTGCAGGGTCATGGGGAGCCGCCCCTTTCAAGGGCAGATAGATATGCTCAGAGAAAATGAAAACTGGCCACAAACACACAAACCGAAGGAATCTCGGTGAGGGGCACAAGGCAACGGGACAGCCATCGGGAGATGCAGGAATGCCAACGGGCTCGGACTGTCTGACACCCGGGCCCTGGGGAAAGGGAGGCCCGGCCGCCCCCTCTCTTCCTGGACCACCACATCTCTGGCCGAGTGGTGAGACCAAGTCTGGGGGTGGCGCGAGGCACTGCAGTGCTGGGTCATCCATTCCCAAGCCCCCGCTGGCCTCTCCCTGGGTGCAGGGAAAGCTCCCACCCTAGCATGCAAGGCGCCCACACCTGGGCACCCCAGCACGCAAGGCGCCCACACCTGGGCACCCCAGCACGGAAGGCGCCCACACTTGGGCGTGTCTGGGGCCTCAGGGGTACTCTTGGGGCTTTTTCTTCAATCCAGCTTTAGTGAAAAGACAACTCAGGTATTAGTGCAGAAAGGTCTGTACACTCCCAAGGCATGTTTTATTTAGATGTATTTATTACAATTCCAGGTGGGACGAGACGCTAACACATGCTCCTTCCTGGCGCCAGGGTCTGCTCTGTGGTCCGCACCGGGGTGCTCAGCATTGCTTGGGTTCCACTTCCTTCTCACTGGGGACCATGGTCAGGCAGCCCTACAACACACAGCGGCGGCCTCAGGCACACGGCTGATGCGAAGGTTTCACTTTCCTTAAGTGCAGACAACCATTTACAAACTTTTGGGTGGGGGGTGCTTTTTTATTTTTTATTTATTTATTTATTTTTTGAGACATAGTCTCACTCTGTCGCCCAGGCTGGAGTGCAATGGCAGGATCTCAGATCACTACAACCTCCACCTTCCAGGTTCAAGCAATTCTCCTTCCTCAGCCTCCTGAGTAGCTAGGACCACAGCCACACGCCACCACACCCTGCTAAGTTTTGTATTTTTAGCAGAGACGGGGTTTCACCATGTTGGCCAGGTTGCTCTCGAACTCCTGATCTCAAGTGATCCTCCCACCTCAGCCTCCCAAAGTGCTGAGATTACAGGTGTGAGCCAGCGTGCCCGGCCAGGGGGCTGCTAATTTTAAGGCAGGCAAAAACCTGAAAAATTTTCTCCTTATTTACTTCATGATGTGGTAGATGCTTAGCTCACATACATAGGAAATGCAGCAGGTAAGTTCTGCATGTACCATGGCTGAGGCATGAATGTCACAGGGTCTCTGGCTGCCTAAGAAGCAGTGTGGGGAGAATGGGCTTCACTCTGTGCAATCAGATTCTCTCAACGGCAGGTTTTCCCCAAAACGTGGGAACCTGGGTTCCATCTCCAAGTGTGGACACTGGGACCGGGGCCCAGGGAGGAGCATTTATTTCCATGCAGGGCTGGCTACACACTGAGGGTCAGGGAGAGCCATTTTGTTAGTTCACACCTAACCCTTAGTTCTCAGAGGAAAGACAGCCATGGGAAATGCCACTTTGAGATATTTCCCACCTAAAGCTTATTTTTTTTTCCTTTTTTTTTTTTTTTTTTTAAGACAGAGTTTCACTCTTGTCACCCAGGCTGGAGCGCAATGGTGCAGTCTCGGCTCCCTGTAACCTCCGCCTCCCAGGTTCAAGCGATTCTCCTGCCTCAGACTCCCAGGTAGCTGGGATTACAGGCACATGCCACCATGACCGGCTAATTTTTATATTTTTAGTAGAGATGGGGTTTCACCATGTTGGCTAAGCTGGTCTTGAACTCCTGACCTCAGGTGATCCACCCTCCTCAGCCTCCCAAAGTGCTGGGATTACAGGCGTGAGCCACCACGCCTAGCCTATTTTTCATACTGAAAGAAAGATGGATTAGAATGTTAGTGGCCAAGCTCTGAATCAACCCCCTGGGAACACACAGGGTGCAAAGTAGGATGGCCCACGAATCCAAGGAGAGACACTTTGCATGGAAAAAAGGCTTGTCTACATTTAATGCTATTACAGAAAGTCTTTCCAAAGGATTCCATTTTTCTTTCTTTCTTTTTGAGATGGAGTCTTGCGCTGTTGCCCAGGCTGGAGTACAGTGGCACGATCTCGGCTCACTGCACCCTCCACCTCCTGGGTTCACGCGATTCTCCTGCCTCAGCCTCCCAAGTAGCTGGGACTACAGGCATGTGCCACCACACCCGGCTAAGTTTTGTATTTTTAGTAGAATTGGGGTTTTGCCATGTTGGCCAGGCTGGTCTCAAACTCCTGACCTCAGGTGATCCACCTGCCTCGGCCTCCCAAAGTGCTGGGATTACAGGCGTGAGCCACCGCACCCAGCCAGGATTCCCTTTTCAAAAAGGAATCCACTTTCCCCGTGCAGCGGGCGAAGGAGGTGAGTCTAAGAGCCAGAGCAGGGAGAGATGCACTGTGAGTGCCATCTGACGAAGGTTCCACAGGATGCCGATTTCTGAGCCCAGTGTAAACTATTTTGTCAGCGACACGGGAACCTGTTTGTAAATGCTGGAAGGTAGTCCTGTTTTGGATCAGAACAGTCTTCATCCCAGCAACAAACCTCACTGCGAGGGTGTTCTCATTGTTCTGGCTGGCCTCCACCTAGCACCATGTGGCTCTCAGACTGTATAAAACTGCCTGTAGGAGCCATCGCAAACAGAAAAAGTACCAGGTTTTCACCTTGGCAGTCAGTATGTTTTTTTTTTTTTCACATACACACACATATATTAGTTTTTAAGTCTTTTTACCCCTCTTCTGAAGAGTCTATAGAAGAAGCCTCTGTTTGGTCTGGAAACCGGGGTATGTATGTTCTTGTCTAGATCTAATGGCAAAGCTTCCTCACTTTCACTTTTGTTGATGTCTTTGAAACACCCAGATTCGATCATCTGCATGCACAGAATAACAGGACAGAGAAGCCGCAGAGAAACTGCCAGGTCAGTGGGTGTCTCCCAGTGCCAGCAGCTCCTGCCCAGCCCCGTGCGGGGCACCTCAGAGCTCCTGCACCCACTGTGGGGCCCCTTTTCTGGGTTCCTCCTTCCCTGCTTCCTGACCTCTTCTTGGAATAAGTAATGTGGTCTCCTCTCCCCTTGTCTCTGAGTGTACTCCCAAAGCAGGGAACTACCATGGGAACCCTGGCTGCCAGCCAGCCCTGCTTAGGGAGTGGGGCTCGGGGTGGCAGGCAAGCTCCCATCAGACCCAAAATAGCTACCTCCTGTCCACTTCCTGTCATTGGGACCAGGGACAGCCGCTGTGCTTCTGGACAGCTGCTGATATGGTCCTTGGCTTGCCCATGGTCTAGTCCTGTGGTCAAAAGTCTTATACAATCTTTTTTTTTTTTTTTTTGGGTGAGACGAAGTCTCGTTCTGTCGCCCAAGGTGGAGTACAGTGGCGCAATCTCAGCTCACTGCAACTTCTGCCTCCCAGGTTCAAGCGATTCTCCTGCCTCAGCATCCCTACTAGCTGGGACTACAGGTGCCTGCCACCATGCCTGGCTAATTTTTGTACTTTTAGTAGAGACAGGGTTTCACTATGTTGGCCAGGCTGGTCTCGAACTCCTGACCTCATGATCTGCCTGCCTCAGCCTCCCAAAGTGCTGGGATTACAGGCGTGAGCCACTGCGCCCAGCCGTCTTATATAATTTTATCTCCCAAATACACACAGACACACACACACACACGGACACACACACACCCTTTTCCCTGGGTCACTGTTGGAACTAACGTAAAGCGGCTGTGCTGGAAGGGCAGTACCTCATTCTGCCAGGGGATGGAGACACACCCGGTAGCAAACCGAGCATAGAAGTCTTCATCTGCGGTGTCCAGGTAGATCCCTTTCACCACCGAGAACTGCTCGATATCCAGGACGTCCTTACAGTAAACGGCATGAGGCTGTGTAGCAAGAACAGGGGCAGCCTCTGAGATGACTACAGCAATTCTCAGCTCCCTCAGTTCCCAAGAATGAAACGCCCAGCAAACTGACGCATAAACACCGCCACTCTCCCTGTCTCCATTCTTTTGCCAGGCCCCTCTCACTTGAGGCATTTTCTAAATCACAGAATGTGTCCTCTGAAGAGGTGGTTCGCCAGCTTTTAGTGTCACCAATTTTGTGGTACTGTCTGTGCCAGGTCCCTTGCATGCCCTGGCTCTCTCCCTCTTTCTCACACACACACACACACACATACACACACACATACACACACACACACACACACACACACCCCTCCTGAGGCCATGCCCTTCTCCTTTCCGTAGTGCAAAATGGATTGCAAACAGAGGTCAGGGATGCAGGGCAGGGTGGACTGCACGTATTGGAAGATGCAGCACAGAACCGGAGAAGTGTGAACAGGGACAGAGGCCACCAGCGGTGGGATCCCTTAGTGACAATTCTCGCCCCTGCCTCCAATTCTTGGTGCACTCCTGGCAAAGCACCCGGAGAAAACCTGAGGAACAGCAGCAGCTCCCACTTCCCATCCTCCTGCAGGTCCACTGAGTGGTCTCCAAGGCTGCAAGGGACCTCATCCCTCCGCTCAGCTCCCTGAATCAGCAGGTCCCTCCTCTGGGACAGGAACCCAGGTCTGCAGCTCCTATCCCGGCACTGCTGTCCTCAGAGGCAGAGGGTCAGGCAGGCAGGAGGGAGTGCCAAGGTCCGGGTCTCCACCTGCCGCCAGTACAGTTCCTTGCACTTTCAGGGCAAAGGAACAAAAAGCACGGAAGTCGGCAGCTGTGGGACCCTCATCTGCTCATGCCGGAGGCACCCGCAGTCCTGAGAAACTTTTCACCCAGGACTTGTGCACTACAGTGAGTGTTTCAGCAAAGCAGTGGCTCCAAAGGCCACGGTCAGCACAGCTGTTAGAGTAGCTGCTCTTCACTCATTCATACCCTCAAGGTGGGGAGGCGGAAGTGGACCGGCAGGCCCCGCCCCTCGGGGACAGTCCAGAGGAAGGTGTCCCAACAGCACACTCACAAGGAGGCACAGTGACCACTTCAGGGTCCTCAGTACGGGGCCAGGCCACAGTCCCAGGACCTCATGAGAAGCAGAGTGGGGACACGCGTTCCAGACAAAGGAAGCAGGGCCTCACGGCTGTGGGAAACACAAGAATGAGAGAGAAAGCCAGCCCTGAGACCAGAAAGGGGACACGGGTGGCCAGGCGTAGTGGCTCATGCCTGTAATCCCAGCATTCTGGGAGGTCAAGGCAGGAGGATCACTTGGGGCCAGGAGTTCAAAAGTAGCCTGGGCAACATAGGGAGACCCCCGTCTCTAGAAAAGAAGTGAAAATGAGCTGGGTGGTGTGTGGCTGTGGTCTCAGCTACCTGGGGGGCTCCCCCAGCAGTGAGGCTGACAGTGACACGAGGCAGGGAGCTAGAGCACCGCTGAGGTCTGTGAGGGGCCCAGTGAGTGGCCAAAGCACACTGGGGTGACGGGGGAGGGAAGAAGAACCAGGTAGGACAGGCACCATGAGCAAAAGCCACATGCTAACTGTACCTGCTGATTCTGTATCTGTTGTAATAAAAAACAAAAAAAAACAAAAAACTGTGTTGCAGCCGGGCACAGTGGCTCACGCCTATAATCCCAGCACTGTGGGAGGCCAAGGTGGAGGACCACTTGAGGCCAGGAGTGCAAGACCAGCCTGGGCAACACAGTGAGACCCCCCATCTCTATTTTTGAAAAAAGAAAGAGAAAAACCGTGCTGTGCGGATCACTGTTCCTAGGGCCCTGCTCGTCCTGGCAATGCACTTACATCAGGACAGAAAGGGGGCTCCAGCATGTTTGCCTCCAGCCTCCTGAAGTTGATGTCCTTGAACACGGGGTGCTGCTTCACCCCAGCCGCTCCCTCGCCCCTGCAGCCCAGCCGCTTGCTTGGATTCTTGGTGAGTAACTGCAAGAGGCAGAAATGCAACCCACTTGAGCCTCTGGATAAAAATGAAAACTCAAAACTCCCCTGCATAATAATAACCAAAGGACTCGGGAGGGCAGAGCAGGTGCATCTAACAAATCATTTCTTTTTTTTTCTTTTTTTGAGATGGAGTCTCGTTCTGTCACCCAGGCTGGAGTGCAGTGGTGCGATCTCGGCTCACTGCAAGCTCAGCCTCCCGGGTTCACGCCATTCTCCTGCCTCAGCCTCCCGAGTAGCTGGGACTATGGGCACCCGCCACCGTGCCCAGCTAATTTTTTGTATTTTTAGTGGAGACGGGGTTTCACCGTGGTCTCCATCTCCTGACCTCGTGATCCACCCGCCTCGACCTCCCAAAGTGCTGGGATTACAGTCGTGAGCCACCGCGCCCAGCTGCATCTAACAAATAATTTCCAAGCATCAAGCAGACCTCAGGAACTCAGACTTTACTCATTAAATTATATGACACTTCACAAAGGAGGGGGGCGAAGGTTTCGCCTTTGAGCTATCAATAAATAAGGGGTCGGCTATGTTATTCCTTAAGTTAAAAAAATTAATCATAAAAATGTGGGGATTTTTAAAGAGGAAACAGAAACTGTTGTCAATTTCAGAAATACCACTAAGGACCTCAGATGAGGCAACCACTTAGCAAACCTCGTTCTCAAAATATCTTCTTAATATTTTGGTATTCTAGTATATTCTTAAAATTACCAGAAAGGATCTCTTTAGAAAGTATTCCTCACATACATATTTACCATCATCACAAAGGCAAATAAGCCTTCCTCCGCAATTCTCATCAATCAGAAAAAGCAGGGCTGTGCTCAAAAGCAACACATGAAAGACCTGGACCCCTGAAACGTGACCTAGACCTGGGCTTGGGAAACCACAGTCCAGCCACCACAGGCACCAGCTGCCTGGTTTTGGAAACAAGGCTTTATCGACACCACCCTTTTCCACTATAGCGGCAGAGTTGAATCGCTGTAATAGACCTGCAAAGTCTAGACGCTGTTTACCATCTGGCCTTACAGAAAAGTATGCTGATCCCTGGCCAACTCAAAGTCCCAAAGACCAGAAAGCATTCTGGTCTGCGCTTCTATCTCCCACCGCTCTCAGCTCCTTGCTGGGCTGTGCCTGCTCCAGGGCTGTGTCTACAAAGCTCTTCGGCTTGCTGACTCCTGCTAAATTCTTCAGGTTTTAGCTTTCTGGCCCCCATACCTGCACTAGATTAGGCTCCCCAAATTTTTTTGCCACAGCCTGAGGGGATCCTCCACCTCTCCTCGATGACAAGTATTTCTTGCTGAGAATGAGTCATTTGGACGCGCCATTATTGCCAGGCTGTCCTGCTAGACTCAAAGCTTCCTGAAGCTAAGGCTGTGTGACTCTGGCCCACTGTGATACCCCAGCACCTAGCCAGAGCAGGCGCTCAGTAACAGTTGCTCAATGCGTTTATTCTTTGCATGCTTTGTTAATTTAAAACGGATGTGAAGACCGGGCGCAGTGGCTCATGCCCGTAATCCCAGCATTTTGGGAGGCCGAGGTGGGTGGATCACGAGGTCAGGAGATCAAGACCATCCTGGCCAACATGGTGAAACCCGGTCTCTACTAAAAATACAAAAATTAGCCGGACGTGGTGGCAGATGCCTGTAGTCCCAGCTACTCAGGAGCCTGAGGCAGGAGAATCCCTTGAACCCGGGAGGCAGATGCTGCAGTGAGCTGAGGTCGCACCACTGTACTCCAACCTGGGCCAGATCTGTTTCTTGAGACTCCGTCTCAAAGAAACAACAACAAATAAATTAATAAAACAGATCTGAAAATTAAGTGTAATGCAAATACCATTTCTGCATCTCAGGGACTCCACAGCCCCATGGTTGAGCTTGCTGCCAGCATACTCCACTCCCATCGAGGGCCAGGATGCTCTGAATGTGTGTATCCCCCACAAATCTGTAAGCTGAAACTTAATCCCCAATGCAATAGTATTGAGAGGTGGGACCTTCTGGAGGTGATGAGGTCATGAAGGCTCTGCCCTCGTGAATGGGATTCCTGCCATTAGAAAAGGGGCCCCAGGGAGCTGGTTTGTCCTCTGCCCTGTGAGGGTGCAGTGAGAAGGCTCCATCTTTCTTTCTTTTCTTTTCTTTCTTTCTTTCTTTTAAAATATAGACGGCATCTCACTGTGTTACCCAGGCTGGTCTCTAGCTCCTTGGCTCAAGTGATCCTCCCACCTCAGCCTCCCAAAGTGCTAAGATTATAGGTATGAGCCACCAGCTCCAGCCAAGGCTCCATCTTTGAAGCAGAGAGCAGCCCTCACCAACACCAAATCTGCAGGCATCTTGATCTAGGACTTCCAGCCTCCTGACTGAGAAAATAAACTTCTGCTGTTGATAAATTACTCAGTCTAAGGGATTCTGTCATAGCAGCCCAAAGGGACTAAGACAGATGGCCTGACCAGGCAGCACAGAGCAGAGGAGAGGGGCTTGGTCCAAAAGCTGGCCTCAGGTCCAGCTGCCAGCAGTTGCTGTGTGACGTCGTTAACCCATAGAACCCATTCTTTAAGAACGAACTGTTTCTCCTCTTAGTAATTATGGAGGATTATTTGCTACTAAACATTTTACATGTATTACTTCATTTTATCCTCCCAACAATCCTATAAAGTAAGAGCTACTCTCATCTACATTTCATAAATGAGAAACTGAGCTGGGAGAGATGATCCTGTAATGGGAGCTGAGACTCACCTGGCCCTAACTTCAAAGCTAGAGCTTCTCACACAGAGCCCTCACTCAGACACCTCCTTTCCCAGCACCTCCAACACCACGGATTTCATCTTGAAAGCCCCTGAGCCTTTGTTTCTATCCACTTACGACACCCATTGCATCCTGCTTTATTTTTCTTCCCCTCCCCGAGCCTAGCAGAACAAGTATGCATTCTGCTTTTTCTTTTCTTTTTTCTTTTTTGAGACGGAGTCATGCTCTGTCGCCAGGCTGGAGTGCAGTGGCACAGCCTTCCGAGTACCTGGGATTACAGGCGCCCACCACCGCACCTGGCTAATTTTTTTTTTAGTAGAGATAGGATTTCACCATCTTGGCCAGGCTGGTCTCAAACTCCTGACCTCATGATCCACCTGCCTTGACCTCCCAAAGTGCTGGGATTATAGCATGAGCCACCGCACCCGGCCCATTCTGCTTTTTCACTGCAGTCATTTCTGTTTGTTTTAGGCCTAACATTAAACTGTGAGCTCTTAGGGGCAGACTCCATTTCTGGTACATATTTATACATTCTTGCAGCCCTGTCAGTGTCCTGTGGGAGGAAGACTCCATTATTTAACAGTCAGCTCTAAGCAGAGTGAGGTAGCCGGGAGAACTCCAGGCTGACCCCTGGCTCCAGGACGAGCCTGTAGCACCCATGGCTTCATATATGGAAACACATGAAAAGGACATCAGAATAACTCCTCTCCAGCCACTGCCAGCCCATGTCAGTTACCCAGGCACAGCTGCTAGGAATGCCCACACCCAGGCAGGGGCCTATGCCTGGCTGCTTGGTCCTGTGGCCTTCTCTTCTCCAGTGACTTCATCCTCCATCCCCCCAGTGACCCCCAGCCACTCTCTCCCTGGTCACACCCCAGACTCTTGGCCAGCAAGCACTCTGTCAGCTCCACTCCAAGCAGCTTCCTCTCTGAGCGTCCCTCTCATCTTTCTAACTCTGGCCTGGAGGTGTATGGACTCCCAACTTGGACCATGCTTTGCCCATCCTGTTGAACCTGCCGTTCCCTGTGTCCATTTCCTCGTCCACTGGAGCCAGCGTCGAGCCCATGGTCTGTCCTCTAGTCACTCCCTGGCATGCAGCCCAGCTCCCCGGCCTCTCTCTAGCTGCTGGACAAACCAGAGCTGGGCGAGTGCAGCTCCCTGCTGGCTCTGAGCCTGCACCGTCCAGGTGTGGCAGAAGCCCAGCACACAACCACGGCCACTCCCCTCCCTTCAGGTCCGCATGGGCTCTTGATGCTGTTGAGGAAACCCCTGCTTTCCAAGCCTTCAAGCCTCCCCTTTCCTCACACCTGCCTCCCACCTTTGCTCCCCACTAGGGGCTGACCATCTGAGAAAAAGAAGCTCCATAAGAGACCGTTCACAGCCCTGCTCACGTCTCCCCAGCTGTGCTGCACTGGCCACAGACTCTGCCTCCTCTCCGGTCACTGGAGGAACTGCCCACACACTCCCCGTGCGCTGGCTGCTGTCCTCCCCACTGCAAGGACTTGGCTCCAGCGAGTGCCCCCTTCCCTCCAGCCCATCTTGGAGTCAGCCTGAAGTCTTCTCCACCACCTGCCTTCAGGATCCATCCTGAATCTGACAGCGGTCATCTGCCATCACTTCTCACACCTGCTCTGCCATCACCGAGGTCTGCGTCACCTTTACTCTCACCTGAATCGCTGCAAAGCCCCCAATGGCCTTCCTCCTCCCTGTCCATTCATTCTCTCCCAGTGGCCGGCAAGCCCAGTCTCATCACATCACTCTTCACAGAGCCCTGCGATGGCTTCATGGCCATCAGAGGAAGCAACACTCAAGGCTTGACAATGATGACAATAACAAGTGACAGGTGGTTCAGCATGGCCTGGGCTTCCTGCTCTCTGTCCCGTCCCCCTCTAACCCCCTCCTGCTCTTGCCAGCAGCCTGCCACTGTGGCCTTGCTATTGCAGACAATCTCTGTCTGCTCTGCCCAGCAGGCCGACCCCCTCTCACCCCCTAGAGCCTGCCGCCCCTCCAGGCAGTTCCCCGTCCTCCAGAGTGCGGGTCCTCCCCACAGCCCACACGTCTATGCATTTGTTCTGTTTCCTGTCAGTTCTCGCTGGCAGGGCGGGGACTTCTGTTCTATTTGCTGCTGTTTCCCCCAATGCCTAGGACGGTGCCTGGAACATACAAGATGCTCAATAAATCCTTGTTGAATGAAAATAAATGAAAAAAAAAATGTGCTAAAAAAATACTGGTTTAAAGTAAGTAACAAAGAGAGTTTCCCTCACTGATTGAGTGTCTGGGCAGTGAGGGGTGGTAACACAGTCCAGTCCCAGAGGCAGATGGACCCTGACAGCCACTGGCTCATTCTGGGACCAGGGACCAGGTCTCCACCGCTTGGGGCTCATCTCCTTGCTGTGACTCGCGGGTGCCACCGTCAGCCTCAGAGGCCCTTAGCACAGTTAAGGAATGGTCTGTCCAGCACCAGGCCCAGAGCCAGGCACACAGAAGGCCCTCAGGTCAGAGTGTCTCTGGGACTACAATCCCTGGCAGGTGGCTAAACCCTTACCCACCTCAAAATACATGAAAGATTGGTTTTATGTCTAACTTCATATAAAATTGGTCAATGAAACAAGGCTTGGCTATTTTCTGAAAACTGAATTAATAACCTTGGTACCACTCTTCCCTTTCAGTAGCATTATTTGAGAAATCAAACCATGAATTTTACTGTGTTTTGCTCCAATCAAAACCCAATTAAGTCATTTCCAGATCATGTCTGGAAACTTTTCTCACTGGCTCTTTTTGTCTGATGAAATCCCAGTGGCAGGAGCATGGGGAAGGAGGCAGGTAGACGTGAGCTTCCTAAGCAAACGTGTCCTCCCTGCTGGGCCAAGAGACAGGTTGACGTGAGCCTCCTGAGCACATGTGTCCTCCCTGCTGGGCCAGGAGGCAGGTGGACCTGAGCCTCCTGAACACGCGTGTCCTCCCTGCTGGGCCAGGAGACAGGTGGACCTGAGCCTCCTGAACACACGTGTCCTCCCTGCTGGGCCAAGACACAGGTGGACCCGAGCCTCCTGAACACGCGTGTCCTCCCTACTGGGCTGCAGGGGCAGGGGCAGGGCCTGGGAGGTGGGTGACCAGGACTTGCTGAAGATGACAGACCAATTTTTTTTGTTATAGCTGCCAGTGAAAACAACTAGAATGAGTGAGAAGTGCCATTTCCCAGCCTCTACAGAGCCTGACTTACCATCCTGCAGATAGATTTGGCATCCTCTGAAAACTTCTCAGAATACTCCTCGGTATCATTCTTGATTCTTTGATCGACCTCCTCCCATTTGACTTTCTCTTTGTATTTTTTGAATGGAGAATGTCCCTGAATCATTTCATAGATCAGACAGCCAAGTCCCCACCAATCGGGACTAAACGTATACTTTTCATTATTGACAACTTCAGGTGCTACATAACAAATACAGGAAATGGAAATTAAGTTAAATTTTGATTTTAAATTTTCTTATAATTCCCAGTAACACAGTATACATTCAACGTGTGTGACAACATGGACGAACCTTAAAAACATTATGTTAAGGCTGGGAGCGGTGGCTCACACCTATAATCCCAGCATTTTGGGAGGCGAAGGCAGGCAGATCACCTGAGATCAGGAGTTTGAGACCAGCCTGGACAACATGGTGAAACCCTGTCTCTACTAAAAATACAAAAATTAGCCAGGTATGGCGGCAGGCGCCTGTAGTTCCAGATACTCAGGAAGCTGAGGCAGGAGAATCGCTTGTGCCTGGGAGGTGGACGTTGCAGTGAGCCAAGATTGTGCCACTGCATTCTAGCCTGGGCGACTGAGTGAGACTCTGTCTCAAAAAAAAAAAAAAGTTGTGAAATTAGATGGTGGTGATGGTTGCATGACTCTGTGAAAATACTAAAATCCGTTGTATTACACACTTCAAACTGGTGGACTTGATGATATATGAATTATATCCCAATAAAGCTAATATTTTTAAACATTTGTATGATTCATCCAAGATGAGCTGAATTGCCACAGAGTCACATTCACAAGGGAAATGGTGGTCTAGGGAAGGCTCCACCTCCTGAAGGGGCTCCCTCCAGACACACAGAGCCATGCCCAGGGCGCCCCAAGTGTCACGTCTTGCCATCTATCCCAGGGCAGTGAAAAACCCCACAAGACGCAAGAGCGGAAAGCCACAAGACCTTGGGGTCTTCCTGCAGGACTCTGCGAGGCTCTCAGAGGCCACCCCTGGGGGTTGGCTGGCACTGCCCCCGGATCTTTGGAATAACCAGAGTGGGGTGATTTCCTGAGGCTCCGAGAGGCCGTGGTGCACAGGGGAGGACACTGGTAGAGTGAGGAGACCTGCGGTGTCATCCCGATTCTGCCCTCACTTCGCTGAGTGACCTCAGGACTCACAACCTCTCAGGCCTCACCCCTCATCTGTAAGAAGCTGAGGGCAGCCTACAGGATCCCCAGCAGCCTCAACACTCTGACAGGTTAGAGATTCAAAACACCACTGCGCCATCTACTAGTGTGTCCAAACCGAGGCCCCGGTCCATTCAGGGTGGATTTCTCTGTGTTCTGAGGCACTCAGGCACCCGGATAGAAAGGACAAGGACGCCGAAAGCCTCTCACGAACCCATGTAGCCGACTGTTCCAACTCTTCCTCGAACCCTCTGTCCTTCTGGGATCTCTGTGGCCAAACCGAGGTCTGAAATCCGGATGTGTCCTGTGTGTTCAAATATGTTATTACACAGGTCACGGGGGAAGTAATGACACCGTAACAACAATTAAAATGGGAAAAAAGGCCCCTCAAAAACCATGGCTGGAAATAATAGCATTTCATACTCTGGAACAGTAAACGTAAAATGGCATTTAACTTTTTCATGTTTAGTAAAATTCCATACAATGCATTTTCACTAGCAGCAGGAAAATTCGATTTTTGCCTGGCTATTGATCAGGAAGCCCTTTAATCATAGGCCACCACTTGATAAGACAGAAACACTGGATTTATTATTTTATGTCATACAACTTCCAGGTACATCAATAAAAATATAATGAATATTATATCAACTACAGAACAGTAAATAAATACTTTCTGTCAGAGTACCAGTACTATACACAGGGACAGCTACACATGAATGATATGGAGTTATTCTCTTGAGAACAAATGGTAATAGAGTCAGGGAAATAATAAACAAAATTAAGGTACTTAGGGAACTATATTATGTGTTAATGCGTTGAATATAGAAGGATTTAAATATTTGTTGAATTCCTATGGAACTAACAAATTAGGCCAGACACGGTGGTTCACACCTGTAATTCCAGCACTTTGGGAGGCCAAGGTCGGAGGATTACTTGAGTTCCACATTTTGAGACCAGCCTGGGAAACATGACAAGACCCTGTCTCTATAAAAAAAGATTTTTAAAAAAATTAGCTGGGTGTGATGGCACATGGCTATGGTCCCAGCTACTCTGGAGGCTGAGGCAGGAGGATCGCTTAAGCCCAGAAGGTCGAGGCTGCGGTGAACCATGATCACACCACTGCAGGGCAAGAGTGAGAATCTGTCTCAAAAAAATTATAAAGAAAATACGAAATTATCGAAAACATTCTGTTGAGTGTGTAGAAAGATTAGCCAGCCCTGGAAGCGGACACTATCTTCAACTTATTCACCACTTATCCTCAGCTTCTAATATCATACCCTGGCCTACAGTAGGTGCTCAATAAATATTTATTGGTGAAATGAATGAATAACCAATAAATGTTTGCTAAAAACTAAAAATATGCGACATGCCCTCCAAGGCACTGTAGTCATTTTAAAACAGTCTGCATGATGCTTTAGAGAGGAAAGCCGGCCTCTGACTCAGATGCATGCACGTGATACACCACACCCCGCCCTTGCTGCGCGCCCACCCTGGGAGGCGGGAGAGCACAGGGGTGAGGAGCACAGACCCAGCCCGATGGCGTGGGTCTGAGTCCTGGCTCTGCCATGTACTATCATGTCTCAGTTTCCTCCCCTTGTACAGATGCATTCTTTCAATAATCCACATTTCATTTTCTTTTCTTTTCTTTTGTAGAGACAGGGTTTGGTCATGTTGCCCAGGCTGGTCTTGAACTCCTGGGCTCAAGCGATCCTCCCACCCTGGCCTCCCAAAGTGCTGGGATTACAGGCGTGAGCCACCGTGCCTGGCCAGCTTTCGTGTATTTTTCATTTAAGTAGAGTGCTAACATGTTGTGACTTATTTTTTTCGTATCATTGTCTTATTTTTCTTATAAAAATGGATTTTTAAACTGAGAAATGCAACTTAAAACTACACTGAAATACCAATTCCCAGCTAACAAACTGACAAAAACTCCAAAGTTCGAGAACTCGGTCTGCTGGCGAGGCTGTGGGGAAACAGGTGCTCTCGTGCACTGCTGGTGGGAATGCAGACGGGAAACACCCTGGAGCGGAATCTGGCAATATCTGACAAATTGCGTATGAATTCACCCACTTCTAGGACTCTATCAAGGATACATTCAACGAAATAGGAAATTACATGTGCCCAAGGCTCTCCATCGCGGCACCAACGGAAACAGCACCGGTGGAGATGACACGCTTACCAGCGAGGGCTGCGCAAACAGGTCAGGTTCGCCTGCAGGAGGCACAGCAGACGGACGGAAGCCGTCCATGAGTGTTGCAGAGCCATCTCCACCGTATATTCAGTGAAATAGCCACGTGGAGGACAATACATGTGGTCTACTACTTTATTTAAGAAATGAGTGGGGAACAAATATATCTATACATATATAGTATGTAAATGAAGGAATGAAATATGAGTTAAAATAATTACTTGGGGATGGTCAGGGATGGAATCTAGACATCTTACGATACACTCTATTTTGCGGTGTTATCTTTGGAACCACATAAATGTTTTACATAATTATAACATTAAAAAATTAGATTGCTGGCCGGGCGCGGTGCTCAAGCCTGTAATCCCAGCACTTTGGGAGGCCGAGGCGGGCGGATCACAAGGTCAGGAGATCGAGACCATCCTGGCTAACACGGTGAAACCCCGTCTCTACTAAAAAAAATATAAAAAATTAGCCGGGCGTGGTGGCGGGCGCCTGTAGTCCCAGCTGCTTGGGAGGCTGAGGCAGGAGAATGGCATGAACCTGGGAGGCGGAGCTTACAGTGAGCCGAGATCACGCCACTGCACACCAGCCTGGGCGACAGAGCAAGACTCCGTCTCAAAAAAAAAAAAAAAAAAAATTAGATCGCTAAAAATTGAAAGCAAAATTAAGAAAATGAACCTAATGGTGTATCCAGCTGGTGGTTTAACCGCACAGAAGGGAATGATACTGAGTGACTTTTTTTTTTTTTTTTTTTGAGACAGAGTCTCACTCTGTCACCTAGGCTGGAGTGCAATGGCTTGATTTCAGCTCACTGCAACCTCCGCCTCCCAGGTTCAAGCGATTCTTCTGCCTCAGCCCCTCAAGTAGCTGGGACTACAGGCATGTATTACCACACCCAGCTAATTTTTGTATTTTTAGTAGAGACAGGGTTTCACCATGTTGGCCAGGCTGGTCTTGAACTCCTGACTTCAGGTGATCCACCTGCCTTGGCCTCCCAAAATATTGGGATTACAGGCAAGAGCCACTGTGCCCGGCCTCTGAGTGACTTTAAATTAATTTGAGTGAACAACCCTAGAACCAAAGAACTTTTGCTAATGACTAAAAGAACTGCAAAGAAATATTTTACTGGTTTTGTTGTTGTTGTTGTTGTTTGTTTGTTTGTTTTTTGAGACGGAGTCTCACTCTGTCGCCCAGGCTGGAGTGTAGTGGTGCAATCTCGGCTCACTGCAACCTCTGCCGCCCGGGTTCAAGCGATTCTCCTGCCTCGGCCTCCTGAGTAGCTGGGATTAGAGGTGCACTGCCACGCCCGGCTAATTTTTGTATTTTTAGTAGAGACAGGGTTTCACCATGTTGGCCAGGCTGGTCTCGAACTCTTGACCTCAAGTGATCCACCTGCCTCAGCCTCCCAAAGTACTAGGATTATAGGTACAAGCCCCACACCTGGCCTACAATTTTTTAAAATTAGCCAGATATGGTGGCTCATGCCTGTATTCCCAGCTACTCAGGAGGCTGAGGCAAGGCGGATCGCTACAGCCCTGGAGGTCAAAACTGCAGTGAGGCATAATTGCACCGTAACAACTAAAATATCCTTAATCGCTGCTGGATGTGGTGGTGCATGCCTGAAACTCCAGCTACGTGGGAGGCTGAGGCAGGAGGGTCGCTTAGGCCCAGGAGTTTCAGGTTGTAATTGTGCCACAATCGCACCTGTGAGTAGCTACTGCACCCAGCCTGGGTAGCATAGAGAGACCCTGACCTTAAAAAGAACTTTAAAAAAAGGAAAACTGTGGTCATCGGCATCAGAGGACTGTGGTCCCCAAGAGAAGAGACAGGGAACTGGCCCAGCAACCATCCTGGCATCCCACCCGGGAGTGCCTTTCAGATCGTGGCGCAGGAGGGGAACCTGGGCAGAGCAGGGGTCTTGCTAAGTTAGCCAGGCAGGAGTTAGCACTGGGGAAAGACAGCTCAGCTCAAACATGTGGGGTAAAGTTCTAAAGAAGAGAGAACTACACAGAAAAATCTCCTAAAAACACAGAAAAAGGTTATCAGTGTGCTCCCCTGCCTTGTTATCACTTCTAACCATTTCTCATGATTGTCCCTTTATGTTTCTTTATGTTTATGAGCAAGCACACTACACACAATTCCCTGCTTTGTTTACACAAAAGGGAGCACACTACACACACACTCTGCACCGTACCCTGTTCCGATCAACCACATAGCTTGGAGATTGCTCCACTTTGCATACAGAGCACGTTCTACCTACCCTTGTTAAGCCTTTTAACAACTCAGTAAGTGAGCAGCTTCGCTTAGTGCCCTCCCCACCCAAAGCCACCTCTGGTGAGCAGCACAGCACCAGGAATGAACCACAGGCTAAGTCAGGAGCTACGGACACAACCTTGGACAAGTCTGATTCCTAAATCTTGGTATCGCCTTCCATTAAATGAGAATTCCAGTACCCTCCTTCCTCACAGGGCAGGGTGTCATACATGAATTAGATAAGCATGAAAGCATCTGGCAGAGGCATAAAAGGAGACTAGCATTCCAAGTCCCCCACGACTGCCCTCAATCTCCGCCTTAGACGCCTGTCCTCTTCTCGGCAGGAGCCACTGACCTTGCCATGTGTGCTCTACTAGACTGTAAGACCCTTCTTTGCCAAGAAAACTCACTTGAAAGAAGCTCTCTCCCAGCACTGCTTGTGAGCTATGTGTGAGCACAACCACCCTCCCCAGCAGTGCAACCATCCTTGCATTCTGGGTATGACTCTCCCTTAGAGGAACCAAGGTGGAGTGTGCACCCATGCTGCAGACAAGGAGCCTGCTGAAAAGGGCCACTCCCTGTCCACTATTACAGGGTCTCCAAGCAGCCATCTGCACCCTGCTCTGTGACACATGCTATGTGACAAGAGGACAGCACCAGGGGCAACATGACAAAGTTTAGAGGGGAATGGAAATAAAAAAGAATAAAGCAAGAGGTGGGTCAACAGCAAGAAACAAGAGGGAGAAAACGTTCTGACTTTGTGTTTACTTTAATGTGCTTCTAGGTGGGGCACAGTGGCTTATGCCTGTAACCCTAGTGCTTTGGGAGGGAAGGCAGGAGGACTGCTTGAGGGCAGTAGTTTGAGAACAGCCTGGGCAACATAGCATGACCCCTATCTCTACAAAAAAAATTTAAAAATTAGCCAAGCATGGTGGCGCACAGCTGTAGTCCCAGCTATGCAGAAAGCTGAGATGGGAGGGTCATTTGAGCCCAGTAGTTCAAGGCTGCAGTGAGCTATGATTACACCACTGCACTCCAGCCTGGGCGACACAGCAAGACCCTGACTTAAAAAAAAAGGCTTCTAAAACTCAATCATTAATTGAAAATTATGACCATCTCTGCTTCTTGCCTAAACACAGGGGAATGACCAAATTGTCAGTATTTCATCTTTTTAAAATGAACACATACCACAGAGTTTTTCTTTTTGTTATTGTTTCCATTCTCTCCTAATCATTAAGTCCACTTTCTGCATCCAACTTTCTGTATCCAAGTCCCTCTAACAAAGTCTACCCATTAGATGTGAAAGGCTTGCCCACTTACCACGATCATCAAGGAGAATATTCTCAGGCTTCAAGTCTCTACAAGAAACAACAACAAAAGGCCCAATTATTCAGAAGTTGGCACTGTGATTCCTGAGTACCCAGTAGGAACAACCAGCGTGAGCAAGGGCTAGCGCGGCAAAACACGAAACTGCCCTTCATGAGCCACGGCAAACAGGCAGGACAAGAATGTTACAAAATTCATCTCAGCAAACAACTCACATGTGACGACAGTGTAAAATGAACTTCTTTGCATAGTTATACAGATTTGAAGACATTTCAGTGATTAAATATGCAGCCCAGTAGGAAGGAAAGCAAACAGTCCTTAATGAACGTGGCACAATTTCTCTTACCATTAACATATTTTTAAGTGTTTCAAAAACTGAAAATTCCCCATATTAGAATGCCTCAAGCTGGGTGCAGTGGTGTGTACCTGTAGTCCCAGCTACTCAGGGGGCTGAGGTGGGAATGTCACTGGGACCATCGGTCATTCATTCAACAAATGCTTAGTGATACCTACTGATGGTGAGTCCCGTGGACACAGCGGTGGATGGGGCAGACATGGTGCAGCCCCCACTGAGTGCAGGCGGGTGAGGCAAGTGGGTACCGGAGGTTAGAGGATGAGCCAAAGCTCACATGAGAAAATCCAGCTCATCTTGAGACTGAAACCAAACACAGCGGCTCAGCCGTAGTCACCTGTGAAGTGTGATTTACTCCAGGAGTAACAAAAGAATCAAATCTCCTATGGGTGTGTTCCATGGTCCAATACCACCAGACTCTTACCTCTAAGCAATGGCAACAAGGCTTCCTCAACTCAGGCGACCACCTCTGTGTCTAGAGGACTCATAGCCAGGGCAGCAATCCACCCCTTGCTCAATGCTCAAGGTGCGGAGGTGTCAGCCCCACTGCCAAGCCTGGTCTCTGGTCCTTAAGAGATATTTATCCCATATTGGCTGTGGGATATATAAGATAAGGAGAAGCCAAAGGTCCATCAGAATAGGAAGAAATGAGATCAAGGACTCCCAAGAAGCTCATCGTCTGACGTGACCATCTGAGCAGACAACACGGGGAGCAGTTGGAGGATGTGGGGGAGGGGCACATCCTCATGCTCACACCCTCGTGCTGTGTGGGCCAACTCTGGGCGGATGAGCAGGAGTCTCTCAGAATGACAGGAAGAGGGGCTGGGTGGAGAGTGGCACCCACACAGGAACACCTTGTGCAAAGGTACAATGAAGTGAGGACACCTGAGCAGCTAAAACCCTCGCATGATGAGGGCAGGGGGTGTGGGAGCAGCAGGACCCAAGGCTGGAGGGCTCTGTGGGGAGCTGCATCACAAAGGCCACGAGGGCCAGGCTTACAAGGTGACAAGGGAGACACCATCAGGTCCCACAGCAGGCCCCTTTCCCTTGGATATCAAAATCCAAGGGTCCTCAAGTCCCTGATATAAAATGGTGCAAAATTTCCATATAACCTACACACATCCTCCCAATTACTTTAAATCACCTCTAGATTACACATACTACCGGACACAATGTAAATGATAAGTAAATCATAATTGTACTATATTGTTTAGGGAATAGTGACAAGAACAAAGTCTACATGTTCAATACAGACGCAAGCATCCTTTTTTTTCTGAATATTTTCTCTTTTTTTTCCCCCTTTCATCCTGTTGAGCAGGATTTTCTGAATATTTTCGATTCACAGCTCTTTGAATCTACAACATGGAACCCATGGATATGGGGGACCGACTATAACTGGCAGATGAACCCACAGAAGGGAGGAAATGAAATTACCCAGGGAGAGTGACTGAGAAGAGACTCAGAGCCCAGGAACTCCAGCATTTAAGGGACAGGAGGGGGAATTGTTTTTTCCTAAAACTAAATACATTGATTACACTAAACTATGAAGTTTAATTTAATTTTCTTTACTAAATTCTAAGATGCAAAAAAGAAACTACTATTTCAAGACATTAAATTGTTATGTTATATGGCAGGACATAATAGATCCTTATCAGAACTATCAACATACCTAAGAACCTTGGAAATGGGCTCTTCTTATGCTTACATGAGTAGCACCACCTTTATTTGATCAACTTAACCAGTAAAAAACAAACTTCTGCTTCAAAAAGACAATTTATTAGAGATTTAGGCTGGGCACGGTGGCTCACACCTGTAATCCCAGCACTTTTGGAGGCTGAGGCCCGTGGATCACCTGAGGTCAGGAGATCGAGACCAGCCTGGCCAACATGGTGAGACCCCCATCTCTAGTAAAAATACAAAAAATTAGCTGGGCATGGTGGCGGGTGCCTGTAGTCCCAGCTACTTGGGAGTCTGAGGCAGGAGAATCACTCGAACTGCAGTGAGCCGAGATTGTGCCATTGCACTCCAGCCTAGGTGACAGAGTGAGACTCCATCTCAAACACAAAACAAAAAAACACCCAGGGCCCTCTGACTGGCCATATTTCCAATAGTGTAAGTGACCAACCCTAAGAATCACCATCGAGGGCCTCCCAGCTATTCTCCTGCCCATCCTGGAAGCAGCCAGTGTGAACCAGGGAAGCCTAGGGCTGGGAGAAACCGGCTCCAAGACTTGCAGGCTCCATTAGGTAGCACCGTTCTTACCTGTATACAATTCTTTCCCTCTGTAAATCTTCCAAGCCGCAACACAGCTCTGCAGCATAGAAAACGGCTCTCTGCTCATCAAAGCCGGGATTGCCCAGGTTGTAAATGTGAAACTTCAAATCCCCTCCATTCATAATGGTGAGCACCAAGCACAAGGCATCTTTGGTTTCATAAGCGTAGGCTAAACTAACCTAAAGACAGCAACATCATAAAAACAGAACACGAACTTGCTCTTTCATTGGTGATTTCCTCTATTTGCTAATAATATGCAAATAATCTGTGTTAGGTTTACAATCAGAACATGTGAATACTATATGTTTCAGAGAAATGTACAGGACATATCACGTGCCTCTTGGACCTTGGCATGCTGAAGATTTTACCGCAGCTGTGTAGCCAAAAGAGAGAACTTTCTACAGCTAAGCGAAGAAGTGGCGAAACTTCACCAAGATACTTGGGATCATGACTCCTCTGTGTTGTGCTCTCATCACTTGAGCCCTGACATTCTGTACTTCCCGGGCAACCGCATTCAGCACATAAGCTATGCCCCACCAGCAGTGCAAGAGAGGTCTTACTGTGCCACATCCTTCCAACATTTTGTGCTGTCAATCTTTTTAGTTTGAATAATGCTGGTGGAGTAGTCTCTTACTGCGGTCTTAATTTGCATTTCTCTATATATGCAAAGATAGGGGACCCTTTCATATAATTAATAGCCATTTGGATCCTCTTTTGTGAAATGCCTAGTCTATTTTCCCCCCATTTTTCTATTGGTTTGTATGTCAGTTCACACACACACACATACACACACACCCTGCTGGGATTCTGATTGGGGCTGCATTCAATTCATTTAATCTACAGATCAATTAGGGAAAACCAGCATCTTTACAGCATCGGGTCTTCCAATCTGGGAACATGGTCTCCCCCTATTTATTTAGACCTTCTTTCTTTATTTTTTTGAGACACAGTCTTGCTCTGTCGCCCAGGCTGGAGTGCAGTGGCACCATCTCGGCTCACTGCAACCTCTGTCTCCCAGGTTTCAAGCGATTCTCCTGCCTCAGCCTCCCGAGTAGCTGGGATTATAGGCACCTGTCACCACGCCCGGCTAATTTTTGTATTTATAGTAGAGATGAGGTTTCACCATGTTGGCCAGGCTGATCTCAAACTCCTGACCTCAAGTGATCCACCTGCCTCGGCCTCCCAAAGTGCTGGGATCACGGGCGTGAACCACAGTGCCCAGCCTCCTTCTTTAATTTCTTATAATAACATTTTACAGTTCTCAGTGTAGAAGTCTTGCACATTTTTGTCAGTTCTTTGCCTAGAGTTATTTTTTAAGAGACAGGGTCTTGCTATGTTGCCCAGGCTGGACTCAAACTCCTGGGCTCAACTGATCCTCCCATCTCAGTCACCCAAGAAGCTGGGACTACAGGTGCACACCACCTCACCGGGTCTTTTCTTAGATTTTGATGTTTCTTGATGCCATTGTAAATGGTATCAGTAACATTTCCATTTTCTAATTGTTAGTGGCTGATTCACATTTAATCACTTGGTTAAATCCTTAATAGGTTATCTAAAAATCTGGGAATGTCTCCACATACAATGATGTTGTTCGAAAATAATGAGTTGTGGCCGGGCACAGTGGTTCATACCTATAATCCCAGCAGTTTGGGAGGCCTAGGTAGGAGGATCACTTGATCCCTGGAGTTCCAGACCAGCATGGGCAATATAGTGAGACCCCCATCTCTATCTAAAAAAAAAAAAAAGAAAAAGAAAAAGAAAAAGAAAATGATGAGGGCTTTTTTTTAACCTTTTTTCTTCTTTTCTCTAACCTTAATCCCTTTCACTTTTTCCTTTACCTTACTGCACTGGCCAGAATTTCCAATATCATGTTGAATTGAAATGGTCAGCAGGTATCTAGCCTCATTCCAGATCTCACGGGGAAAAGCTTTTAATATTTTCATATTAAGTATGATTGTGTTAGAGATTTTCTGAAGGAAGTTCCTTTCTGTACCTGGTTTGCTTCGAGTTTTTAAGCATGACTGGGCATTAGCTTCTATCAAAAGCTCTTCCTGCAGCTGTTGAGATGACCATATGGTTCTTCCCTTTATTCTGGTAACGTGATAAATTACATTATTTGATTTTCATTCCTGGAATAAATCCAACTTGGTCATGATGTATTAAAACAGTAACAGAGGTGCTGAGAATGGAGGAGAGGAGGCCCCAGCCGGCATGCAACAGACCACAGAATTAAACCACAAGGAATTCTCACTGGCCCTTGAATTAGTAAGGATCCCTTACTTTCTCTCCTCTTGTGAATATTCATTCAACATCTGCTTAATATATATTAAAATTATATTGAGAATCTTTTATCACGCCAGCCTTGTTGTGGGCAGCTGGGATGCAGTGGTGAGCATGGCCCTGAGGAGCTCTGTCCTAATATCGTGGTGGAGGAGGCCTGGGCAGTTACAGATGACAGATGAACCAATGCAAAGAAACCATCCAACAGAGTGATGGGCGACTCACAGACTGCCTATGGGGAGGGAGACCAAGGGCAAGAGGGAAAGGCAGTGATGCTTCAGGCAGAGTGCAGTCAGACCCCAGGCCTGATGTGGCAGAGGCTGCAGGAGCCAGGTCCCTCAGTGCCTGAAAGGCCAGAGCTGAGTCTAATTTTATTCTCAGAGTGGCAGGTGGCCACTGGAGTTTTTAATCAGGAAAGTGGATGACTAATTTAACTTGTCCACAGACTGCCTTGCACTGCTCCGTGGAGAACAGACTGTGAGGGGCGAGGGTGCAGGCAGGGGCAGAGGGCTCCAGGGAGAGGCATTACTGCCATGGGTCAGGGCGCAGCAGGGATGAACATGCCACTGTAAGCAGGGGGTAAACACCATCACAGAAGGAGAAAAATGTCTCTAGGTTAAGCAGGGAGAAAACACCATAGGGAAGGAGAAAAATGTCTCTAGGTTCCTTGGGAGAGGCCAACGATATAGAAATCAAAGCATTTAAGCAAAAGAAACTGTAACAACTGTTTCTGTTCTTTTCATAAAGCTAGATTGTGGATTTCTATGTTCCAAGGTAGTTACACGGGGGTTTTTTTTGTTTTGTTTTTTTGTATTTTTTTTTTTGTTTTGCTTTGTTTTTGAGATGGGATCTCACTCTGTCACCCAGGCTGGAGTGCAGTGGGCAATAATGGCTCACTGCAGCCCTGACCACCTGGGTTCAAGCAATCCTCCCACCACAGCCTTCTGAGTAGCTGGGACTACAGTCACACACCACCATGCCTGGCTAATTTTTTTTTTTTTTTTTTTGGAGATTGAGTCTCACTCTGTCACCCAGGCTGGAGTACACAGGCTGGAGTACAATGGCGCAATCTGGGCTCACTGCAACCTCCGTCTTCTGAGTTCAAGCAATTCTCCTGTCTCAGCCACCCAAGTAGCTTGGATTACAGGTGCTCGCCACCACACACCCAGCTAATTTTTGTATTTTATTAGAGACAGGGTTTCACCATGTTGGCCAGGCTGGTCTCGAACTCCTGACCTCAGGTGATCTGCAGGCCTTGGCCTCCCAAAGTGCTGGGATTACAGGGCGTGAGCCACAGTGCCTGGCCTTTTAAAAAAAATTTTTTTTGTAGAGGCCAGGCTTGGTGGCTCACACCTGTAATCCCCAGCATTCTGGGAGGCCAAGGTGGGTAGATCACAAGGTCAGGAGTTTGAGACCAGCCTGGCCAACAAAGTGAAACCCTGTCGCTACTAATAATACAAAAAATTAGCTGGGTGTGGTGGTGGGCACCTGTAAAACCAGCTACTCGGGAGGCTGAGGCAGGAGAATCACTTGAGCCCGGGAGCCGGATGTTGCAGTGAGCCAAGATCGCGCCACTGCACTCCAGCCCGGGAGACAGTGCGAGACTCTGTATCAAAAAAAAAAAAAATAGGGTGATGGGGGTCTCCCTATGTTGCCCAGGCTGGTTTCAAACTCCTGGGCTCAAGTGATCCTCCCACCTTGGCCTCCCAAAGTGCTGAAATGACAGGCATGAGCCACCAAGCCCAGCCAAAAAATATGTTTAAAGCAACTCCCAGATAAGCCCATTTTATTACAGATTTTCAAGTAATTGCACATGAGAGTGACATATCATATACACACACTGTGCTATTTTTTTTTTTTTTTTTGAGATGGAGTCTTGCTCTGTTGCCCAGGCTGGAGTGCAGTGGCGTGATCTTGGCTCACTGCAAGCTCCGCCTCCGGGGTTCACGCCATTCTCCTGCCTCAGCCTCCTGAGTAGCTGGGACTACAGGCGCCTGCCACCACGCCTGGCTAATTCTTTGTATTTTTAGTAGAGATGGGGTTTCACTGTGTTAGCCAGGAGGGTCTCGATCTCCTGACGCCTGCCTCGGCCTCCCAAAGTGCTGGGATTACAGGCGTGAGCCACCGCGCCCGGCCCCACACTGTGCTATTAAATTCAGATGCTGGCTGTGAAGGTACACTGGGAACATTTGTCCCCCTGCACAAAGCAGCTAACCTCCGGGCTAAGAAATAAATGGCTTGGAGGAAATAGCTCTAACACTACAAATCATTTTATAAATTCTCGTTCACACTCTCCCTTCAACCAGTCTTCATACTTCAGTAGCTGCTACAGGACATATGTAATTAGGTAGAGAGAAACTGGGTTTGGAGATGAGAACCACACTATACAATGCACACCGTAAAGCCTGGAACTGCTCCCCTGAGCTCATACCAGTCCGCCCAATGTTCTGTCCTTTCCAGAAAGGTGGGAAGGTGGTATTTGGGCTTCATACAATTGGGATATGCTAGTTGAGGGCCTAGCGGTAAACTTCCCAGAAAAAGGAAAAGACGGAAAGCAGATTGAGGCCAGAGGGAGGAGGCCCACATGAGAAGGGGGCTAGAGAAGGTATCCTCAGCCAGACGTGGTAGCTCACACCTGTAATCCCAACACTTTGGGAAGCTGAGGCAGGTGGATCACTTGAGCCCAGGAGTTCAAGACCAGCCTGAGCAACATAGGGAGATCTCATCTCTCTCTCTTTTTTTTGAAACGGAGTCTCGCTCTGTTGCCCAGGCTGGAGTGCGGTGGTGCAATCTCAGCTCACTGCAACCTCCGCCTCCCAGGTTCAAGTGATTCTCCTGCACCAGCATCCCAAGTAGCTGGGACTACAGGCACGCGCCACCAGGCCCACCTAATTCTTTTTGTATTTTTAGTAGAGACGGGATTTCACCATGTTGGTCAGGCTGGTCTCGAACTCCTGACCTCAGGTGATCCACCCTCCTTGGCCTCCCTAAGTGGTGGGATTACAGGTGTGAGCCACCGCGCCTGGCCAGAGATCTCATCTCTAAAAAATAAGAATAAAAATAAAAAAATTAAAACCTAGTTGGGCATGGTGGTGTGTGCCTGTGGTCCCAGCTGCTTGGGAGGCTGAGGTAGGAGGATCACTTGGGCCTGGAAGGTTGAGGCTGCAGTGACCCAAGATCGTGCCATTGCGCTCCAGCCTGGACAACAGAGCGAAACCCTGTGTCAAAAAAAAAAAAAAAAAAGAGAGAGAGAGAGAGAAGGTATCCTCAAGCACAGCCAAGTCACAGTGTCCCAGGGGCCAGAGAAATTGACTGGAGGCTGAGAGCAAACAGAGATAAGCTCTGGCTGGCTGTGATAAGGGAAAGGAAAGGGCAATTCACCAAGAAACACGGGTAACTAATGGACCTGGAGCCTCTGCAAGCTGGCAGGTGTGAAGAGTGACAGAATGGGAGGCGGGGGACTACAGATTTATAACAAACCAGAAGTTAGAAGCAGTATCACTCCTTCTATGTTTTCTAAGGTTTGAATAAGAAAGAAGAGAGCTGTTACTAAAAACAAAACTGTTACTAAAAAGAGCAAACCCCCACATAAACTCAGAAAACAAGAAATGACTTCCACGGCTTCAGTGAGCGTGAGCTGAGCGGCATGTCGGCTGACAAAAGTGCTATGAATCAAACAATGCACAGTGAAGACTAAGAGGAGACACTTACTACGAATCTACTTTGCACTTTCTCCAGAATTCTTTTCTCATTTAGAGCCATAGCTTCACCTTTCCTCTTCTTTATTCTTTTTTTTTGTAGCTTTTTGCAGGCATACATTTTTCCTGTGGCTCGCACTTGACAGGCGCAAACCTAGTTTAAACAGCAAAATAAAGGAGGTTTATGTCCACCTGGCATTTCTTAGGCCACACAAAGGAAGCTCTTTGCTTGATGAGACCCTCACTGGCAGAGACCAGCAGCAGTGCATGAGGAGCCGAGACCGTTTCAAAGGTGAGCTTCGTCAGTGTGAGTCGGCTCCTCCCTCAGTGATGCACTGTACTCTATCAACTCTAAGACAGTGTACAAATGGAACTAGTTGGCATAGGTGATCACGGTAAATGTTTAATTTTTAAATGTCCCCATATGTGTATTTTACTTTTTGTAAAAGTGCAAAAGTTTTAAAAAGTAAAACTGAAAAGATTCTTTTTCAGCTGGGCATGGTGGCTCATGCCTACAATCCCAGCACTTTGGGAGGCCAAGGCAGGCAGATCACCTGAGGTCAGGAGCTCGAAACCAACCTGGCCAACATGGCGACACCCCGTCTCTACGAAAAATAAAAAAACAAAAAAATTAACTAGGCATGGTGGCGGGTGCCTGTAGCCCCAGCTACTCCAGAGGCTGAGGCAGGAGAATCGCTTAAACCCGGGAGGCAGAGGTTGTAGTAAGCCGAGATCGCGCCACTGCACTCCAGCCTGGGCGACAGAGTGAGACTCCGTCTCAAGATTCTCCTGCCTCAGCCTCCCAAGTAGCTGGGATTACAGGTGCCCGCCACCATGCCTGGCTAATTTTTCTTGTATTTTTAGTAAAGACGGGATTTCACCATTTTGGCCAGGCTGGTCTTGAACTCCTGACCTCAGGTGATCTGCCCACTTTGGCCTTCCAAAGCGCTAGGATTAACAGGTGTGAGCCACCGCGCCTGGCCTAAAAAGATTCTTGATTTTTTAATTTAAAATGTCAAGAGTATAAGGAAATATATTTCATAGAATTCACAATTTTCATATCTTTATTCTATTACTTCTTAAAGTAGTATTTATGTATTATTTTAACTTTATGTCATGAAAAATTTCCAACATACAAAAGTGGAAAAAATAGTATCATGAGCCTCAGGTTCTGGTCCCCGTGCCTCTGTGTCATCAACATTAGGCTGCTGTTTCTTCCAACTCCCATCCACTGCACACCCCACAGGGGACTGCTTTAAAAGCAAACATAAGACATGATTTAATTTTATCTATCAATAAAATAATTTTGGTGGTAAAAGAAATACAAAGTTAATTGTGGAAAATATTGGAAGTAATAAGGACAGTGATAAAAACTCACCCGTAATTCCAAGATAATGACTGTTAATATTTTGCTCTATTTGATTTTGGGCCCACCTTCTTACATGGGTATGCAAGAATACATACCCTGTTCCCACCACTCCAGCCTTTCATGGCAAAACTGGTCTCGTATTGTAAAATAGGTAATATTTCCTAACCTCCTTTTAAAAAATCTTATTGTGTGACTATTTTCCTATCGTGAAATGTTTTCCTAAAATGTGACTATCCCAATATGTATTTAATCATTTTCTTACCATTAAGACTTGGCATAAAAATCTCTTCATATCTCTTTATCGTTAATTTAAAACAAATTATTCTAAGTGGAATGGGCAAATCAGAGAAAGGGAATGGAAAGCAGACAAGAGTGCCAGGCACTGTGCTGAGAGCTGGGTGTGAACACTCGCTGGCTCACAGCAGCCTGGCGGGCAGGGCCGATTATTTCCCTGCTAGAGATGAGATCACGATGGCGGGCCCAAGATCACGCTGCTGGAAGTGATACGACAGGACCCTGACCTCGGGTCTGCCCACGTCTGAAGTACGTGCTCTTTCCACTACAGTCTGTGGCCTAAAACCATGACAGCAGAGATGTCTACTCAATTCCTTTACCATTGTGCTCACTCAGGACCCTACAAATTCATTTCGGAGGACTTCAAGCATAAGCGAAAGAATTACTGTTGACAAAATAAAACCAACTAGGTTTGCTCTCTCAAGCCCACTGGAGGAAGTGCTAGCACTTGGAAAAAGCAAATGCACGATTAGAATCTGGATTAAAGGGCACCGAGGCTGTCCCCGCATGAGGGCAAGCAGGGCTCCTTCTGACAGGCATTCAGAGTAGGGGTGAGCTGACTGCTCACTGCCTCTGGGCCTTGACTGAGAGTACAACACCTCCAGAGCAAGTCTGTGGGAAACTGCCATGCTTTATTCGTGCAGCCAATCATTTGTTTGGGAACCCAAGTAAATCTGTTAAAAAGTAATCTATACAATCATAATTATACTGAGTCTTTCTTATCTTCTTTTTTAATGTATTTATTTATATTAAATATTTAAATAGAGATGGGGTCTTGCCATGTTGCCTAGGCTGATCTGGAACTTCTGGGCTCAAGCGATCTGCCTACCTTGGCCTCCCGAAGTGCTAGGATTACAGGCGTGAGCCACCGCGCCCAGCACCAGGTCTTTCACAATAGCTAAAATTTGCTAACATGTCCCTATTATATCCTATTAAGACTGACATGTTTTAAAAACTTACATGTGGCTATAATTAGACTTTCATTCCTTTGTAAACACATGACCCATGTTCCAGAAATTTTTCCTCTGTTCTTTCACAAAATCTGAGTCATTACATTTGCAGATCATTAAAGGCAGATTAGCAAGAGTCCAAGTAAGAAAATGACTTTCCTGTTCTAGGACATATTCAAACAGAGGGTGGATTTCTTACAGAAATATCTATCATGGAGGGATTAGAGCAAGCATACGATTGGATTAGGCAAAATATTCTTCATGGTCTCTGGAACTGTACCAGAGGGACAGTACTGTTACTTCTCCTGAAGTAACAACTACGTTGGCCAATTTCTTGTCATGTCAAGCTGCAGGTGCATAACAGATATAGGTGCAGTGTGCTGCCTCCTAGGTCAGCTTTCTAATTAACTTCAAGGCAATGCTAGTGGCTTTTCCTTTGAATTGTAATATGGGAGCAGTAATATCTGAGTCACACCCGGGCAGTGTAACCTGCTCCTGAGTTAAACATACAGTATTAGTTTGCCAATGGCTTGCCTGGCTCTTAGGGACTTAAAAGTTCTTGAACTCCATATGATCACTCCAGGTAACTAGTAAGGTAATTAATATCTCTTTAAATCCCCAGACCAGAACTGCTGCTGTTCTCCATCCACCAACTACAGTGGTCTCCATCTAGGAGACCCATCATATTTAAACAACACCCCGGGCCAGGCACGGTGGCTCACGCCTGTAATCCCAGCACTTTGGGAGGCTGAGGAGGGCGGATCACCCGAGGTCGGGAGTTCAAGACCACCCTGACCAACATGGAGAAACCCCCTCTCTACTAAAAATACGAAAATTAGCTAGGTGTGGTGGCGCATGCCTGTAATACCAGCTACTCGGGAGGCTGAGGCAGGAGAATCGCTTGAACTCAGGAGGCGGAGGTTGTGGTGAGCTGAGATCACGCCATTGCACTCCAGTCTAGGCAACAAGAGCGAAACTCCATCTCAAAACAAAACAAAACAAAACAAAACAAAAAAAACACCCCTCGTGAGTCTGTGAGTCATTTCCTTAGGATTTTCCCAAATTGACACATTTCCAAACACCTTTTGATGTAGGTATGAGGTACATACGTGTCCAAACAGAGTAGGGTTACGTAAGTATATTTACTAATTCACTCTGTACTATGTGAATTTGGGACCAGTCTTAAATGTATGGAAATAGAATCATGGAAATTCCACAATGCGGAAACAGAATCGTCTTTCCATCTGGGCAAAGTGACTGAGCTGGGGCATCAAGCATGGAAACCAGCTTCTTCAGAACTATGAGGTAAAAGGTGAAGTCACCAAGAGAAGGGATTCTTAAAAACCTTTTGCTCAAAATTCCATGTGGATTCTCACAGTTGGCAAAGATTATTCCCAAAACACCCACTAAGGCAACAGTGTACTGGGAGAGCTGATGCATTACCTGAAGCCATGTTCTCAGGACCTTGCTCCCCACCCAGCTAGCAGCGCTGCTATGAACTGGCTCCCGTTACTCACCTCTCCAAATCCGCCTTTTCCTAGAACTCTGTAATGTCTAAATGTGTTCTTTGTTACGGGTTGCCTAATCAATGAGAAAAACAAGTTTCAGGTCTCACATTGCATTGTTCTTTTAAAAAAGAAAAGTTTACTCAGCGCTTGTCTTCGCCTCATTTATTGAACCATTCTGCTCAAAGGGGATGCCCGGGACAAAGGGTGTCTGTGCTCAGGGACTGTGGCTCCCTCTAGCAGGATAGCTCTTGACTTGCTCTAAGAGCAATTAATTCATCTTTTTTTTTTTTTTTTTTTTTGAGATGGAGTCTCACTCTGTCGCCAGGGCTGGAGTGCAGTGGCACGATCTAGGCTCACTGCAACCTCCGCCTCCTGGATTGAGGCAATTTTCCTGCCTCAGCCTCCCGAGTAGCTGGGATTACAGGCGCCTGCCACTATACCCAGCTAATTTTTTGTATTTTTAGTAGAGACGGGTTTTCACCATGTTTACCAGGCTGGTCTCGAACTCCTGACCTCATGATTCACCCGCCTCAGCCTCCCAAAGTGCTGGGATTATAGGCGTGAGCCACCACCCGGCCAATTAATCTTAATTAATATTTAAGACACTGAAGCAAAAGGCAGAACAGTCTAATTATCCTCACTAACTAAAGATAGGTCTGAAACCAGCCAACACTAGGAAATATGTATGTTCATAACTCCTGGTATACTCTTGGGTAGATCCCTCTCAACCTGTCAGAAAGCAGGTGAAGAAGATGACGTATATACGTTGTGCCATCCTTTGAAAAAAGAACCTCAAAGATGTTTATACCCAGCGCCTCAAAAACAGCATGTATAAGCAAGAACTGGAAATTTAATCAATCAATAATAATAGTACTAATAATAACACTAGTAGCAGCTAACACTTTTTTTTTTTTTTTTGAGACAGAGTCTTGCTGTGTTGCCCAGGCTGGAGTGCAGTGGAGCCACCTCAGCTCACTGCAACCTCCACCTCCTGGGTTCAGGCGATTTCTCCTGCCTCAGCCTCCCAAGTAGCTGGGAGTACAGGTGCATGCCACCGTGCCTGGCTAAGTTTTGTAGTTCTAGTAGAGACGGGTTTCACCATTTTGGCCAGGCTGGTCTTGAACTGCTGACCTCAGGTGATCCACCCGCCTCGGCCTCCCAAAGTGCTGGATTACCGGCATGAGCCACTGCGCCCGGCCCACAGCTAACACTTTTTAAGCACTTATTTTGTGCACCAAACATTGTGCTATAAGCGTTGTACACACATTTCCCAGGTGATCCTAGCAATGGTCCAAGGAGGCAGATTCTATAATTACCTGTAATTTATAGAACAAGGACCTGCCACTCATACAAGCTAAGCCACTTACCTGAGGCCACATAAACAGTAAGAGGCTGAGCAGGGTTTAACTGCCAGGTCCCACCCATTGCATCCTATTCTAGCACTAAAAATCTAAGCTAAGTTTTATTTTCTAGCCACTGAACCAACAGGGATACCTGCCATTTTAAAAAGAGAGAACAGAGTCTATTAAATTAGAAGAAATGGTATAACACTAATACCTATGAAAATTTCTGTATAAAAATATCATATACAACTCAAAATTTCTAATTGTATTTTGACAGATGGAAAAGTCTACGTCAATCAGTATGCATTGTGAGAAGTTAACACTTCTTTTATTGAGGTCTCTTTTCTTTTTTTCTGTTGTATTAGAGATGGGGTCTTGCTACATTGCCCAGGTTGGAGTGCAGTGGCTATTCACAGGCTTGATCATCCCGTACTATAGCCTTGAAGTCTTGGGCTTAAGCAATCCTTCAGCCTCAGCCTCCTGAGTAGCTGGGACTACAGGCATGTGCCACCTCAATTGGCTTTTATCAAGTTTAAAATCAGTACATACCTTTCCAGCCATTTCCATTGTAAAAACTGAGAAAAATATGAGCTTTCTTGGTATTCTTCAAATGGTTCCCCTCTTAGGTAGTTATGGGCAACTCTAGAAAAAGATTTTTTAAAATTATATACATTTGTTGTATTAAGAAATAAAAACAAGTGTGTTTTAGTGCATTAATAGGCACTGAATATGGGAAAGCCAATCATTACACACAATTCAATATTTTGAATTTGCAATTACAGAAGTCCACGTTAGGTTCTAACGCTATAAGTGAAAACAGAAGTGAAATAGAATGAATGAAAAAAGCAGTGAAATAGAAGGATGCATTCCCTTCTTGGGAGTGAGGGTGTCAGCTGTTCTGTTATCAAGCAGCATGCTTCCCATGTGCAAGACACAGTGGAAGGGTCCTCTGGAGGACAGCATAGAGGTCAAAGCCATGGGCCACTGCAAGTCCGGCTTCAGCCACTCACTGGCTGAGGGACCTGAGCCAACTTACCCAACCTCTATAGCCTCAGTTTCTCCTTCTGTAAAACAGAGATAATAATCATGCCTATTTCATACAGTTACTGTGAGCGGGTAAGTGCATTAATACTTCCAAGTATTTATTATTGTTTTGTTATTTGTTGTTGTTGTTTAGAGACAGGGCCTCACTCTATTGCCCAGGCTGGAGTGCAATGGCACAATCATGGCTCAATGCAGCCTTGAACTCCTGGCCTCAAGCAATCCTCCCATCTCAGCCTCCCAAAGCACTGGGACTACAGGTGTAAGCCACCAAGCCTAGCCTTATAATTGTTGTGTTATTACTATTACATGTCACTTAGTGCACATGTACAAGAAAGAGTTTAGGGTGTGTACATGCCCAGGAGAGGGATGTGAAGGACAAAAGCGTGGACTGAAAGATTGGCCCTTCCTGGCCTCTGTGGCATCCCAGATGAAGACAGGAAGAAATCTGATTCTTATCACAATATCCCAGGACCAGTATCAGAGAGCAAAGACCAAGCCTGTCCTGTCTGCCATACCAGAGAAGCAATCAAATGGAGCCATGGAGCCAACATCTCTTTTCTTTTTTTTTGGTCTGGCTCTGTCACCCAGGCTGGAGGGTAGTGGTGAGGTCACAGTCACTGCAGCCTTGACCTCCCAGGCTCAATTGATCCTCCCACCTCAGCCTTCTGAATAGCTGGGACTACAGGCATGTACCACTATGCCTGGCTAATTTTTGTATTACAGACAGGGTTTCACCATGTTGTCCAGGCTGGTCTCGAACTCCTGAGGTCACGCAATCCTTCTGCCTTGGCCTCCCAAAGTGCTAGGATTATAGGCATGAGCCATGGCACCCAGCCAGAGACATCTTTTTGGAAAGCAGTTCAAATCACAAACACTAGAATACCATTAATGTGAATATCCAACAAGAATAAGTAAGATGACTTGAAATTGAAAATCTCTTTTTTTTTTTTTTTGAGGCGGAGTTTTGCTCTTGTTGACCAGGCTGGAGTGCAATGGCGTGATCTTGGCTCACCACAACCTCCACCTCCTGGGTTCAGGCGATTCTCCCGCCTCAGCCTTCCTGAGTAGCTGGGATTACAGGCATGTGCCACCATGCCTGGCTAATTTTGTATGTTTAGTAGAGACAGGGTTTCTCCATGTTGGTCAGGTTGGTCTCGAACTCCTGACCTCAGGTGATCCACCCACGTCGGCCTCCCAAAGTGTTGGGATTACAGGCGTGAGCCACCATGCCTGGCCTGAAAATCTTTAGTCTACATTTACTCTAATCCATTTACTCTAATCCATTTTCAGAGGAGGGGGCTGAGGGACAGAGGGAAGGGTTCTAGTCCGGTGCCATACACCTGGTTAGGAGAAAGATGGGATGCATGCCATTTATCTGTGGGGTGTGGAACTGGCCGCTGAATTCTCACTAAAGGAATAAGCATCTAAACCACCCAGCTCCTCAGTGTGCAGAGAAGCCACACCTCAAGAGAAAGCCAGATAGAGAGAGAAAGCCTTGTTTTTTATTTTTATTTATTTATTTATTTATGAGACAGAGTCTCGCTGTGTTGCCCAGGCTGGAGTACAGTGGAGTACAGGGGAGGCTCATTGCAGCCTCCACCTCCCAGGTTCAAGTGATTCTCATGCCTCAGCCTCCTGAGTAGCTGGGATTACAGGCGCACACCCCCAGGCCTGGCTAATTTTTGCATTTTTTTGGAGAGATGGGGTTTCTCTATGTGGGCCAGGCTGGTCTTGAACTCCTGGCCTCAAGCGATCTGCCCGCCTCGGCCTCCCAAAGTGCTGGGATTACCGGCGTGAGCCACCGCGCCCGGCCTGTGTGTTATTTTAGAGGCAGCCGCATCATTAAAGCATCAGGGTCCAGCCCCAGCCCCACTATGCTCGGACTGCACTGGCTCAGGTGCGCCACTCCCTGCCACATGTGAGCTGCAACGGCCTCGCCGGCTCATCTCCTGGACCCCATCTTCCCTCTCTTTAACCTCTAAGTTGCACCCAGAGCGATCTTTTTAAACACAATGCATATGTCATCTGCTTGCTCTCAGAGCAAAGAATAAACTTTCTCATGGCTCCCTGGGCCTCCGTTTCCTCCGCTGTGACATGAGTGACTGTCTGCATGCATACACAAGGCACTGCAGATTTTGGGCCTGATCACCTCAGAAACTGTTCTTTCATCCCGCATATGTAAAGAAACTGAATTTAGCCAAAGTGCTTTACCTCGGAATTCTCCTTGGAAATGCCCTGAAAAAAGATGTTTTTGGTGAGTACCTAGGTCTGAAAAAAATCTTTTTGTCCTAGACACAAGCAGAGCAGAGAGGGCCTGGAGTCACCACAGGGATGCTAGGATACTGGTGCTAAACGATGGGACCCCCTTCAGTGTGCCTCGTGTGTACATGGAATTATTACTCTTCATTCACCTCTTTCTAGAGGAAGTAATCATTTTAATGTGTAAAGTACAGTTGACCCTTGAACAATGCGGGTTGAGACGCCAGGAGCCACTTATGTATGTATTTTCTTCCGCCTCTGCCACCCCTGAGACAGCAAGACCAGCTCCTCCTCTTCCTCCTTCTCCTCAGCCTCCTCAACGTGCAGATGACGAGGATGAAGACCTTTATGATGATCCATTTCCACTTTATGAATAGGAATTATATTTTCTCTTCCTTATGATTTTCTTAGTAACACTTTATTTTTTCTAGCATACTTTATTGTAAGAGTATAGCATATAATACATATACAAAATATGTGTTCATCTGCTGTTTATGTTATCAGTAAGGCTTCTGGTCAACAGTAGGCTAATGGTAGTTAAGCTTTTGGGGGAGTCAAAAGTTACACACAGATTTTCAACTGCGCAGAAGGTTGGGTGGTGTCAGCGTCCCTAATGCCCATGTTGTTCAAGGGTCAACTACACTCTAGGAACTTGTCTTATGCAGAGAAACCTCCTGAAAGCTGTCTGTTTTGGGGTTAGTCATAGATAATATATGCAGGGCTCAGCATGAACCACTTACCTAGTACATTCCTCAAAGGCTTTTTTGGAAGGGTTCTCCTCCTTCAGTCCCAATCTACATTCTGTCACAACATCTGGAGGTATTTCTGGTAAAGGGGCTGCCAACTTAATACAGTACAAACCAAATACATAACCATTAGTGATTTCATAACTTACTAGTGAACAGAACCTAATGCTTATTGTAAAAAAATGAAACACAAAGTGTATAAAATGAAAGTCAAAGTGCCACCTGGACCCTCCACCCCGTCCCACTCTCCAGAGTTCTGCTGTTGTCTGCCTTTTCAGATCTTCTCCGATGCATATCAAAACACACACAGGGCCAGATGCAACGGCACACGCCTGTAATCCCAGCACTTTGGGAGGCCGAGGTGGGTGGATCACCTGAAGTCAGGAGTTTGAGACCAGCCAACATGGTGAAACTCCGTCTCTACTAAAAATACAAAACTATTAGCCAGGCGTGGTAGGTAGCTACTTGGGAGGCTGAGGCAGGAGAATCACTTGAACCTGGGAGGCGGAGGTTGCAGTGAGCTGAGATCACGCCACTGCACTCCAGCCTGGGCAACAAGAGTGAAACTCCGTCTCCAAACCAAACCAAACCAAACAAAAAAACACACACACAGAATGGAAAGCAGGGTCTCAAACAGGTATCTGCACACCCATGTTCATTGCAGCATAATTCACCATAGCAAAAAACAACCCAGGTGTCTGTGGATGAATGGATAAATAAAATGCAGTATATATACACAGTGGAATATTATTCAGCCTTTTAAAAAAAGGAAATTCTGAAATACGCTACAACTTGGATAAACCTTTTGGACATTATGTTAAATGAAATAAGCCAGTCACGGCCGGCATGGTGACTCACCCCTGTAATCCCAGCACTTTGGGAGGCAGAGTTATGTGGATCAGTTGAGGTCAGGAGTTCAAGACCAGCCTGGCCAACATGGTGAAACCCTGTCTTTACTAAAAAATACAAAAATTAGCCAGGCGTGGTGGCAGGCACCTGTAATCCTAGCTACTCAGGAGGCTGAGGCACGAGAATTGCTTGAAGCTGAGAGGCGGAGGTTGCAGTGAGCTGAGATTGTGCCACTGCCCTCCAGCCTGGACGACAGAGCGAAACTCCATCTCAAAAATAAATAAAGAAGCCAGTCACAAAGTGACAAATCCTGTATGATTCCACTTATATATGGTCCCTAGAGTAGTCAAATTCATAGAGACATAAAGTAGAATGGTGGTTGCCAGGCGCTTGGAGAGAACTGGGAATTGTTGAATGGACGCAGAATTTCAGTTCTGTGAGATGAAAAGGTCGGTTCTGGAGATGGGCTGCAGAACAGGGTGAATATATTTAACACTACTGAAGTGCACACTTACAAATGCTGACGTTGGTAACCTTCATGTTACGTGTTTTTTTATCACAATTAAAATTAAAAATCAAACACACACACCTCTTCAGATAGTTTCTTTTTCCTCATGCAAATGGGAAAAATATATGTTCAGTTTTGTGGTTTTTTTGGAGACAGAAAATCTCGGCTCATTGCAGCCTCCACCTCCTGGGCTCATGCAATCCTCCTACCTCCACCTCCCAAGTAGCAGGGACTATGGGCGCATGCCACCACACCTGGCTAGTTTTTTTGAGATGGAGTCTTGTTCTGTGGTCCAGGCTGGAGTGCAGTGCATGATCTTGGGTCACTGCAAGTCCCGCCGCCCAGGTTCAAGCGATTCTCCTGCCTCAGCCGCCCAAGCAGCTGGGATTACAGGTGCCCGCCACCACGCCTGGCTAATTTCGAACTCCTGACCTCAAGAGATCCTTTGGAAGTCTTCAGCCTTCCAAAATGCTGGGATTCCAGGTGTTAGCCACTGTGCCCAGCTGCACCTAGCTGATCTTTGTATTGTTTGTAGAGACAGTGTTTCACCACGTTGCCCAGGCTGGTCTTGAACTCCTGAGCTCAACTGATCTGCCCACCTTGGCCTACAAAAGTGCTAGGATTACAGGCATGTGCCACTGTGCCCAGCCTGGGTCCAGTGTTTAAAGTATGTGCTGACGTCTATAGAGCTACCCCACTTTCTTGAGTGACTGCACGGTCTCCCGGTGTATGAGTTTATCTGCCCCCAGTTACATCCTAGTTGCCAGTTTTCCCACGCAAACAGCACCACCGTGAACGTCTCTATACATGTGTATTTCTATAGGATAGATTCCTAAACACAGAGTTACCAGCTCAAAAAGATGCAAGCATTTTAAACTTCATATTTATTGTGAAACTGCCCTCCAAAGAGGCTCTGCCACTCTGTATTCCCACTCACAGTGTTCCAGGTGCCCAGGCCCTGCTCTCCTTAACCCTCATCCAGAGAATTCTGGAAAAAGGAAACACATGACAAAACCACTGTCCAGATTCAATGAAAAAATACCCAAGTCATGCTCAATTGTCCACCTAATTTGTAATTAGAAACAAGAAATGCATTCCAGACTGATTTCTGACTGTGATAGGGCCAAGCGACCAGAGGAAATCTGTGTTTATAAATCAGTTATTTCCTAACATAAGTTGAAAGATAGTAAACAATAAGAAAACTCACATTTTAAAAAATCAACAATATTATCACAATTAATCATGATTAGTAGCTGCCATTTAAATTATCTAATACATTTGAGGCATTTCAATAACTATGGTCTCGGGCGGGCGTGGTGGCTCACGCCTGTAATCCCACTACTTTGGGAGGCGAAGGAGGGTGGATCACCTGAGGTCAGGAGTTCGAGACCAGCCTGACAAACATGGTGAAACCTGTCTCTACTAAAAATACAAAAATTTAGCTGGGCATGGTGGCAGGCACCTGTAATCTCAGCTACTCAGGAGGCTGAGGCAGGGGAATCACTTGAACCCAGGAGGCAGAGGTTGCAGTGAGCCAAGATCACGCCACTCCACTCCAGCCTGGGCTACAAGAGCGAAACTCCATCTCAAAAAAAAAAAAAATATATATATATATATGTGTGTGTGTGTGTGTGTGTGTGTGTGTATATGTACTCACACACACATATATACATATATATGTATGTGTATACATACATACATACACACATATATATACATATATGTATATATATACACATACACATATATACATATATATACACATACACATATATACATATATATACACATACACATATATACATATATATACACATACACATATATACCTATATATATACACATACACATATATACATATATATACACACACACACACACATATATATATATATATAGTCTCATTTAGCCCTACAACCACCACCCTGATGGATGAGGAGAGACTTGGGAAGTCCCTCTCCAGTGCACCTGCATCACCAAGGGGAGAGCCAAGACTGAAACACACACACCCTGCTGGACTCTCCAGTCCTTTCTTTCTATGCAGCAAGGCTGTCATAAGAATAAGATCGGTCCATTCATTTTCCTATTTAAGAAAAGAAGTTTGGGCCAGGCGCCGTGGCTCACGCCTGTAATCCCAGCACTTTGGGAGGCTGAGGTGGGCAGATCACGAGGTCAAGAGATCGAGACCATCCTGGCCAACATGGTGAAACCCCATCTCTACTAAAAATACAAAAAAAAAATTAGCTGGGCATAATGGCACGTGCCTGTAGTCCCAGCTACTCGGGAGACTGAGGTAGAAGTATCATTTGAACCCAGGAGGCAAAGGTTGCAGTGAGCCGAGATTGTGCCACTGCACTCCAGCCTGGTGACAGAGCAAGACTGTTTCAAAAAAAAAAAGAAAAGAAAAGAAAAGAAAAGAAAAGAAAAAAGAAAGAAAAGAAGTTTGTTCATTCACTCATTTGCTCCACAAATATGCATTGTTCCAGGCACTGGACACAGCAGAAAACAAGACAAAATATTCTCAGAAGACAAAGACAATATTTTAACAGTCATTTCCCCTCCAAAGTCTCAATTTTTCTGAAACTAAATAGCAGGTTGATTCTATCAAGACCGTTTAATGATTAACACCAAATAGTGTTCCCATTTTCTATATCATAGAAAATTTTTATATTAATAGTTATTTATTCTCACACAAAGGAAAAGCAGTGTTTCTAATATCCATGAGAGAGAGGGAGGTAAGCTAAGGTGACCTGAAGTATGGCAAGGTAAGGTACAGAACTACCAGCCTGATGCAGAACTGAGACTTCTGGGGCTTTACATTAAGGATCAATCATTGTTTTTCAGAATAAGTAGTTACCAGGGCAAATTTACCAAATGACTTAGTGCCTTGCTTTTTAAAATTTTAGGCAGAGGAAATTCTAATAGGAAAGACCACTGGTGGAGAGGGAAGGGAGGGTGGATTTTGCAGAAATATGCTTCTTTTTCTGTGTTGAAAATTACATTTACTTTCCTATTTTAAAAAATTGGGTCATCTTTTTATTGTTGCATTGTAAGAGTTATTTATATATTCTGGATACTAGACCCTTACCAGTATTTGATTTACAAATCCTTTTCCCCATTCTGTTGGTTATGTTTTCACTTCTTGATAGTGTTCTTTGAAGCATAAAGTTTTAAATTTTGATGAAGTTCAGTTTATCTATTTTTTCTTTGTTGCTTGTGCTTTAGGTGTCATATCTAAGAAGTCACTGCCTAATTTCAAGGTATTGAAGAGTTACACCTACACTTTCCTCTAAGAGTTGTATAGTTTTAGCTCTTATATTTAGGCCTTTGATGGATTTGGCATTAATGTTTTGTTTATGGAATGAGGTAGGGCTTCCGTGTGATTCTCTGCATGTGGCTATCCAGTTGTTCCAGTACCATCTATTGAAAAGACTATTCTTTCTCCCAGTTGAATTGTCTTGGCATCCTTGTGATAAGGCAATTAATTGACTGTTAATGTGTTATCGTTTGGATGTGTGCCCCAAAGTTCATGTGTTGGTAGCTTAATTCCCAATGCAACAGTGTTGAGAGGTGGGACCTTTAAAAAGGTGATAAGATCATGAGGACTCTGCCCCTCAGGAATGGATTCATGCTGCAATCTCAGGACTGGTTTTGTTATTGTTGCGGCATTGCGGCAGGTTCCTGATAAAAAGCTAAGCTCAGCCCCTTCCACCACTCCCCACCCAGGCGTGTGCATACCCTCGTATTCTTCTGCATGGATGATGCAGCAAGAGGGCTCTCACTAGATTGGACTCCTTGACCTTGGACTTCCGGCTTTCAGAACTGTAAGAAATAAATCTCTGTTCTTTATAAATTACCCAATCTCAGGTATTCTGTTAGAGCAGCACTAAATGGACTAAGACAAAATGCATGAATTTGTTTCTGCACTCTCGATTCCATACCATTGACTGCTGTATGTCTACCATCATGCCAGGACCATACTGTCTTGATTACTGTAGCTTTGTACTAAGTTTTGAAATTGAGGAGTGCGAGTCCTCCAACTACATTCTTTTTAAAGAATGTTATAGTCCACGTCCCTTGACTATCCATATGAGTTCTAAGATTAGCTTGCTTGTTAATTTCTGCAAAAAAAAAAATGGTAGTTAGACTTGTGATAGGGATTATATTGAATCTATAGATCAATTTGGGGAGTACTGCCATCTTAACAATATTAAGTCTTCTGATCCACGAACAGGAGATGTCTTTCCATTTCTTGAGATCTTCTTTAATTTTTTTCAGTGCTTTCTAGTTTTCAGAGTATAAGTGTTACACTTATGTTGTTACGTTCATTCTTAAGTATTTTATTCTTTTTTGATACTATACAAAGGGAATTGCTTTCTTAATTTCTTTTTTTTTGGATTTTAATTGCTAATATATAGGAATACAATTAAATTTTGTATAGTGACTTAGTATCTTGCAGCCTTACCAGACTCACTTATTAGCTCCAACAGTCTTTTTCTTTATGTGTGTATGTGTGAATTTCTTAGAATTTTCTATATCCAAGATTATGTCATTTGCAAATAGAGTTTTACTTCTTCCTTTACAATCTAAATACCTTTTCTTTTCTTTTTTTTTTTAAACAGAGTCTTGCTGTGTTGCCCAGGCTGGAGTGCAATGGCACAACCTTGGCTCACTGCAACCTCCTCCTCCCGGGTTCAAGCAATTCTCCTGCCTCAGCTTCCAAGTAGCTGGGATTACAGGTGCCTACCACCATGCCCAGCTAATTTTTGTATTTTTAGTACAGACGGGGGTTTCACCATGTTGCCCAGGCTGGTCTCAAACTCCTGACCTCAGGTGATCCACGCGCTTTGGCCTCCCAAAGTGCTGGATCACAGGTATGAGCCACTGCGCCTGGTGAATACCTTTTATTTCTTTTTCTTGCCTAATTGCCCTGTCTAGAACCTCCAGTACAATGGAACTTACAGTTGACCCTAGTTGAACAGAAGTGGTGAGGGTGCACAATCTTGTCTTGTTCCTAATCTTAAAGGAAAGCATATAGTCTTTTACTTTTTTTTTTTTTTTTTGGAGATGGAGTCTCACTCTGTCATCCAGGCTGGAGTGCAGTGGTGCAATCTCAGCTCACTGTAACCTCTGCCTCCCAGGTTCAAGTGATTCTCTTGCCTCAGCCTCCTCAGTAGCTGGGACTATAGGCGTGCACCACCATGGCCGGCTAATATTTGTATTTTTAGTAGAGATGGGGTTTCACCATGCTGGCCAGGCTGGCCTCAAACTCCTGACCTCATGATCTGCCCACCTCGGCCTCCCAAAGTGCTGGAATTACAGGTGAACACCACCACACCCGGCCTAGTCTTTCACATTTAAGTATGATGTTGGCTGTGGGTATTTCATAGATATCATTTATCAGGCTGAGCAGCCCATAAACGTCTCTCTCTCTCTATTATCAAGTGCTATCATTTGAACGTTGGTCCCTTCCCCTCAAAGCTCATGTTGACGTTTAATTGTTATTGTGACCATTAAAAGGCATTTAAGAGGTTCCACTTTCATGAAGGGACTAATTTCATTCCTAGTTTGCTCAGTGCTTTTATCACGAAGGGGTGTGGATTTTATCAAATACTTTTTCTATTTTTATTAAGATAATCATGTGGTTTTTAAATATTTTATTCTATTAATATGGTGTATTATAGTAATTGATTTTCAGATACTGAACCAATTTTGTATCCCTAGGGAAAAGCCCACTTGGTTTTGGTTATGATTCTTTTAAACCATAAATTCAAATTTGGCTGAATTTTAATATTTGAGAACCCTGAGAGGAAAACTAAGAAAAACTAACAATGTCTGAGTGACTGGATAAAGAAATGCAAGAATGAACACACGGTCTTGCTTTACTTTCAGGTACTTTGAATATTATGGGTTGTTAAAATTTGAGTAAGTGACCTCAAGGAGTTCTCTTTTTTCAACTCCTGGCATCAAGAGAGCCTCCTGTCTTGGCCTCCCAAAGTGCTGGGATTACAGGCATGAGCCACCGCACCTAGCCTAGGGGTTCCCTTTTTAGCATGTAAAAGAAAGAGAAGTTTATTCTTGCTGTTTTAAAATAAAAGACAAGAAAAGGAAAAACTACAATAATGACGTGAATCATTGCTTTTTATTTGTTTGTTTTTTGTTTCAGTAAAGCACAAGAGCAGGGCCATCAGGTGGGAAGAGGAAGAATGTGGCAGTTTCCCCAGTTGATGGTAAGAAAAGAAAAAAAAAAAAAGCTTTCCAGCTACATCATCTCCAGGCAGCCCATAAACATCTCTCTATTACCAAGTGCTATTATCTAAACATTTGTCTATCCCCCACAAAGCTCATGATGACATTTAATTGCCACTGTGACAGTATTGGGAGGTAGGACCATTAAGAGGCATTTTTTTTTTTCCTGAGGCAGAGTCTCGCTCTGTCACCCAGGCAGGAGTGCAGTGGCGCGAACTCAGCTCACTGCAAACTTTGTCTCCTGGATTCAAGCGATTCTCCTGCCTCACCCTCCTGAGTAGCTGGGATCATAGGCACCTGCCACCATGCCTGGCTAATTTTTGTATTGTTAGTAGAGACGGGGTTTCACCATCTTGGCCAGGATGGTCTCGAACTTCTGACCACAGGTGATCCGTCTGCCTCAGCCTCCCAAAGTGCTGGGATTACAGGCGTGAGCCACCGCGCCCGGCCTAAGAGGCATTTAAGAGGTTCCACCTTCATGAAGGGACTAGTGCCCTTATCTTGTTATCCCTGGAGTAGGTTTGCCCCCTTTTGTGTCCACATGCTCAGACATGTGTGCAAGCAATCCCTCTCTTTCCACTTCCACCAAGTGATGATGCAGCAAGAAGGCCCTTGCCAGATGCTGGCATTAAGAAGGGGGAAAAAAAAAAAAGGTTTTTATCTGAGGAATGTGAGCCCCTTCGAATTATCAGGCCCAGAACAGTCATGACTCACTCCCCCTTGAGCTAAATAATTACTTCTTGAAGCCACTTGCTAGTGGTCCCTAGACTGATGCCAAGTATCCATAAATGCCATATACTGGACACCATAACTTATATTCTCACTCTGTAGTTCAACAATATATAGCCAATGATCAGTGGATCATTGTTCTCTCTTAAACCAGTGAGAATTCGGGTCAAACAACATTGTATCAGCTCACTCCTTGTTCCCTTTGCCTTTAAAACCCTGCCAGTAACCAAGGCCAGTAGAGCACTTCCCAAGGCAACTTGGAAGTGTGTCCCACGCAGCTGTCTTTACTTTAGCTCAAGTAAACTCTTTTTTTTTTTTGAGAAGGAGTCTCACTTTATCACCCAGGTTGGAGTGGCACAATTTTGGTTCACTGCAACCTCCGCCTCCCAGGTTCAGGTGATTCTCCTACCTCAGCCTCCCAAGGAGCTGGGATTATAGGCATGCACCACCACATCCAGTTAATTTTTTTTTTTTTTTTTTTTTTTTTAGTAGAGATGAGGTTTCACCATGTTGGCCAGGCTGGTCTCGAACTCCTAACCTCAGGTGATCTGCCCGCCTCGGCCTCCCAAAGTGCCGGGATTACAGGCGTGAGCCACAGCACCTGGTCCAAGTAAACTCTTTAAATTACATTTTGTGTCTCAGCTTCTTCATTTTAGGTCAACAACACCTTGAACTGGGCATCCTAGCCTCTAAAACTGTGAGCCAAGAAATTTCTTTTTATTATAAATTACCCAGTCTCCATGCACGCATATGTTCATTGCAACACTATTTGCAATAGCAAACACATGGAATCAACCTAAATGCCCATCAATGATAAACCGGATAAAGAAAATGGGGTACATATACACTATGGAATACTATGCAGCCGTAAAAAAGAGAACGATCATGTTCTTTGCAAGAACATGGATGGAGCTGGAGGCCATTATCCTTAGCAAACTAACACAGGAACAGAAAACCAAATACCACATATTCTTACTTAAGAGTGGGAGCTAAATGATGAGGACACATGGACACACAGAGGGAAACACCACACAATGGGGCCTATTGGAGGATGGGGGATGTGGGGAAGGAGCAGATCAAGAAAAATAACTAAAGGGTGCTAAGCTTAATACCTGGGTGATGAAATAATCTGTACAACAAACCCCATGATGCAAGTTTACCTACGTAACAAACCTGCACATGTACCCCCGAACTTAAAATAGAAGTTAAAATAAATAAATACATAAATTACCCAGTCTCTGGCATTCTATTACAGCAGCACAAAACAGACTAAGGCACCAAGCCACACATGTATAACCTCCCCTTCCCTCCTCTTCCACATTTGCTATATCTACCATGATTCATTTTTAAATTTTTTCTTTTGTTTTTCTTTATAATTATTTCTTTCTTCTTGATGCCCTCCCTTGCTATATGGGTATTTCTTCAGAAGAGGTGAAGAAAGAAAAGGGAGCTAATTTAAAAAGAATAATAACTAGATAAATGGAGCCGGGTGTAGTGGTTCACGCCTGTAATCCCCACAATTTGGGAGGCCGAGGCAGGCAGATCACTTGAGGCCAGGAGTTCGAGACTAGCCTGGCCAATATGGCAAAACCCCGTCTGTACTAAAAATATAAAAAGTAGCCAAGTGTGGTGGTGCACACCTGTAATCCAAGCTACCCAGGTGGCTGAGGCATGTGAATCACTTGAACCCGGGAGGCAGAGGCTGCAGTGAGCCAAGATCGTGCCACTGCACTCCAACCTGCACAACAGAGCAAGGTGCTATCTCAAAAAAGGGAAAAAAATAAAAATAAAAATTAGAACTAGATAAATGAAACTTCTACTCATTCTAACTAGTGTCCTGGGGGTACCTACAAATATGCTCATGTTGTAACAGCTGTGTTTGAGAGAGTAATCTGTAAGGCTGGAGGCTGGGGTAGAAAACTCATTAGGGTCTGAATCACACCTCTGACACCCACTGCTATGTATCTTTGTGCTGCTAGATGGTCCTGCTGGCCATCCCCTCTGGCACTCTATTTTTTGTACAACGAAGCTCCCCTAAGATGATGGCCCTATATCCAGTTGGCTATGTTTCAAATCCAAATATTTTGAACTCATTCTCACCACACTATTCACTAATTCCATTCTCCACATGTTCGATTCCTGGTTCTGACACTTACTAGGTGTGTAACCTTGGGTAAGTCACTTAGTCACTGATTTTCAGTCTTATCATATGAAAATAGACTTGAGAATAGTATCTACCTCATAGGTTTGTTGTGATAATTACATAATGTATTACATGTTAGAGCAGTGATTTTTTTGTGTTTTTTTGTTTGTTTTGTTTTGAGACAGAGTCTCGCTTGTTGACCAGGCTAGAGTGCTGTGGCACGATCTCAGCTCACTGCCACCTTTACCTCCCAGGTTCAAGTGATTCTCATGCTTCAGCCTCCCTATTAGCTGGGATTACAGGCATGCACCACCACGCCTGGCTAATTTTTGTATTTTTAGTAGAGACAGGGTTTCACCATATTGGCCAGGCCTGTGTCGAATTCTTGACCTCAAGTGATCTACCCGCCTCAGCCTCCCAAAGTGCTGGGGTTACAGGCGTGAGCCACCACACCTGGCCTAGAGCAGTGTTAATTACATGTTTGCTATCCCTGTTGTTCCTTTTCTCCTTCCATCCTTACAATATAGGGCCCTGCCCAGAATTGAGGACTTCTAACAGAAGTCACATGAAAGGAAGCAGGTTACAGCTCTAATTTCAGTGACATACTGAACTACAAGAACCAAGTAAGTCAAAAGCATAAAAGCTAAGACCCATTAAAGCTTTTAGGAAAAAATGTTATTTTTAGTCCAAGAGAGACAAATAAAATTCTCCAACTCTATATTCTGAAACTTTAAATACACTGAATCAATTTTCTAAGAGATCTAATTGTTAGTTTCCTCATGACATCAAACAAAATGCAAAAGAGGAACATTTATAATAAATTCAAGCTTTTTAAAGATTAATTAATTGATGTTGGGAGGTAGTTTTGAGACAGGGTCTTACTCTCTTGTCCAGGCTAGAGCATAGCAGTATGATCCCAGCTCACTGCAGCCTTGACCTCCTGGGCTCAAGCAGTCCTCCCACCTGAGCCTCCCAAGTAGCTGAGAACACAGGTGCACGCCACCATGCTTAGCTAATTTTTTTTTTCTTTTTTGTAGCAATGCGGTTTTGCCATATTGCCCAGGTTGGTTTTGAACTCCTGAGCTCAAGCGATCTGCCTGCCTCGGCCTCCCAAAGTGCTGAGATTACAGGCATGAAACACTGTGCCTGGCCTTACTTTTTATTTTTTTAAGACAGGGTCTTGCTCTGTCACCCAGGCTAGAATGCAGTGGCATGACCTTGGCTCACAGCCACCTCAATCTCCTGGGCTCAAGCGATCCTCCCACCTCACCTCCCAAGTAGCTGGGACTACAGATGCACACCACCATGTCCAGCTAGTTTTTTTGTTTATTTTTTTGTAGAGATGGTCTCACTATGTTGGCCATGCTGATCTCGAACTCCTGGGCTAAAGAGATCCTCCTTCCTCAGCCTCCCGAAGTGCTGGGATTACAGGCGTCAGGCATCACACCCAGCCAAATTAAAGCTTTTAACATATGTTACGTCTTATCTAACAAAGTAAAAATGGCTATGCACTCTAATTATTTATCTACAAATTTTTATTCTAAAGAAGAAAACACACCTTATCATTGAAGAATCTATCTAAGATTGACAGTCCACAATCACTTCGGTCCTCATCATCGGCAACTTCATATTCTGCCTGATTGGAGAGATGGAAGAAAAGAAAGAACAGTTAAGCTGGGTGTGGTGGTGCATACCTGTAGTTCCAGCCACTTGGGACGCTGAGGTTGGGAGGATCACTTGAGCTCAAGAGTTCGAGGCCAGCCTGAGCAACATAGCGAGATCCCATCTCTTAAAAAAAAAAAAAAAAGTTAAGCTTCTTCACCAACAATGTTTCATTATGTTTCAAATTATTTGGTTTGATATCCTCAGAGTCACAGACCAACTCTACTGATCAAGAGTCTACAGCTCTTCTTTGGGAAAGTAAGGTGTATGAGGCGGAAGAAGTCAGTTTTTTAAAGGAGGTTAATGAAGTTTTAGAGCAATACTTCCCATAATACTCTGTATGCCATATTACATTGTATCCATTAAAGATATCTCAGGGCCGGGAGCAGTGGCTCATGCCTGTAACCACAGCACTTTGGGAGGCCGAGGCAGGCAGATCATCTGAGGCTGGGAGTTGGAGACCAGCCTGGCCAACATAGTGAAAACCCGTCTGTACTAAAATTACAAAAATTAGCTGGGTGTGGTGGCGCATACCTGTAATCCTAGCTACTCAAGAGGCTGAGGCAGGAAGAATTGCCTGGACCCAGGAGGCGGAGGTTGCAGTGAGCCGAGATCATGCTACTACACTCCAGCCTGGGCAACAGAGCAAGACTCAGCCTCAAAAACAAACAAACAAACTTCAGTGCTGGGAGTTCTGGATACTGTGTGGCATGCAATTAATGGAAGAGAAAGCAAGTCTGATCCTGCAATGGTCCTTCGATATGCCAACTGGGCAGGCTATGAGCCCCAGTTAGTCACTCAAACATAAATCCAGGTGCTGCTGGGAAGGTACTTGTACATACGATTAAAGTTTATAATCAGTTGACTTCAAGTGAAGGAGATTATGCTAGATAATCTAGGTGGCTCTGACCTAATCAGTTGGAAGGTGTTAAGAACAGAGATGAGTCTTCCTGGAGGAAGAAATTCTGCCTGAGGACGGCAGCTTCAGCCCATTACTGGAGAGTCCTACCATGCCCCTTCTGACGGTCCGCCCTACAGATTTCAGACTTTCCTAACCAGACCCCACAATTATGTAAGCCAATTCCTTGCAATAAATCTCTTAATATCTCCTCCTATGGGTTCTAGTTCTCTGGTTGAATCCTGACTGATACAGATGCCACTAATTCATTTAATGAGCAAGAAATAGGGCAAACAACCATGCCATGTGCCATGAGGGGGAAATGAATAAGACACAGTCCCTTCACTTGAGAAGCTCACAGAGCCTGTCATCACCTATCACGAGGATAGTCAAAGCAGTAAGTGTGACAAAATGGCACAATCAGACATTATTTCTGAACCTACACAACTGCCATCAAAAAAACAAAAACATAACCTGTAACTGCAGTCACATAGCTGTCACCTCATAACGACAGGTATCATGACAATATCAGAAGACTGAAACCTAAAACAGAGTTTCAACAATGCAGTTTAGCTATTTTAACGTAAGGAAGAACAGTAGGTCCCTAAATTCTTAAAATACAGCAGCTTGGCAAACATTACCCACTACATGAGAACTTACACCCAGGGTTCCATCCCCCAAACTGAGTAAGCATGCCCCAGCATACTGGAACTCTGTCTTCAAAAAGAAGAACTGGCCAGGCGCAGTGGCTGATGCCTGTAATCCTAGCACTTTGGGAGGCCGAGACGGGCAGATCACCTGAGGTCAGGAGTCTGAGACCAGCCTAGCCAACATGGGGAAACCCCGTCTCTACTAAAAATACAAAAATTAGTTGGGTGTGGTGGCACATGCCTGTAGTCCCAGCTACTCAGGAGGCTGAGGCAGGAGAATCACTTGAACCTGGGAGGCGGAGGTTGCAGTGAGCTGGGATCACGCCATAGCACTCCAGCCTGGAGGACAAGAGCAAAACTCTGTCTCAAAAAAAAAAAAAAAAAAAAAAAAAAAGAAGAAGAAGAAGAAGAATCACCTTATTCTAGCAACAGTGCCAGAAAGGAAAGGACTGGGAGAGATCTGAGGGAAGGAAGCAAACAACAAAACAGCCGCAAATGTTTTTCTGAAAAGAATATATCATAAATAAATATATATACATTTTAAAGTTTTAAAAAGCTGTGTTAGAGGAAAATCAAATCCAAACTCAATGATATAAGACATATATGTCCACATATAATAAGCACTCAATACATATTTGCCGATACAATTAAGACAGGCCAAAGCAGAGAGAGGAAGGATCATAACCCTGGTACAAAAGTGAGAGAGATTTTCTGCTAAATTCCACCAATTTTCTATTGGTCACTTGCTTCTGAATTTCATAGCTTTGAAAGTCTAGGCTTCCCAATGGTACCCACAAAGACTGAGAAACATAAAGTTTCTTTACCTATAAGGAAATCACAGTAAATCTCAAACAGGATACATGAGAATGTTGGAAACTTTCTTGAGCATAGTAAATTCCATCCAAAGTGATCATTCTTCTTACACAAACTTTATCCCTTCCATATGCTTCTGGGTTAAAGCGTTTTTAAGTTAAGAGCATTGGCCAGTTGAGTGCAGAAAGGACACTTTTCTGGTAGCCGAACAAGCACTATCATCTTAGAGCCGGGCACAGTGGCTTATGCCTGTAATCCCAGCACTTTGGGGGGCCAAGGCAGGTGGATCACAAGGCTGAGGCAGAAGAATTGCTTGAACCCAGGAGGCGGAGGTTGCAGTAAGCCAAGATCATGCCACTGCAGTCCAGCCTGGGAGACAGAGAGAGACTCCATTTCAAAAAAATAAAAAATAAAAAAAGCATTATCATCTTAATTAGTTTGTCATCTTCATACAATTCAAGCCTCAAGTTTCAAAGTCATTCAATGACTACATGTGATTCTCCAACACTTGAGACGTAATTCTACACAAAATACCACTTCAGACTAAAGGGATTTCTGTCCTAATAAGATAATATGACACCAAGACAACCAGTCCCTCCACTCCTACATCATTGCCCAGGTCTAGTTTTTACATTTTCTTTTTTTTTGAGACGGAGTCTTGCTCTGTCGCCCAGGCTGGAAGGCAGTGGTGCGATCTCGGCTCACTGCAACCTCCGCCTCCTGGTTCAAGTGATTCCCCTGCCTCAGCCTCCCAAGTAGCTGGGACTACAGGCACGCGCCACCACGCCCGGCTAACTTTTTGTATTTTAGTAGAGACGGGTTTCACTGTGTTGGTCAGGATGGTCTCGATCTCCTGACCTCATGATCCGCCCGCCTCAGCCTTCCAAAATGCTGGGATTACAGCATGAGCTACTGCGCCTGGCCAAGTTTTTACATTTTCAAAAGCATAAGATTGGGTGGTTGCTCAATATGGAGATAAACTGCTCACCACTGCATCCAAGAATTCAATGTGCCTCTTTAGAGTGGGTTTGGTATCACAGAACTGCCTGAAGAGACGTCTTCCTATCGGTTGCTTGTCACAAAGACTGCTATAATCCTTTTCTGGGTGAAGCAAAGGGATAAGAAGCAAACAAATAGAATCATTACAGTCCACCACATGCTGTTCTAAGCCTTACAGTTCTCACTCGATACAGTAAAAGTCAAGAACAGTATTTGCCGTATTATTTTCATCTTGTTGTTGTTGTTGTTGTTTGTTTCAGACAGTCTCCCTCCTCTGTCGCCCAGGCTGGAGGGCAGCGGTACAATCTCCGCTCACTGCAGCCTCTGCCTCCCGGGTTCAGGCGATTCTCCTGCTTATCTGTTAAGCATCTAATATCTAGAACATAGAAAGAAATCTTATACCTCAACAACAAAAAGACAATCCAATTTTTAAAACGGATAAAAGATTGGAACAGACATTTCTCTAAAAGTTTACAAATGACCCATAAGCACATGAAAATATGCTCAACATCATTATTCATTAGAGAAATGCAAATCAAAACACAGTAAGATACTTCATACCCACTAGGATTAGATTCAATGAAAAATAAAGAGGAAAATCAAAAGCGTTGGGAAAGATGTGAAGCAACTGAACACATTGCTACTGGGAATGTAACACAGGGCAGTGGTTTGGAAGAGTCTGGCGTTCCTCAAAAAGTTAAACACAGAATTACCATATGATTCTACTTCTTTTTTTTTTTTTTTTTTTTTTTTGAGACAGAGCCTCACTCTGTCATCCAGGCTGGAGTGCAGTGGCATAATCTCAGCTCACTGCAACCTCTACCTCCCGGGTTCAAGCAATTCTCATGCCTCAGCCTCCTGAGTACCTTGGATTATAGGCACATGCCTCCACACCCAAGTAATTTTTGTATTTTTAGTAGAGATGTGGTTTTACTATGTTGGCCAGGCTGGTTTCAAACTCCTGACCTCAGATGATCCACCTGCCTTGGCTTGCCAAAGTGCTGAGATTACCGGCATGAGTCATGGCGCCTGGCCCAATTTTTGTAATTTTAGTAGAAACAGGTTTCACCATGTTGGCCAGGCTAGTCTCGAACTGCTGACTTCAAGTGATCCACCCACCTCAGCCTCCCAAAGTGCTGGGATTACAGCCGTGAGCCACTGCGCCTGGCCAACAATTCTGCTTCTGAGTACATACACAAAACAAGTGAAAGCACGGACTCAAACAGGTATTTGCACACCAATGTTCCCAGCAACACTATTCACACAGCCAAAAACTTGGAACAACCCAATGTCCATCAACAGATGAACAGATAAGCAAAATGTGGTATGTCCACGCAATATCCAACTCAATGCCACCGAACTGTACATTTCAAACAGTAATTTTTGTTATGTATATTTTATCATCATTTTTTAAAAGCCTAGTACATGAATATTCATAGCAGCATTATTCATAACAGGCAAAAGTAGAAAACAACTCAAATGTCTATTAACTGATGAATGGCTAAATAAAATGTGATATATCCATATAATGGAATATTATTCACCAACAAAAAAGGATGAAGTACTTTGACAACATTATGCTACGTAAAAAAAGCCTGTCACAAAAGACCACATAGTTTATGATTCCCATTTATATGAAATGTCTGGAACAGGCAAAGACATAGACAGAAAGTGGATTTGTAGTTGTCTAGCTCTGGAGGTAGCGGGCAGGAAGGAGTCAGGAGTGGCTATCAATGGGTGTGGCGTTTCTTTTTGGGGTGCTGAAAATGCTGTCAAATTGACTGTGGTGATGGTTTCACAACTCAATATATTAAAAACTATTGAATTATATACTTTAAATGGATAAGTTGTATGGCATATGAATTATATCTTCAAGAAGCAGTTATTTAAAATACTCAGTGGAGTTAAAACAATGGGGGGGTTACAACAATGAGGGAAATACTAGCTCCTTTATACCACCTGAAACTAATTTTTATAAATATAATACTTCATCATCTTTCTTTAAAAGGAACTACAATAGTACTAAAGGAAAGATGGATTGGTTTGTAAAAATAATCTTGGAATAAATGTGTCCTTCCTACAGATAACACAAAGCTCAGAAGCTAACCAGGAAAAGACTGATATATTTGTCTCTATAAAAATACTAAAACTTCTGTATGAAAAAAAGACACTGAGGGCCAGGCGCGGTGGCTCAGGTCTGTAATCCCAGCACTTTGGGAGGCTGAGGTGGGCGGATCACAAGGGCAAGAAATTGAGACCATCCTGGCCAACCTGGTGAAACCCAGTCTCTACTAAAAATACAAAAATTAGCCGGGCGTGGTGGTGGGCACCTGTAGTCCCAGCTACTTGGGAGGCTGAGGCAGGGAATCACTTGAATCTGGGAGGCGGAGCTTGCAGTGAGCCGAGATCATGCCATTGCACTCCAGCCTGGCGACACAGCGAGACTCTGTCTCAAAAAAAAAAAAAAAAAAAAAGATAACACCTTTTATATATAAAGAACTTTTATAAATGAATTAGAAAAGAAAAAGGAAACATTGAAAAAAAAAAAGGAAATGTTCTACCCCATCCATAATCGAGAAAAGAAACCATTTTTCAAATTGCAGTTTAGCAAATATTAAAAATACTGACAACAACCAGTATTAGCAAAGGCATCACAAAGAAAGTTTGTTACATACTGTTGACAGAAAGGTAAATTGATACAATCTTTTTGGCAGTGATTTAGCAATATCAAAATTTTAAATGCATGTACCCTTTGAACTGAAAATTCTATTGTTAAAAAATACAGTTATGATTGCTCTATAGACATGATTCTATATCTGACTTCTTTTTTTTTTTTTTTTTTTTGAGACGGAGTCTTGTTCTGTCACCCAGGCTGGAGTGCAGTGGTGGGATCTCCAAGCTCCCCAGGTTCACACCATTCTCCTGCCTCAGCTTCCCAAGTAGCTGGGACTACAGGCGCCCGCCACCTCGCCCAGCTAATTTTTTTGTATTTTTAGTAGAGACGGAGTTTCACCGTGTTAGCCAGGATGGTCTCGATCTCCTGATCTCGTGATCCGCCCACCTCAGTCTCCCAAAGTGCTGGGATTACGGGCGTGAGCCACCACACCCGGCCTTCTGTATCTGACTCCTTAGGCTCATGTTAGGACCTGTAGCTAACTCTCATTCTTTACAGTTGCAGAGTATTCTGTTACACTGATATACCATATTTTTATCTGACTAATCCTTTCCTGAAGATCATTAGAAATTTTTCTTTTCTTTTTTCTTTCTTTCCCTCATTAATTTTTTTTCTCAAGACAGGTCTCACTATGTTGCCCAGGCTAGACTCAACCTCTTGGGCTCAAGGGATCCTCCTGCCTCAGCCTCCTAAGTAGGTGCACCTACAGGTATGTGCCACCATGCCTGGCTCAATAATTTTTTTTTTTTTTTTTGAGACAGAGTCTTGCTCTGTTCCCCAGGCTGGAGTGCAGTGGTGTGATTTCGGCTCACTGCAAGCTCCGCCTCCCGGTTTCACGTCATTCTCCTGCCTCAGCCTCCCAAGCAGCTGGGATTACACACACCCGTCACCGCACCCAGCTAATTTTTTTGTATTTTTAGTAGAGACGGGGTTTCACCGTGGTCTCGATCTCCTGACCTCGTGATCCGCCCACCTCGGCCTCCCAAAGTGCCGGGATTACAGGCGTGAGCCACTGCGCCCGGCCTGGCTCAATAATTTTTTAAAACGTGCATAGAAAACTGTCTGGAAGGCTACTAAACAATACTTAACAGTGTTTCTTCTACAGACAATAATTGGCTCGGTCATGGGGAGAGGAATTTTTACTTTTTCTTCAGTAATGTATAGAACAATGAGTATATATATTACTTGTAAAAAATGTTTCTAATGGGGAGCGGGCATAGTGGCTCACACCTGTAATCCCAGCACTTTGGGAGGCCAAGGTGGGCAGACTGCTTGAGCTCAGGAGTTTAAGACCAGCCTGGGCAACATGGTGAGACCCCACCTCTATAAAAAATATATATTTTTAATGAAAAAGTCAACAGCCAACTTTATAACTGCAGATCAGAAAATCTAAAGGATTTTTTTTCCTGAGAGGAATCATGAAGATATAAGGAGAATTTATCATAAAATGTTTGAAACAAACATGGAACTCAAGAAAGAATAACATCTAATGAATGGTATCATGCCAGATGTACCATCCAAGCATTAGTAGGCACTATTTACTCACCAATGGAATGTCTAAGCTCACTGCACTGGCTGACAGGAGGCAGTGTCAGTATCTCCTTCCATTTTTTACTACGACCACTTTTTTTGCCATATCCTCCTGAATTTGGGAGAAAAAAGGCAATTTCCTTTAACAGTCAGAAATATCCAATTATAACAACTACTTCCACCAATATATCTTAACATTTCTGTTTGAGTGGTTTGGGTACCTATCATGAATAAAAATACATGCTTATAATAATTTGTCTTATCTGGAAAGCTGCTTGATGAAGTATAAAATTCCCAAGGGAAGCAATCTGTCACTAGCTCTGCCATTTAGAAGCCATGGTGAGCCTCAGTTTCCAAATCTGTAAACAAGATCTAACATGACATATTGTTCAGGGCTGCTTATAAGTATTTATCAAAGAAATATTTATTGAGCATCTACTATGTACCAAAAACCTTCAAAGCACTAGGCATATGATGGTAAAAAAGACCAAGTCCCTCCCTCGCATTCTAAGTGAGGGAGTGATATGGTTTGGCTCTGTGTCCCCACCCAAATCTCATCTCAAATTATAATACCCACATGTCGAGGGAGGGACCAGGTGGGAGTCCCGTGATTGGATCGTGGGGACGGATTCCCCATGCTGTCCTGCGATAATGAGGGAGTTCTCATGAGATCTGATGGTTTTAAAAGTGGCAGTTTCCCTTGTGCTCTCTCTCCCCCTCTCTCTCTCCTGCCACCATGTAAGACGTGCCTTGCTTCCCCTTCGCTTTTCACCATGATTGTAAGTTTCCTGAGGCCCCTCTAGCCATGCAGAACTGTGAGTCAATTAAACCTCTTTTATTTATAAATTACCCAGTCTCAGGTAGTATCTTCACAGCAGTGTGAAAATGGACTAATACAGGGAGACAGGTGCACAAATCAGATAATGATAAGAGATAAGAAAAAAATGCTAATCATATAGTGATAAATATGAAACAAAATCAAGCAGGGTAAAGGTGGAAGGTGCTGTTTTGACTAAGGTAGGATCAGAGAAGACCTCCCTACAGGGGTCACATTTAGGCAGAGGCCTGAAGGATGTGAGTGGCAGAGTCTTGGCAAGTGCTGGGAGAAGAGCATCCCATGGTGAAACCAGAATGATGGAAAAGGCTACACTATAATACTTCAGAAAGATCTTTTAAACAAGCACCATTTTTTCTTTAATTCAACTCAGAGAAATGAGCATCTTCAATCTCAAGCCTTCTGGGCAGCTAAAATTTTACTGAATTTTATCCAGGAGAACATAATGGCTTAGGCTGGGTGACTAAGACTCCAGGACCATTTGGAAGAATTAGGAAACCAGGGCAAAAGCCACATTTCCTTGGAACACGATGAGCTCTGTCTTAAATACGGTGAGTGTGGAAAATTGTAAGAGACAGACATTTGGAAGATGGGTAGACTGGGATGAGCTCAGAAGAGGCTCGGCTAGAGATACAGACTTGATATCTGCAAAAAAGAAAACCATCAAAGATGTAAGAGCTTCTTCCTCAGCCTTAGTTTTGCTCTTCTACTCCCCCTACTCAATATTTCAACTGAGATCATGAGCTCTGGACTCACGTCCCACACCACAAGATGTCCAGAGCACCTGGCATTCAACATGTTCACCCTAGACTCATAATCTTCCCCCTCAAATCCAGTCCACATTTTTTCTTTCTGTTAAGATTTGTTTATTTAATAAACATGTAACAACCACCTGCCAATGCCAGAGAATATGTCAAGTGCTGTGTCAGTGACAGCCATGTCCTATGTCACTGAAGGGTGGGGAAAGGGTGACCTGTTCCTCCTGTCCCTTCACAGAGAACACAGAAACTCATTCCAGAGAAGCAGTAGGCACTGAAAAAAGGCTATCATCTTTGGTTATGGGTTATTTTTTTCAGGGTTATTGCTGGTTCTCCCTTCAGTTGAAATAAGAACTGTTCTTTGGGATATGCCATTTTTATCTGACCTCTTAAAGGAGTACAGAGCTGAGCTGTCACTTGCCTGATGCAGTATTTTGCCCTCTAGATTCCACAAGTGGAAAACAAGCATGATCTACAAGTGCCCTGAGACATGGCTTACATCTTCAGTGGTGCTTCTGTGCCCAAGCTGCTGAATCATTGAGCAGAGAACAAGTCCCTCTTGGTCTTATTCATATTTCACTATCTCTGCTTTCTCTTGTTCCCTGGCTTCTCCCAACTTTACACTACTCAAGTAACTAGCAAGAAACATGGCAGCCTGGCTGCTATGTCCTTCCTTTCCTAAGCCTGACACTGCCTGTAGGCTTAGAACCAGTGCTTCCACCTTCCCAGGATCCAAGCAGCGAGGCAGGCAGGGCCTGGATGAGGTGGTGCTGGCAGCAGTGGCCAGTGCCGGCGGAAGCCAGGAACAGGTGGGAGCCCTACCCCCTTCCAGGTTGGTGGGGCAGGAGCCCCACACTACTGGGAGCAGCTGCAGCCACCCAGCCACAGCTGCTGACCTGGGCATCCCTGTGCTCTCAGGAGCCCAGGAAGCCCCCCTGCCCCTGCAGGCTCAGAAGTGCCTGTTCCCACTGACTGGCCTCTCACTGCTCCTGGCACCTGCTCCGATTTTGGATCAAAGTTGTGGCTGAGCCCAGGCACTGTCACAACCCAGCCAGGTGTGTGCACGATAGGGGCGGTGCTGACACACCAGCCACCTGCCACCTCAGCCCCCTCCAGACTTTGGACACCAATGAGCATGGCAGGGAGGCCAAGGCGTGGCTGAGTTCAGCTCAGTGCAGGCCAGGGCACACAAACAGCCAGGGCACCATGAACAAGGGCAGGAGGCAGACAGGCTCCTGGGTAGAAAGGGGCAGGGTCCCCAGTGAAACCTCACCTTCAAGCCAGGGATAGACTGAAGCCTGACAGCCGGGCTGCCAGTTCTGCAGACTGGAGTGAGAACTTATGGTGGTTTTTCTGGGCCCGCCCACGGACCAATCAGCATGTACTTCCTCCCCTCTGAAGCTTATAAAAACCCCAGACTCAGCCAGACTTGGGCAGAAAACAGGACAACCTGCCTGCAGAGAGGTGCTACCCACTGTGGGTCTCCTTTCCACTGAGGGCTGTATACTCATCAGGACAACCTGCCTGCAGATAGGAGCTACCCACTCCAGGTCTCCTCTCCTCTGAGGGCTGCACAGACGATGGGATGATCTGCCTGCAGAAAGGAGCTACCCATTTTGGGTCTCCTGAGAGCTGTACTGTCACTCAATAAAGCACCTCTTCTTGCTTACCCTCCAGTTGTCTGTGTACCTCATTCTTCCTGGACATGGGACAAGAACTTGGGACCCACTGAATGGTGGGACTGAAAGAGCTGTAATACAAACAGGCTGAAGCACACCCCCCAACTCACCACGTTGTGGGTGATGAGAAGGAGAGAAGAGAGGAGATAAGAGCTGTGGCCCCTTGGGGAGCCGAGACTTAGGACCTCCCCCAGCCAAGGCTGTGACACCCTCTTTGAAGCTCTGTGGTTCCTGAAGTCTCCAAGCTTCTGGGCGCCACCGCATTCCCTGGCACCCACAGTGGCAGCTGCTTGCAGTACGCTTGGTCTAGCCACAGCCACAGCAGGTAACCAGCGCCTGTGCCTGGAGCTGCCTGCCCTGCCACAGCTGGCATGCCTGGCTGTGCCCAATGGCCAGACCCCACACTCATTTGCTCATGCAACCCTTGCTGCTCTGCACCTGGCTTGCCCTTGGCAGGCATGGGATCTGGACCAGTAGTGAAAGACAAGCACAGCCTGCCAGGCCAAGTGGGTGGAAGGAGCCCAGTGGGCCCAAGCAAAACTCAGGTAAAGCCGCCACTGGCCACAGAAGTCTCCAGCTGGTGAAGTGACACCCTAAGGATCCTGTGACAGTGGCACAGCCGCTCAGCCCCAGTGGGTTTGTGTTCACGGGTATGTGGCACTGACGGTGGGGTAGGGTGGCAACAAGAGGTAGGCTGGATGCATTACCCAGGACTAGCCTGTCAGGCAAGAGGTGAGCTGTTCTGCTCCTCACAGATGGGCCCAAGGAAGACAAGGCTTCCAGTGAGTCCCTGTGCCTCATCTAGGTGCTGTTCTGGGGTATTTGCACATTGAGATCTCAGCATCTAGTAGGCTTGTTGTGGAGATTAAATAGGATAACTTGTATAGAAAGGTACCAGGCCCATGAGTGGGGTTCAGTGTTCCTTCCCTTCCCCTTTAGGGTATGTTTCCTACATCGACAGAAGATTCCCACTGAAGACTGGTTCCCGGGTTCCCATCTTGGATGATGAGGGAAACAAGTCAAGGTGCTAGGCTTTCCTCTTCATCCTGGCTGCTGCCACTCCCAGCCAGCTCCAGGCAGTGAAGGCTCCAGGGAGGCTGGGTGGCCATGGCAGCCCCAGTCATCCTTCCATACTGTGAATCCTGGCTAACAAATTATTTATTGAGAAGACATCTGCTGTCCATGTCCAGTGTGCCAGGCACTGTCCAGGCTCTGGGTACCCTGTGGAGGGTCAGGCAGCTGGTCCTAACAGGATGAAAGCACTCTTGTCAGACCCAAAGAAACTTGGAGCTGGGAAGGCACAAAGAAGGGTTCTTGCTTACATGTCTGAGATAAGAACCATTAGGAGGAGTGTCTAAAATAACCCCACAAGAAATTCTTTCACATCCTTCATGCATTTCATGCTTTTCACAACCTACATTTGGCACATATGCAGGTATTTCTGAGACCAGGTACACTGGACCATTTTTTTTCTTTTTTGAGATAGGGTCTTGCTCTGTCACCCAGGCTAGAATGCAGAATGCAAGTCTCACTGCAGCCTTGACTTCCTGGACTCAAGAGATCCAGCTACCTCAGCCTCCTCAGCAGCTGGGACCACAAGCATGCACCACCACACATGGATTTTTTTTGGGGGGGTAGGGGGACGGAGTTTCACTCTTGTTGCCCAGGCTGGAGTGCAATGGTGTGATCTTGGCTCACCACAACCTCCGCCTACTGGGTTCAAGCAATTCTCCTGGCTCAGCCTCCTGAGTAGCTGGGATTACAGGCATGTGCCACCACGCCCGGCTAATTTTGTATCTTTAGTAGAGACAGGGTTTCTCCATGTTGGTCAGGCTGGTCTCGAACTCCTGACCTCAGGTGATCCGCCCGCCTCGGCCTCCCCAAAGTGCTGGGATTACAGGCGTGAGCCACCGTGCCTGGCCACTCTTTTTTTTTTTTTTTTTTTTTTTGAGACAGAGTCTCCCTCTGTCACTCAGGTTGGAGTGCAGTGGCACCATCTCAGATGATTGCAACCTCCACCTCCTGGGTTCAGGTGATTCTCCCACTTTAGCCTCCAGAATAGCTGGGATTGCAGGCGCCTGCCACCACACCCAGGTAATTTGTGGGGTTTTTTTTTGTTTTTTTTTTTGAGACGGAGTCTCGTTCTGTTGCCCAGGCTGGAGTGCAATGGCGCGATCTCGGCTCACTGCAAGCTCCACCTCCTGGGTTCACACCATTCTCCTGCCTCAGCCTCCCAAGTAGGTGGGACTATAGGCGCCCATCACCATGCCTGGCTAATTTTTTTGTATTTACAGACGGTGTTTCACCACGTTAACCAGGATGGTCTCGATCTCCTGACCTCATGATCCGCCTGCCTTGGCCTCCCAAAGTGCTGGGATCACAGGCGTGAGTCACCGTGCCCAGCCTAATTTGTGTATTTTCAGTAAGAGACGGGGTTTCAGCATGTGGGCCAGGCTGGTCTCGAACTCCTGAACTCAGGAGATCCGCCCACCTCGGCCTCCCAAAGTGCTGGGATTACAGGCATGAGCCACTGTGCCTGGCCACACATGGCTATTTTTTTAAAAAGCTTTTGTAGAGAAGAGATCTTGCCATGTTGCCCAAGCTAGTCTCAGACCCCTGGGCCCAATCGACCCTCCTGCCTCAGCCTCTCAAACAACTGGGATTACAAGCATGAGCCACCTTGCCTGGCCTGGACTTTTTTTAGGACGGCAGCAATTGAGATAAGATGCTCTTGAAAGAACACCTGCCCCCTAGTGGCATCTCCACCACAGAACTGATGCCAACTACGATTTTGAGCCTCTGGAACCAGTGAACTCTGTTTCCAAGCAGCTTATGTGAACCTCTCCCTGTCTGCCAAATAAAAGCTTCCTCTTCCTTTCCCCTTTTCGGGTGCACCTGTGGCTCGCCATGGCTGTGCATCCCAAATTATAATCCTCTTTGCTTACTCCCTAATTCATTCATTAAATTCAGAGATATTTTTCTCTGATATCTTTTTTTAGATTGACAATAGAATCGATTAGCTCAATTACAGAATCCTATCAGACCAAGTTTTTAAAAGATTCTTAAAAACTTAGCATATTATCAATTAGCTTAATGTGTGAAGCCACAGTCTATGAGATAACCAAGAACCTTCTACATAAAGTAATTTTAAAGATGAAAGTTGTTTTCCCTTTTTCTTCCCACTCAATATGGATCTTTAGGATAGATTAATACAGCAACTGACTTTTAGGAATTTCTATAAAACCTAGTTTATTCTCAATTTTAGCTGTAAAAAAGAAGGAAAATATTTTATTGTCAAAAGAGATATAGTCAGGGCACCAAAGGCTCATGTTACAAAAGAAAAAATAGGCAAAATGAACTTCATAAGCCCATGGAATGGGGGAAAACATTTGCACATTATATACCTGATAAGGGATGAGTAATCAGAATATATAGTGAACTCCTAATAGTCACAACAGAGCTGCTGCTGGGAAGTGGCAGCCCAATGAGGGACATTTCCCAGTCCCCTGTGGGGAGGGGGGCCATCTGACTGTGATCTGGACAACAGAATGTGGACAGAAGTGTTTATGCCACTTCCACGCCTGGCCTGGAAGAATCTCCCACACGGTTCTCCGTGCTCTCTCGCTTCTTTGTTTCGTAGATGGACCGAGATCCACAGGAGGATCTTGGGAGCCATGTGCTGATGACTCAGAACTTCTGCCAGCCTGGAATCCTCAATGACTGCACAAAGCACAGTCTACTCACCCACTCCCTCCCTGACCGCCCTCAACGTGGCTTTTATGGAAATGAAAAATAAATTCTATTCTTATTGCTCCACAAACAACAGAGATTTTAAGGTTTACCTGTTACAGCAGCAAGTATCAGTTTAACTGATACAGATGTCAGTATCTAGAGGGAAATATTAACCTAATAAAAAACCCTGGGTAAACAGATGGTCTAGCAGTAGGCGTAGCAGCCGGAGCTCTGCGTTATTCAGTAGCAGCAACACATTTAGTTCAGTGTTGTCTGTGATGATAACTCAAGAGGCAGCACACACAGACCAAGTGCTTGGAGAGCCCCACGCTCTAGCAAACAGGTCAAACAGCAGTAGTATGCGCTGTTACTCATCATACCGAGGAAGGTATTTTGCTGGGGAAGGGAGCTCAAGCAAGAATTGCTGGCTTTGTAAGCAGCAATAAAAAAAAAGTGCAAACAGACCAGAAATTTGGGCCTTTAGAGAGTATGAAAGGCCGCCTGTTCCTGGACCCCCAAACAGTGGAAAATAAGACTGGAAAAGGCTTTGAAAGACAAAAGCAGATAAAAACTCAGCTCTGTGCAGCAAGCAGATCAGGGGTGTGGTTTTCCCACCCATACTGCTGCCTCAAGACAGCCCCCAACTAATCTGGGGAGTAGAGACTTGAAAGAAAGAAAATTCGGCCGGGTGCGGTGGCTCGCGCCTGTCATCCCAGCACTTTGGGAGACCGGGGTGGACAGATCACCTGAGGTCGGCAGTTTGAGACCAGCCTGACCAACATGGAGGAACCCTGTATCTACTAAAAATACAAAATTAGCCGGACGTGGTGGCATGTGCCTGCAATCCCAGCTACTTGGGAGGCTGAGGCGGGAGAATCACCTGAACCTGGAAGCGGAGGTTGTGGTGAGCTGGGATCATGCCGTTGCACTCCAGCCTGGGCAACAAGAGCAAAACTCTGTATCAAACCAAAAAAAAAAAAAAAAAAAAAGAAAGAAAGAAAATTCAAGCTTGAGAATGTGTCTAGGAAAGAACGGTGGGTGCAACTACTGGCACATGGAACTGGCTGGAAGCAAACATATCATCAAAGGACAAAATTACATCAAATTTCAAATTGGAATCTAGTTGGCTTTTATTTGCAATGCTAGAATTGGGCAACACCTCCTTCTAAAAAACAGAATGCAGCCTGGGCAACATACTGAGACCCCATCTCTAAAAAAAAAATTACTCAGGCATGGTGGTGTGCACCTGTAGTCCCAGCTACTCAGGAGGCTGAGGTGGGAGGATCACTGGAGCCTAGGAGGTCAAGGCTGCAGTGAGCCATGACTGCGCCACTGCATTCCAGCCTGAGCAACAGACAAGAGCCTGTGAAAGAGAGGGAAAAAAAAACAAGGAAGAAGGGAAGGAGGAGGGAGGGAAAGAGAGAGAAAGAAAGAGAGAAAGAGAAAGAAAACAATGAGTGTTTCAATGAGCTAAACAGAGGAGTTTGGTTTTATAGGCAGAAAAGGGCTGAAGCAAGCAGACACAGAGAACAAAAAGCAGACTAGTCCTTTCAGAGTTACTTCCCTTGCTCCTTGCCCCTTGCAAAGGTTGAAGCAGAGGGGACCTCCTTATCATGCTGGCTAAAACCGGCCTGTTTGGGGATTTGGCTACTATGTATCTCTCCTGATTTCTCCAAAGGTCAAACAACTTTCAGCATGGTGACATGGAACTTTAGCAGGACTGACTCAATTTTGGTTTGATTTTTGGGGCCTAGTGCAGGAGCTCAGTACAAACCAATGGCCACCTATAAATTTAGCTTAACAAGATCAAAAGCTGACTATGTTTCTGAGAGAAATATAGTGCTGAAGAACTTGGATCCAGGATGAAGACAGCCTTGAACTGCTTGAGCCTTGAAACAACCTTCAAGCCCACAAACTTAAATCCGTAGAAGTGGGTCTGCAAAGCTCTGCACTGCTCCAGAAACCTGTGGAGGTTTCATCTGTCTGTCCATGTTAGCCGGCTCAAGGAGGAAAATGTCCTGGGGGTGGAGCCATGGGACACAGTGAACACAGGTGAGGGCAGAACTGGGCGCTAATCAAGGAATGTTCCCCACCCGCACAGGGCCCTTTTGCTGACGGGCCAGTGTCTACTGAGGGCTCCCTGCTCCTCCTTTTCTAAAAGGGAATTTCTACAATAGTCACCCTGCCTCTGCTCCCCCACGGTATATTAGGTATGAGGAGGGAAGATCATTTGGTTCTTTATGTAGGCTGCGGAATCCTGAGGAGCCACGTCTGGCCCTCATGGAGGAAATAGAGCAGAGGTCTTTCCGGTCTTTTTTTGAGACAGAGTCTGGCTCTGTGGCCAGGCTGGAGTGCAGTGGTGTGATCTTGGCTCACTGCAATCTCCACCTCCCAGGTTCAAGCGATTCTCCTGCCTCAGCCTCCCAAGTAGCTGGGACTACAGGTGCGCGCAACCACGCCCAGCTAATTTTTGTATTTTTGGTAGAGACAGGGTTTCACCATGTTGGCCAGGATGGTCTCGATCTCCTGACCTCATGATCCATCTGCCTCAGCCTCCCAAAGTGCTGGGATTACAGGCGAGAGCCACCGCGCCCGGCCTCATTCTGGTCTTTGAAGGGAGATTAGGATACCTGTAAGGGAAGAAGGCTGTGCATGGATATTTGGTGGCTAGAGGGCAGACATGGCACAGACAGCCAGCTGTCCTATGCCAACTCAAGACGCACTCCCATTATGCAGAGTCGTTGCCAGGATGTGGCTGCCCAGCTAGTACTTCTGTGGCTCTGCCCCCTTTGCAGTTAAAAGTGGCCATGTGACAGAGCAATGTATAAAACAGGTGTACCACTCGGGTGACAGGTGCACCAAAATCTCAGAAATCACCATTAGAGAACTTTTCCATGCAACCAGAACACCAACTGTTTCCCCAAAACTATCAGAATAAAAAACAACCAAAAACGGGTGTACCCACTTCCAGGGTTGGACCATAAAGCCCTCCTGTCTGATCCTCCACATTACCTGAGCTAAGTACTTTCCTCCATGACTGTCAGCTTCTCAGAAGGAGATATTCATCTGTTTTTATTCATCCCTGTATCCCTAGAGCCAAGCTTAGTGCCTGGCACACAATAAACCGTTTTTGAGTGAAACTGAAGTAACTGACACCGTCGTTGAGATAGTATAAAGAGGGCACTGAGATATAAAGCCCAGGTCTGGCTGGCTCCAAAGCCCATGATCTTAACTGCTATTCATACATTCATTCATTCATTCAACAAATATTTACTGAGCATCTAATGTGTGCCAGGAACTGTTCTAGGCATGAAAAATACAGCAGTGAACAAAGCAAATAAAACTTCCTCCTCTTATAAAGCTTAATTTTAGGGAGAAAGCCCGACGAACAAAGTACAAGTAAAATATACGTATATGAGATAATAATAAGTGCTATGGGAAAAAATAAAGGAAGAAAAATAAAGAGTAAATGAGAGCCGGGTGTGGTGGTGTGTATCTATAATCCCAGCTACTGGGGAGGCTTAGGTGGGCTCGCTTGAGCCCGGGAGTCCGAGGCCAGCCTGGGCAACATAGCGAGACCCTGT